>NC_000002.12:235671436-235974466 GCF_000001405.40 Homo sapiens
CCGCCGCACAGGTGCGGCTGCCTGGATGGGAGAAGCCGGCATTCATCCTGGCGCCCCTCCCTGCCTCGAGTCGTCTCCCTGTTAGTGCTACCATCTGTCAGTGTTGTGATGTGGACTCAGCTGACTCCGTGGCCCTCGGTATTGAGCTGGCTGTAAGGACACCTCACTACAGTGGTGGGGCCTGGGGTGGGACGGAGGCCCCTCTCTCCACAGCTTTCCTGCCAGGTGGCATCTTAATGAGGAGAGCGAGTCTGGGACTGGATTCTGTTTCCTCATAATGTAGGCTAGCAAAAGGGCAGGAAAACCGCAGCCCTGCAGCCTGTTCTGAAACCTCAGGTCTGTGTTCCCTTAAGTCCTCAGACAGGGACTTTGCATGGAGGGATCTCCAGCCAGATATGTTATTCTCTGCAGGAATCAGTTAACCTTTTGGTAGCATTTCGGGGTCAGAGCCTCCAGAAACCTCAAAACACAGACTCCATCAACTGCGCATCACCCTGAGGGGGATTCTGGGGGTGGAAGTGGTGCTAGATTGCTACACCTTATTCTCCTGGGAGGGGGTTGTATGCCTGAAGATATTGTGGCCACAGACAAGAGGCCATGCATTTTTACCACCAAAAAAAAAAATATTATTCATCCTCTTATCTGAATTCTTTAACTTGGCTGGTACAGATAAAGGTAGTTGGAGAGTGGGCTTTTGATTTGCAGTTCAGACTGCTGTGTAACCCACCTCTGGAGAGGGTATTCATCCCAAGTGGACTTAACAGGTCAGCTGACTGCCCCTAGGGTTTATGTTAAAACCAACTCATGCAAATAAATGACTGTCCTTATGGAAATATTTTTAAGGTAAAGTGAAGATAAAATGGTCATGTTCTAATATGCTCCTAATGATCCTCAGAATGTGCTAGAGGATGGTTGAAACCAAGCAGTGGCATGTGCGGTAATGTTAAAATCTGACCTGTTTCACTAGTGAGGCTACACTGTTGCCACACTTATGTTTAGCTTGTCATGGCACATCTAGTTTTAACCTCCCTTGGAGCACTTACTTTAGAAGGCACTGTATTTAACTCCAACCATTATCCCATCCCTTCATGTATTCTCTTAAAATATGAGAACATGATGCGTGTTATTTTGTTAAAAGAATTGGTTTGCACGAAGTTGCTCCTGTCATCATTGGCTTTCAGAGGAAGTTAAGACCTGAAGGTCTCAGTTCTCTAATAGCAGGCTTGCATCTTTGCTCTGTGGACTTGGAAGAAAACAGTAATTAGCTGCCTCGGTTCCAGACAAGTTTGTATCAGAGAGAGAAAGAAAAACGCACAGACATGATTTAGAGAGAATGCATTTCATTGTGGTCCCTCTTGATACAAGTTAAAAGCATTTGGAGTTTGGATAGTTCCTCTCTGGTCAAATGGATTGATAGTAGATTTGGAGTAGTAAGGGTGTGAAGTGTGTTGGAATGTTTATAGTAATGCTCAGTTTGTTCCTTGTGGTCAGTCCTTCTCTGGGCGGAATTACTTTGGTCTGAGACATGATATTACCAGCATTGTGGGTTGTATAGAAAAACGGAAATTTAATGAACTACATTATAGCCATATGGTCAGAACTCTAGGGCCTCACTTTTTTCTGAAGTTCTAAGTAATCACATGCTCAAAAAAGCTACATCTTTCACCTGGATAAATTCTTTGCCTTTGGCTAAAATGTCTGACATGTCAATATTCTTAGGATTTTGGTGATGCCAGTGTCTGTTACAGGTAAAAGGTGTAGCCCCCATAGGTGTCACAACTTCTCATTTTATTACATTTTTCCAGTCTTTACATATTTGCTTCCTGTGACATAAATTATTCAGAATTTAGGTGCTGTTTAAGATTTTGAATTTAGGTGAGAATCTCTAAGGTAACAGTCAGATACAGTAGAGCCCAAGCTCAGTTTCCCTGTAAATGTCCATAGGATGCAAGTCCCCAAACCACTGGGGACAGGTGGGTTTGTAGGACTCGGAAATTTTGGATCTGAGGAAGGTAAAATGGTGTGTGTTATATAGAACGCTGCTTGTGAGATCGGGTGGCGCCCTTTAGTAACACACTAGTATTTTGCAGCAAAGCCTGAAATATCCATACTCAGTGAAATAAATAGTGATTAAAAATAGCCTCGTGCCAGTTAGAGTCTGGTTTTGCCACCAAAGTAATTTGCCAGCCATTTATGAAAAGAAGTTCCATTCTCAGACCTTTTTGGATTTCAGATTGACAGCTAAACTATCGTAGACCTGCAACGTGATAAGCATCATGAGAAGCACCACTGGCTTTCTGTACATTTTGGCCATAATGTTTTAAAATTTGGAGTCCTTGAAAATATAAAGGAAATTAGAAGTGACCTCAGCTGGTACAGGTTTTTCTTCCGTTAGAATCTTTTCATATTCTTTAAAAGAGCTAGTAAATTTTTGAATTGGCTACAGAAATCTAAAGACTAAGTAATTATTGCATTAGTCTATTTGGCTTAGAGTTAATTGCTTAGGCAAGGTATTTCCATTAGCACAGGGAAGCAAGATGGCTGGAGTCTTATTTTAAAGCACACACAGGCTCCTACATACGTGTACCTTTGGTTTGCCTGTATTCTGAACTGAAGGCATTAAGGATGAAAGGATTGGAGCACCTACCTTTTGTAGGATGATTCTCTTGTACTGTCTGGTCCTTGTTGGAACTTGTCTATTTAGGCTCTTCCTAGTTCTTCCCTCTAATGCAGAACAGTTGCCTCGGTGAGTTCAGGGCTGCTCCCTCTGTGTAAGGCTTGCAACTGATAGCAGCAAGCCAGCAGACATTCCAGAAAGACCCTGTGTCAGATCAAGGGCAGTTTCGTGTTAACTGATACACATGTGTTAGGGCAGAGTCCGTTGACTCAAGTATAATTTAATACAAGGAAAGATCAAATAATAAATGATAAATGACATTGTAGGGGGTCCCCTTGCAGCGCATGCTCTCTGCATCCCAGTGGATGCCGTCTGGGCCGGCCCTGGAACCAGCTGTGCTGTGAGTGAAGCCCACACTGGCTATGCCCATCCAGAACATTCGGTGTCTTTAGAGTGTTCTCTTGCTGTCTGGGAGGATTGATTACAGTAATAAAGTGATTCATTGATACCTCTTACTGAGGTTAGCTTTTAAAATTAGTAATTTACAACTGATTTTTGACAGCACATTTTATGAGTGGCTTTGTTCTTTAATTTCTGATTCCCTTGATTTGTATCAGTCAATTACTGTAGGGTGATAGACTTTTTTTTTTTTTTTTTGATGGAGTCTCACTCTGTTGCCAGGCTGGAGTGCAGTGAGCGATCTCAGCTCACTGCAACCTCCCCCTCCCAGGTTCAAGCAATTCTCCTCCCTCAGCCTCCCCAGTAGCTGGGACTAGAGGCGCATGCCACCGCACCCAGCTAATTTTTGTGTTTTTAGTAGAGAGAGGGTTTCACCATGTTGGCCAGGATGGTCTCCATCTCTTGACCTCTTGATCCACCCCCCTCGGTCTGGGATTACAGGCATGAGCCACCACACCTGTGGTTTTTTTATTTTATTATTTTATTATTTTTATTTTTTAAACCATTTATATTTTTATTTTTTAAACCATTTAAAACAAACAGCCTTCAGTGGAGAACGTGAGGACACAGCAATTAAATGAAATAAAATTACTGAAACAATTTGATAAAGTTTGATTTTTAAATTTGATTTGTTACTGAAAAGGACACTTTTTGTTGGTTGGTTGGTTGGTTGGTTGGTTTTTTTTTTTTTTTTTGAGACAGAGTCTCGCTCTGTCGCCCAGGCTGGAGTGCAGTGGCGCGATCTCAGCTCACTGCAACCTCTGCCTCCCGGGTTCATGCCATGCTCCTGCCTCAGCCTCTCCGAATAGCTGGGACTACAGGTGCCCGCCACCACGCCCGGCTAATTTATTTGTATTTTTAGTAGAGACGGGGTTTCACTGTGGTCTCAATCTCCTGACCTCGTGATACACCCGCCTCAGCCTCCCAAGGTGCTGGGATTACAAGCCTGAGCGACCGCGCCTGGCCTGAAAAGGACACTAGTAAGGAAACTATGTAATTCAGTGTTTCTCATTTGAAACATTTTGAACTGATTAGTCTTTTGTTATTAGAATTGATTATCTACAGTGTTTTGTTGTTACAATTGAACATTCCTAGAGTTTGCTTGCTTTTTGTAAATTACTCCAGATAGCAATTTAGGAAACTCCTCATTATTTTTGTTTAGGGCTAAAATGATTCTCCTGGAGACAGAGCAGTTGTACTTGGGGTACAAGGAAGAGCTGTGCTGAACGTCAGCCAGGGAACCTTCTAAGTCACCGCTGTGGGCTGTGTCCTGCTGTTTATTTCCTTAGGTTGGAGCCCAAGTTTCAGCATAGGTCACCTGTTAACATCTTTCTCTTTGATAAGTCATCAAAGAGACTTGGGCTGGAATATCCTGCCACCAGGGGGAATGTTCAAAAGTACATCTGCTCCAGAGGTCCTCCAGTGTTGACAGGCACATTGTAGCAAATTATTGGGTTATACAGTTAACAAATACCTTTTGTTTGGAGCTGTAAGACCCAATTATAAAGCACTAGTAGTTTTTGTCTTTTTAATGCATTAACAAACATATATTGCATGTTTATGGTGTGTTCTGCATTCACTAGGCAGTGGAAGCTGGAGCTAACTAGAGCACAGTTCCTGTCTTCAGAGGTCAGTAGCATACTGGAGGAGATGGAAAAGATTGAATGAATCACAGCCTCATGGGGTACTTGAGGGATGATATGACTATTTCTCTGCATAGCATATCTCCATTAGAGCACTAGTCCACTGTGTAACAATAACCTTGCATACATGCCTGCCACTTCTAACTAGTGAGTCCTTCCTGGGCATGAAGCACGTATCATTCCTCTGTGTACTGCAGAGTTGTAGACACTGTGCTTGACACATAGATTTTAGTAAATGTTTATGGGTGGAACTAATGAGAGAACTAGAAGAGGGAGTGAATTGAATGTTCTTGAGTTAATGGGAAGGAGTTAATGAAGGCCTCACAGAGGGGCAAATGAGCTGGATCTTGTAGGATCTGTAGGAGTTTACCAGGTAGAGAAGAGTGACTCCACCAGCAAGGTGTTTGGGATTTCTATAGTTAATTGTTAAGAATTTATTCCTGTTCCCCAGATCCTTATGACTAATGCCAACACTAAACATAAAACAGGATGTTACTCTTTCTACAATGAGCTTTGGTGTTTTTGTTTTTGAAAAATATTTTCGGTATATGGTTTTTGTTTCTGATAGGAATTCTCCTTTAGGCTATTGTCAATTTGTTTTCCTGTAATGATTTGAAACAATTATATTAACTTAAAATGATGTCACAATGAGTGAAATAATGAAAAAAAGTTATAGTTATTGAGGGTAGTCTCATGATGAGATAAAGTGCATACAGCTGCACTCATGTCGCCAGGTGATTAAGAACAGAATTGGTATTAAGGTCAACGGATTAGCAAAAAGGGAGGAGATTATTGTCTTTTCATTATTTTGAAAGAAGTACCATCTGCCCTTGATTGTTTTGGTTTAGGTTTTATTCAGCCCAAATTAGAATCCGCTGTGGTGTTGATTGTTCCTTGTTGGTGATAGCCCTAGAACTGTGTTTCCCATCGTTGATACTTGCATTCACGTTTGCTAGTTCTCTCTTCTCCTGTGAAGACATGAACGTAGCTGCTCCTTTAATTACATTTAGCTAGTTTTAATTCAGAGATGGCTATTGGCCCTTTGTTTTCTTACCATCTTTTATTGTGTTCATTTTCCTAGTTGATTTTTAATGGTGACATCACTAACAGCTCTAAAGACTCAAAGCTTACCAGACAGCACGCTTCCCTGGGTCAGAAGATGAGAGTCCTCTCCTCTCTCATTCAGTACCAGGGTGTACCAGTGAGAGGCTTGTGAAGGGATTGTTTCGGCGACTCCTTATCTAAGAAATGAAGATAATTTTTATGAGGTGCATTTTGGTCTGTGGGAGTGGAAGGGAAAATGACGGTTTCTTTCCTATACTGTCCTTTGTTTGGAATGGTGAAAATGTTTTGAATCTGTTTCTGGTGTGATCGTTAGGTCCAAGATTTCACGTGACGTTGTGTGCCGGGTGTTGTGGTCAACACACAGGAATGCTCCTTTATTCTCTGTACGGCCTTTGGGTGCATCATTTGAGTGGATGTTCATTTGCTTGAGACGATTGTCAGAGGGAATCTTGTGTGCCCTTTGCTCTCTGTGCCTGTCATTGCGAGGGTTTCTTTGAGCCGGTCTGCTGACCGTCAGGCACTTGAGATTGACTCGGTGAACAATGCCGCCAGCCTTTCTGATGCGGCTCCTGCCCTCTCTGACTCCTACACAGGATCAGAATCACTCAGATATCACTTCTGTTGGTGGAGGCGAGAGAAGAATATTTATCCAGTTTCTGCCTTTCTGCCCCCATTAGCTCTTTACCAAAAAAAAAAAAAAAAAAAAAAAAAAAAAAAAAAAAAAAAAAAAAAAAAAAGCAAAACCAGTTATTCTGTGAAAATATGCAAAGCAGAGTTTTGGCCTTGAGGATGCGTATTTGTGACTTGCTTTCCTGTACAGTAAGTGCTGCCGCCTCAGGAGCGGGCGCAGTCGCTTATGGTGCCGGTGAGCCTGCGCGGCGCTGGCTTTTGCTCCTCTGGTGCCAATGCAGCTCGTTGACAGCTCCAAGATATTTGGATATCTCACTCTTCCGGCTATTTCAGCTGCCAAACTAGAATCCCAACCTTCTGAGAGTCTGTTCTCTTTTGGATTTGTTCATAGATGTCTATTCTCTCCTGATCTGGTTCATGAACACTCTGGAAGCCAAGTTCATTGAAGACACTCTGGATGTGTAATTTGGAAGAGGAGACTGGAGCATGGAGGCTTTGTTCCTAGTATTAGAGAAACACATAGAAAGGACACAGTGTCTAGCGCTGGTTAAGGAAACTTAAAGGAAAAAGATTGGGGCTCAGAATTAGGAAGTAATTTCTCACAAGCATAGCCATTCTGCTTTGGAAGAAGCTGGCTTCTCCTATCACTGGAGGCACCCAGACTCGGGCTGGCGAGGGATTGTTAGGACGGGGGCTGTGTGTGTTGTTGCTGGTAGAATTGATGGACTTCAAGTCCCATCCTAGTTTTCAAGGTCTAGAGTCCTTTCAGGATCTAGGATTTGATTTTTGTACCTGGTCTTCTCTCAGGGGGTAGTTTTCTCCCAGGCTTAAAGGAAGATATTTGTCTGGAGTTTCTTTGGACTGTCCTCCTGCCTGCCTGCCTCCCTCCCGCCCCCACCTTGGGATCCTGGTATATTCTGCCGGCTCACCTGAGACGTAGTAAGAGTTCTGCCTGTCAGCTGCAAGGTGCTGGGTGGAAGGTCCCTGCTTCCCACTCCCGCTCTCCTGCCTGCCAGCCCCACAGTAGTGCTGCCTGGGCTTGTGTTTCGCCATGTAGCCCCTCTCGATACCGATGCCATTTGTCTTCTGGGCATCCAGATGGTGAGTGGTGGCTGGGCATGATCTTAATCGGATTCTCCCTGTGCACAGCCAGCCTT
This sequence comes from Homo sapiens, assembly GCF_000001405.40. Classification (NCBI taxonomy): domain Eukaryota; kingdom Metazoa; phylum Chordata; class Mammalia; order Primates; family Hominidae; genus Homo; species Homo sapiens. Next base: position 235,679,008 of record NC_000002.12, read on the forward strand.
GACTCGAAAACTGATTTCAGGTGTGTGGATAATACAATGATGGCGGCAAGAAAGAAAGAATGCTTTTCTGTTGGTTGTTGGAACACATTTAAATTGCCACATGGAGAAAGCACAGTGTCTTGATTTGGTGGAGTGGATTTAGTCTTGACAACAATACTTCGGTTAGTAAGGTGATTCTGCCTAGTTATCTACATCCCTGAGCTCTGTCTACCTTGTGCCAGTAAACAGATATGTCACTGTGCAGCCCAGCACCATATCTTTGCTTTACTTTATTTAGCTGTAATACGGGTTTTGCAAAAGACCTAAAAATAGAAATATTGCATATGTGGCTGTGTTTGCATTTATAGTTACTATGAGATATACATTTGCCCAGGTGGATTTCTTATATCCCGAAGCTCCAAGTATAAGCCAACCTTGTATTTTGCTTTCACTGTTTTCCCCTGTATTTTCTCATGATCTTCAATTTAACTACTTCCTTTAAAATTATTGACCACTGTTACCTTAAAATTATAAATGGGGAGAATAGAGTTCTCTTTTTTTCCTTTGGCTTAATCCCCTTCCCACTCCTCTTATTCGGAGGAGTAGCGATTACTTGGCAGCATATGGATTCGTCTCATTCCTGGTACAAGCCAAATATGTGTTTATTTTGGACAGCTAGTCTGAGTGCTGCGTCCCAACATCACCTTTCCTAATCCCTGCTGTGCCTTCTCCTGGAGGGCTGGCACCAGAGAGCATTGCCTGGAAAGCAGAGTAATCTGTGCTCTTGAGATTTTAGAGAATAAGGATGGATATTCCTTGTTGGGCGTGACTTTTAGTCTTCAGAGTAAGAAAGCACTGACACAGTATATTGATCAGGTTTGTTCAGTGGAGTGTAGTAAAGGTCATTTGGTGAATTCCGTATTTTCAAATATTTAGGTTTCTAATATGATGCGAATGGTGTTACGTGGATCTGTGTTGTACTGACGCTGACATTTTGACTGTCGTTTCTAAGTAACGTACTACTACTTTGGATAAAAAGCACCGTGGCTTAACCATTGAAGATAATGTTACAAACTTAGATAGTGGTTGAGCTAGCAAGTAACTAGTGAGAGGAACTTTAGCTCTATATGCAGGAGATCAGAGCACAGGGAGCTGGCCCCCTGGCTGACCTTCCTTGTGGGCTACCCACGCCTTGCAACTGAAGAGCGGTAATTAAATATATATTCATAGAAGAGTGGTAAAATCTGCTTTGTCCGTGGAAATGAGCTAAAATATTAAGAATTCAAGGATGTTGGGCCAGGATTTGGGCTTTAATTTGGCGCGGGAGAAGTGTTGGGCCTGAGCCCTTGTAGGGGTGGGACAGGGCAGGGGTTTGAGTGTGAATGCTGGTGTCCAGAGGGGTCAGGGGCCCTGCAGCCCCCTCTAGAAGCTGTGACTTGGGAAGCACCCTCGTGTCCATTTGGACCCGTCTCAGGTGACTTGATGTGTGTGATCCCCCCATCTCTGTTCTGTGGCTCTCTATGGGCCTGGGGAAGGGGTCCCAGGCATCCTCTTGAAGCCATGTGGGGAGGCACCGAGAGCAGGAGGCTGGCTTCTCCTGGTGTCTTGTCCTTGGCAGGGAGCAAGTGACATCCATTTTGACTGGTGCTGACAGGGTGAATGTACTAGCATAGGTGTGTGCAGCTGGGGCTGTACCTGCCAGGAGCATCCTGGCGCGGGTCTCCTGCCTGAGCTTCTCCTTGTTGGGAATGCTGTCCTTAGGCAGATCCTCATTTTCAGGCCTCACCAGAATTGCCTGGCCTGGTGGGAAGAGAGTGGCTGCGGGCTCCCAGAGGTTCAGCTCAGAGTTCTACTCCACACTTCCTGGGCCAGCTTCCGCCTCTGAACACCTGAGCTGACACTGGGACTGTGAACCCAGATAAGATGATCATGCTCACAGCTGCAGCTCAGGATGCAGCCAGCTGTGTTTTTCCTACTTCCTCTCAGCTGGGCAGTTTGCTGGCCTCTGAAAATTCTAGCCCCCCCTCCCCCTTTTCTTTTTAGGCAGAGTGTCGCTCTGTCGCCCAGGCTGGAGTGCAGTGGCGCCATCTCGGCTCACTGCAAGCTCCGCCTCCCAGGTTCACACCGTTCTCCTGCCTCAGCCTCCTGAGTAGCTGGGAATACAGGTGCCCACCACCATGCCCAGCTAATTTTTTTGTATTTTTAGTAGAGACGGGGCTTCACCGTGTTAGCCAGGATGGTCTCGATCTCCTGATCTCATGATCTGCCCTCCTCGGCCTCCCAAAGTGCTGGGATTACAGGCGTGAGCCACCATGCCCGGCAATTTTAGCCCTTTTGACACACTCTATGACCCTTCTTACGCGCCTCCCGAGGAGGAAGCATGCACTAGAGCGTGACTACAAACCTGGTGCCATGCTAGAGCGGGAGAGGAGTGACTGCAAACCTAGGCCTCTGTCCTGTCACCTTTCCTCCAGCTGGTGAACCACCTTGTCTACTCCCTTGCCCCAACACAGCCGACAGGTGGACAGCCAGACACATGCAGAGCCATTGTTTTTTCAAAGACCTGTTAAAGTTTAAAGGCTTTGTTCACTCATTCTTGAGACTAACAGTTCAAGTTCACAAGAATAAATGTGGAATACAGTATGCACCTAAAAATATAATACAGTTTTAATTTTCATCTGTACTGTTAGCATTAACCAGCACTTACTGAATAATGTCCTCTTAGGACTCTGTGTTAATTGACTTTTTAAGGTTGATTGTTAATAGAGCAGTAGGTTGGGAATTACAGTATTGGTGAAATTTAACTGTTTTTCACGTGTGTATACCTAAGTCCTATAAAGGGTCTAATTTAGTTTGCTTTTTTTTTTTTTTTTTTTTTTTTTGATACAGAGTCTCACTCCGTCACGCAGGCTGGAGTGCAGTGGCACAATCTCAGCTCACTGCACCCTCTGCCTCCCAGGTTCAAGCAATTCTCTGCCTCAGCCTCCCAAGTAGCTGGGATTACAGGCATCCGCCACCACGCCCAGCTAATTTTTTTTGTATTTTTAGTAGAGACAGGGTTTCACCATGTTGGCCAGGCTGGTCTCGAACTCCTGACCTTGTGATCCACGCATCTTGGCCTCCCAAAGTGCTGGGATTACAGGCGTGAGCCACCGTGCTTGGCCTCGGTTTGCATATTTTATACTGTGTTATGAAACCGTATCAGCACTGTTTTTTTTGTTTGTTTTAATATAGAAATAATATGTACGTTGTGGACTCCTCCTTTCAAGCTGGGCATATTTCATTTTCACTCTGAACTAGCTTGGTGGCCAAGAATGAGGCGTCTGGAACCAGGATCCTGTTTTGTGGGGGTTTTGTTTTGTTTTGTTTTGTTTGAGATGGAGTCTCACTCTGTTGCCCAGGCTGGAGTGCAGTGGTGCACTCTCGGCTCACTGCAGCCTCTGCCTCCCGGGTTCAAGAGATTCTCCTGCCTCAGCCTCTCGAGTAGCTGGGATTACAGGTGTCTGCCACCATGCCTGGTTAATTTTTTTTTAATTTTAGTAGAGATGGGGTTTTGCCATGTTGGCCAGGCTGGTCTTGAACTGCTGACCTCAAATGATCCTCGCACCTTAGCCTCCCAAAGTGCTGGGATTATAGGCCTGATCCACCATGCCTGGCACAGAACCCTGATTTTGCTTCTAGATTTGTGACCTTTAGCAAGTTATTTAACTTGTTTGTGCCTCAGTTTTCTCACCCGAAAAACTAGGACTGACAATGGCATTTAACCTGCTGGGCACTGGTGAGTGAACTCGATGTGTGGGTGTGTGCACACGTGTGTGTGTGTGTGTGTGTGTTTTCAGGCAGCACGAGCACGGAATTCATGTTCCGGTCTGTTGCCAGCTGCTGTAGTTCTTTTGTTGATGGACTCATCTCACCCCCTCCAACACAGGGAATGTTCTGGAAGGAAGTGTGGCTACCCTGCCATGGTTCTGTGTCTATGGGAAATCTTATTCTCCTGGAAAACGCAAAGTAAATTCTTCCCTTTAAGACAGAACTGAGGGCCGGTGCGGTGGCTTAATTCCTGTAATCCCAGCACTTTGGGAGGCCGAGGTGGGCAGATCACTTGAGGCCAGGAGTTCGAGACCACCTGGTCAACATGGTGAAACCCCCATCTCTACTAAAAATATAAAAATTAGCTGGACATGGTGGCACACACTTGTAATCCCAGCTACTGGGGGGCTGAGGCAGGAGAATCACCTGAATTCGGGAGGCAGATGTTGCAGTGAGCTGAGATCGCACCACTGCACTCCAGCCTGGGCAACAGAGTGAGACTCCATCTCAAACAACAACAAAAAAGACAGAATTGGTAAAAATACTGATCCCTTGGAAAGAAGTAACTATTTTAGATACCATTGTTTTATTAAAAATGTACTTGCCTCCCTCATATACACATATTGATATAATGCCATCTACATTTGTATAATTTATAAATATTATACAATACTTAATACATATTATATTTAATATTAATAAATTATACAAATAAAACTTATAGATTATAAAATAAGTTTAGTTATTTTAATATTTAAATGTGCTAAATGTAAGTTTGTAAAATTTAGGAATAACTTGTTAGAAAGGTGAAGAAGCTCTGGATTGAAAGGTATGTGCTGAGGTCAGGAGTCCAGCTTGCTCTCCTTTGAGGAGATGGCCTTGTTTTTTCTTTCTCTCTCTCTCTTTTTTTTTTTATTATATTTTAAGTTCTAGGGTTACAGGTGCACAACATGTAGGTTTGTTACATAGGTATACATGTGCCATGTTGGCTTGCTGCACCCATCAACTCGTCATTTACATTAGGTAATTCTCCTAATGCCATCCCTCCCAAGCCCCCCGTCCCCCGCCCGGCCCCAGTGTGTGATGTTCCCCGCCCTGTGTCCATGTCTTCTCATTTTTCACCTCCCACCTATGAGTGAGAACACATGGTGTGTTTGGTTTTCTGTCCTTGTGATAGTTTTGCTGAGAATGATGGTTTCCAGCTTCATCCACGTCCCTGCAGAGGACATGAACTCATCCTTTTTTTGTTTGTTTGTTTGTTTTGAGATGGAGTCTTGCTCTGTCGCCCAGGCTGGAATGCAGTCGCACGATCTCGGCTCACTGCAAGCTCCGCTTCCCGGGTTCACACCATTCTCCTGCCTCAGCCTCCCAAGTAGCTGAGACTACAGGTGGCCGCCACCACGCCTGGCTAATTTTTTGTATTTTGTTTAGTAGAGACAGGGTTTCACCATGTTAGCCAGGATGGTCTCGATCTCCTGACCTCATGATCCACCCGCCTCGGCCTCCCAAAGTGCTGGGATTACAGGTGTGAACCACCGCACCTGGCCACAGCCTTTCTTAAGGCAATCACGAGACCCAGCCCATCGTGGCCTGGTGAAGGAGCAAGCCCTAGGCTTCATTCTCAGTTTGGAAAAAACCGTCATTGCCCAGAATGTCCCATTTACACATTAATTCCTAAATGGAATGATGGGAGCGCTGGGTGCTCAGAGGCTTCCTTTTGAGGATTTGCCAGCTGCTTCTGGACTGTAACTTTTGCAGCAACTTCTGCACTCATTCATCAGGTGCAGAGCAGTGTCTTAGAAATGAGTGAGTCTTAGTGATTTCTTGGAGTGTGGATCCATACACACTTACCTCTTTTCTGAACTATAGATGGGAAGCTGCTGCAAAAAAGCAAGGTGCAGCCCCTTTCTTGTATGAGGGAAGCTACTGTTTACCATCCATGGCTGCTTGAGTTTTTAGAGCTGCGTCAGATGAATAACTTGTTGGTATCACTCGTCAATCTTAGAGGCACTTTCAGAGATTAGGAATTGTGACCAACAGGAGAGACTATCTGGCATTAGGAACACCAGGGCCTATTTTGGATCATGCTGTACTGCTTACGGTCATGCCCTGTCCAATCTGGGATGACTGTGGCATACAAGTCACCATGGCCATTGTGAAGCCCTTGTTCTTGGAGACCCTGTGCTCCAGGTGTGGCTGGTTGGTTCCCTGTGGCAGGACCCCCAGAGGCCCCAGGGGTTGTGAGAGTCAGGGGTGTGCAGGTTCTGAGGGCTTTGCTGGGTGGGCCGAGGTTGAGTGGGCTGGTTGCAGAATCCTGGTGCCCAGAGGGTTCTTCTTTGCCTGTTGCTGGGGACTCACGCCTTGTGAGGGGACCTTTCTTTATTACCCTGATGAGGACAGAAGAGTTCCTGAGAGGAAGCCACAAGCCGCCTCCCTGACCTGGCAGCTGCCTGTGTGCCCTGGTGTGTGGGTTCCTCCCTTCCTGGGTTCATGCAGCAGACTCTTGGCAGTGCAGGCCTCCTTCCAGGGGCTCTCAGGGCTCAGTTCTCATCTCTCTGGGTCACACTGAGCCCTGCTGATCCCCCTCCTGTGTGGCTGCCTCTCTGATGCCTGAAACACCTTCAGCTGTTAGTCCCACGGCCTCTCATCACCTCGATATCCTTTTCTGCTTGCTTTCTGGTTTTCAGTGGCTGCCAGCAGAGGCTGTAATGCTCCCCTGGGACCTGACCAGTAGAGAACAAATGCTATGAAGACCAGAGGCCCCTCACTGCTCCACGCGTATACAGGGTGCGTCTGTCTGGACAGCCGAAGGCCCATGGGTGGTTTTGTTTTCAAAACACAATGAAAAATGACTAGTCATGCCATATTGTTAGCACCTTTCGATTTTTTTTACTGTAAAAATCAAAACAGAAATATTTGGCTCCAGAGCTCTGTGAACCCCGAAAATTTGAGACGGGTCTCAGTTAATCTTGAAAGTTTACTTTGCCAAGGTTGAGGATGTGCGCTCATTAACACAGCCTCAGGAGATCTAACAACATGTGCCCGAGGTGGCCTGAGCACAGCTTGGTACGTTTTAGGGAGACATGAGACACCAATCAATACATGTAAAATAAACATTGGTTAGGTCCAGAAAGGCAGGACCACTCAAAGTGGGGAGGGGGCTTCTGACATTCTTTTGAGTTTCTGATGAGCCTTTCCAAAGGAGGCAATCAGATATGCACTTAGTGAGCAGGGCGATGACTTTGAATAGAGTGGGAGGCAGGTTTGTCCTGAGCATTTTCCAGCTTGAATTTTCCCTTTAGCTTAGTGATTTTGGGGGCCTAAGATTTTTGTTTTCCACAGGTCTTTTTAGGAATTTTAAAGATGTATCTCATCCAGTAAAGCTGAAGTCCCCCCAAGTGGTAGCTGACCATAGACTAAGCCTCCTGCTGTACGGGGCACCCGCTGGGAGGGAAGAGGTGCTGGCCAAGGTGAATAGATGGTCAGATGGGCGATAGGAATGAACACTTTGCCATGGTGGATGTGCTTTAGTGATAGAATTTGTTCAGGAGATTATCTTTGTTCCTGGTTTGGGAAGGCAGAGCTTCTATATTGGAATTCTTTGTCTCCCAGAATAAAAACTCTAACATCACCTGTATTATATTGTGGGGATTAAAATCATGCACTTGTAGCCAAACCTAGGTATGAGTGTGAGCGTACACTGCTGACAGATTGAAATTTGACGTCCGAATTCTGGTTCCCAGGAAGGAGATATATATATACACACACACACACACACACACACACACACACGTGTGTGTGTATATATATACGTGGAGATATAGATATATATATATATATATATATATAGATATATATATATATATATATTTTTTTTTTTTTTTAGACAGAGTCTTGCTCTGAAGCCCAGGATGGAGCGCAGTGGCGTGATCATGGTTCACAACAGCCATGGGCTTAAGCAGTCTTCCCACCTTAGCCACCCAAGTAGCTGAGACTACAGACACATGCCATCATGCCCAGCTAATTAAAATAATTTTTTTTTTTTTTTGTAGAGATGAGGTCTTACTGTGCTGCCCAGGCTGGTCTCAGACCCTTGAGCTTAAGTGAACCTCCTGTCTCTGCCTCCCAAATGTTGGGATTATGGGCCTGAGCCACTGGGCTTGGCTTAGGAAGGCTTTTTGAATAATTATCTTCCTCACTCTTCTTTCCACCCACTCTCCATTCAACCCTGATGAACCCTGCTGGACTTCATTACATTTCTGCTCACTTGACATGCAGATTGCAGATCAGGTGGGCGGGAGCTGATAACATTCTCACTTGGCCTCAGTTTCCTCGTATGTCCAATGAAGGGATGCACCCTAGCTCTAAAAGTAAACATTGTTCTCAACAGAAGAATCTGGGCATTTGCTATCAAACAGATTCCCATTCTTCAGGCAGTTAATTTTCCACACCACAGGAGATGTTTGTGACATTTCCCATTTCTTTGAAGTCTAAAGTAGATATTGATCCTTTGGAAGGAGATTAAGTTCTCCGGTTCCATCAGGTGTAATGATTTCAGTTTTAGTGTTCCTAGGTGGGGAGTGCTAACCCAAACCTTTCATATGTAGGAATGTCATCCCTCTGCAGACCTTTGAGTCCAGATTTCATTTGTAGTTGACCTTTGGGGGTGACAGTCCGATATGTGTAAATCGTAATAGCCCTTCATCGTAGATACCAGTTTAAAATTCATTTTAGGTGAGTTTCCAAACAGATATATTGGATGTATATCAGTTTAATTTGATAAACATGCAGATAAAAACTTATTACATGAGGACCAGTGTTTGAAAGATGGCTTACATGACCTGATGAGTTTTCATTTTGTCCGTTTCCAAAATACACAGGAATGCAGGAATGCCACCTTCGTTCAGATCAGACTTATCTTCTTCGCAGGATGTGGCCAGAGATTTATTTAAGACATTAGCTGTGATGAGGAAGGTCAGATAATTTAAGCAGGGGCAAAGTACACATTACTGAGGATTCAGCGCTCTTTGGTAGAAGGATGTGTTCCTGGATTTTTTTTTTCTTTTTTTTTTGGATTTTTCTTCTTAATCGCCGCTCTCTGACTTTTTTTTTTTTTTTTTTTTGAGATGGAGTCTCACTCTGTCACCCAGGCTGGAGTGCAGTGGCGCCATCTTGGCTCACTGCAACCTCCGCCTCCTGGGTTCACGCCATTCTCCCGCCTCAGCCTCCAGAGTAGCTGGGATTACAGGCACGCACCACCATACCCAGCTAATTTTTGTATTTTCAGTAGAGACGGGGTTTCACCATGCTGGCCAGGCTGGTCTCAAAGTCCCAACCTTGATCAAGTGATCTGCCCACCTCGGTCTCCCAAAGTGCTGGGATTACAGGCGTGAGCCACCACGCCCAGCCTTGCCCTCGGATCTTGAACCTCCTGTCTACTCTTGCTGGGCTGTAGATGGACAGAGGTGTCAGTATTTTAGGAGTGTGATCTCTCCTTTTGCTCATTGGTGTTTGAGGTCTGTGGTGTCTGTTTGGGGAGCAGGTGTGTGCAGGAAGGAATCTGCACTCTCCACTTTTGCTTTCCCAACATTGTTTTTTTCATTCTCTCTGGAAGGTCATGACGGTCCCCTCCACTCACTCACCTCTCACATTTCCAGCCCCTCTACTTCAGACAGACTTCCGAAACTTTCTGCCTCTCTTGGGGTACTTTAGTATGCCCTGCAGATGTAAGCTGCTTTCAGAAAAAGCCAGATCCTGCCACATGAGACTGCAGGCCCTACTAGAATCTGTTCTATCCCACATCTCCAGTTATAGGTGGGTGGGAAGTGGGAATTGGAATTTTTTCCTTTTGTTCAGATTTTCGTCATGACCACGTGTGTACCCGTTAAGACTAGACAAGGGAGTCACCGCTGCTGAAAGAAAAGTCATTGTGTATTCATTTTGCATTGGAGGAAATGAGCATTGGGGTGCTTTGGTGACAGCTTGGAGGAGCAGGGGAGTCAGTGGCATGACTAGGCCTGGGTCCCCTCATCCCGCCCCTCATTCACCCGCTAGTGCTGTTTGAGGGCCAGAACCAACTGTGCCTGTGTTTAGACTGGGTTTGTTGCTGTGTCACAGTAACGCAATTGCAGCAGCAGCAGCCGCACCCGTGTAACGTTCGCCAAGCTGGGTACTGTTGGAAGCACTTTGCTTGCATTTGTGCAGCGATTCCAGCAACAACCCTGTGCGGTAGATTATTGTCCCATAAATCTATAAGATTGATTGATTGGTTATCTGTAGGAGACATCTACGTATACGTATTTATAGAGCAATGAAGAAATAAGCCCAAGGCTATCCCATGAGTTAGGGGCTTCAGGGCTTCTGCGCTTTGCTGGCCCTTGTGCTGCCTTCGGTAGATGGCCCCGGCCCTGCCTATGCCTTGGACACTCTTCATTCGCTAGCACCGAGATGGTTCAGGGCACTTTGGAGCTAGAGCAAGAGCAATGGAGAGAGTGAGGTTGCCGTGTCCACAAGTCACTGCACAGCTCACCACGCGGGCCTGGAGTGAGCCTGCTGCTGTTCATCGGCCCGTAGGGTCTCCAGCACAATACCGGGTTAGTGAGCAGAAAGTAGTGCACTGATTATGTTTCCATTACACCATAGAACATAACAATTTTGACTGCAGAGAGGCAGGCAGAATAGCTTGTCCAGGAAAATAATAGTGCGTTTGTAAGCCAGAGAAAGATGGTACTGTGTGGTGGGGAATTCTGAAAGTCTTAAGTCTGTTTCTCAACTCCCCTCTTGTTTTCATTGTTTCAGGCAAATAATTTCTGATGGACACCAAATTGGCAGGTCACCATAGGGACCTCCCCTAACCTCAAATCTGTGTAATGAAGTATCTGCAACATTTCCACTCATTTGAGAGTTCCACTTTTCAGGACAGTCATAGAGCTGCACTGTTGGTAAACTGTCCTGCATGTGTGTACGTGCACACTTGTGTGACGTGTCAGCTCGTGCCTGCAGAGACTCTGCCAGCAGGGCTGAGGCTGCTGCCAGGAGAGCATCTGGGGTGGTGTCCTACACCTCCTTTCCAGGAGTTTCTGTGTGCATGATGCACTTCAGAACCTATAGTGTCATTTGTGGTATTTTTTTTTTTAAATACTGCTTTTGTTTATTTTCCCTGGTCTAATTTTTTCAGATGGTAAATAGATCGCGTTGTTGCATGCGTTTGATGAAAGTGATATCACAGCAAATGCAAAGGTGACTGGGAGTTCTAAGCCCCTGGGTGTCTCTCCCTCGGGGTTTTCATGCAGTATTGACACTCTCTTCTCCCCAGGTGCTGAGTCCCCAGGTTCCCCTCTCCCCCTACCTGAGGTACTGAGGGATCTCACTTGCTACCTGCTTGGAGCCAGTCCAGTGGCTTCACTTTTACCACTCAGAGAACTTTAGTACACAGTCTTAAACAACCCTGGAATGTTGAGCTAAAAGGGACTCTGACCCTCCCTCCGCACCCCACCCTTTAAAGGTGAAAGCAGCAGGTGGGGTGGACTCCTGGGGCTGGGGAGGCCGTGCCCTGGGGGCAGGTGCAGGAGGGAGCCTGGCTCTTCAGGTTAAATTGTGTTTCAAAGGCAGAGCTCACATTGGAGCACTTGATATTATGCATTTGAAACATTGAGACACAGCTTCTAGTTTAAAATAAAGGTGATAGCCAAGGAGGAAAGCATGGTTTATTCCTAGCTTCCGGTAGAGGAGGCTGGCCAACTCAGACACCTAAGCAGCCACATCAGACCCAGAGTCCGAGGTAGAATGGATATTGCTAAAGCTGAGAGCTACAGCAGAGCGTCTGCTTGAGGAGCTCTGACGGGCTGGGCAGCCAGTGCTCCTGGCCCTGAATGTGTTTGAAGGAGCTCTTTGGAAAGAGGTGCAGGCTTCCGGCTATTGGTAGACACCTGTCTGCTTGGGGCAGGTATACTGACTTTTTGTTGCTTTTACGGTTATCTTCGGGTAAAGTCATTGTGTTTCTTCTTGATTTATTTATTTTTTTCTCCAGTCTAGTCATAGTATTGGTTTCGAGAAGTCAAAATCAATGTTTTATTTTCAGAGTTCTAAATCCAGCCATATAAATACTTCGGATCTGGCCTGAGGGTTTGGCAGGGATTCGTGGCTGCTATTTTAGATATGCCAGGAGCCTTCTTGGAAGTCGCTCACCACCTGGTTTTCTCCAATTAGGCTATGAGCCTGTATCTTAGAACACTCAGATTAGTGTGCCTAGAGTGCCAAGGTGGGGGTTGTAGACAAGATTCTACCCCCTCCTCCAGACTCTGCTCCCTAGGCCGAGGTGAGGCCAGCAAGGAGTCTGCCCCATGCGATTCTGAGGCCTTGGTCCCTTCTGAGAGACCCCAGCCCCGAGAGGCTCTGGGCTGCTGGATGCTGGTGCCTTTTCCCACCGTCAATCAAGCACATGCGCATAGGGCTCTGTGCCTGGCCCCAGGACTGTCATATCCAGGGAAAGGTCACTCTCTGGCAGTGGATGCTACCCTGTTGGTGGCAAGTTAGAAAGGCACACGTTGGTAATGGCCAATGGTTGCCAGTGCCTTACTTTTGGAGACAGGAATTGTTACACGTCTCCGTTGCGAGAAGCAAAAGTAGATTTAACACATCTTTAAAATCCGCTGAAGACTGTAAAGATACTCATTTGAGATGTGCCAACATTTAGTCGGATTCTGTGACTGGTCGTGAGTCCCTCTTCCTCCACACAGCAACACTGGTTCTAAAACAGTCGGATAGCCGTGGTCATTTGTGGATGTGAGCACAGCCAGGTCCCATGTTGACAAGTGCTGGACAGTGGACACCAGCGGGAGACTCAGTACAAATCATGTTGCTTTGGGCTTATGCACATCTGCAGAAGGCTGCAAGCTGGGGAACTGAGGGGCCTCTTGGTCTGGGGACCACGCCTCCCTTCCCTTCCTTCCCTGTCCTGAGTGTGACCTCCGTCATGTTGACCCCTGCACTCCTGCCCGCCCCCCATTCACCCACTAGGAGAAAGTACTGGATAGGGATGAGCTTGGGGACAATGGCCAGTGACATCCAGGAGAGGGAACTTAGAGGCAAGGCAGGGATGCAAAATCGGAGTTCCTAGTAGAAACAGACATGCAGCATATTGTGAAATGTTTCAGAGAAATAACAGCATCACGATAGCACATTCTCTAGTTGCTGGTTATCTAGTTACTAGTGGTAAGACAGAGCCAGTTAACAAAGACTATAAAGTTTTCTCAAGAGGATGTAAACCAAGTAAACAAAATAAATTCAGACCCCAAGTGCGCATATTGAGTTTGAATATTCATCTAAGAAGCTTTTGTACATGCGTTATGTATCCATAAGCCAAAGCCGGGGGCTCCCTGGCAGATGCCCCTACCTGGCCAGGTCTCGTCGTGTCTAGGTGGTGACAGCCATGTAGATATGCCCGCTGCCTTGCACCTGTTCCTCTGGCCTCGCCTCTGTAACAGAACGTGGCCCCTGCCTTCCATCTTCCCCAGGGTGCCAGTGGGGACCTTGCCTTCTCCAGCACTGGGCCGTCCACTTTGCTCCTTTGTGCCTGCACTGCCAGGTGCACATCGAGCCTAATCTGGCTTAGGAAACAGGAGGGGCACCAGCTAGAAAATGTGACCCATGTTGCCAACTCCCAAAAGCCACCAGGTGACTTCCACTGCCGTTAGAATGAAACCCAAACTCTGCACTCCAGCCCCAGCATCAAACCATACTTCGCCCTGCTGCCCCTATGCTCTCCCCCCTTGCCCTCCCCCCTTGCCTTCCTGGGCCATCCTTTTCTGACTCAGCCTCAGTGCCTAGCCAGTGGGTTCCCCTCGCTGACCCTCAGCCCTCAGGCCCAGCACCTCAGAGAAGCCGATGACTGACGTGCACCCCGCCAGCCTCCCTGCTTATCCTTCCCTGCCGCCTCGTGTGTCCTGCATGGCATTTGTTACAGCCCGCAGTCACAGGTCTTGCGGTGGACTTGCTGGTCGGCTGCTCTGCTGATTCTCGAAGGCGGAGTCAGGGTGTGCTTGGTGTGCGTATCTCCCTTGATGTGGCACTGCCTGGCTCCGGAGATAGCGAGGGAGGGAGGGAGGCAGTGAGCAGGACCTGTTGCTGTCGGTGGTGGCATCAGTGGAGTTGGCAGGTACTGTGCATGGGAGAGGGAGTGTGGCCTGCAGGCCAGTGGCTGAGGCCCAGTGTGGACTGTAGAGTGTCAGATTCCACTTGCTGGCCTAGGGGCCTTCCTGATGTGGGCTGCGGCAGTCACCACTGGGGAAGGCCATGCAGAGGCTGACTCCTTGGGAAGGAGGCTCTGGAAGGAGAGCATGTGCAGAATGTTTCCTGCAGTGCCTCTTGAGCTCCCGCCTGAGGGTTTGCTCAGCCGGCAGGCCTAGAGGAGGGGGCTTTGGGGCTGCAGTGCAGTCTTTGCAAAGGGTTCAAGGGTCCTGAAGGTGGTGGCACTGTGGCCTTAGGAGCTGGGGTAGTACTCAAAGCTATCCCCAAGTAGGCACGGGGGCTGGGCCTTTATGCCTGTCACCAGTCTATGATTGGACGTGTTCTGCCCTCCAGGGGTCATATCCTTGGGCCACACCACTCACTTCTCTGCCCAAGTGCAGTCTCTGGCATGGGGACTCAGCCTAGAGTGATCAGCCACCTGCACTCCCAGCAGCCAGGTACTGAAGGCTTTACCCCTGAACAGAGGGACAGGCTGGTGCCCACCACAGTCATGCGAAGGCATTGCGGAAAGCTCTCATTAAAAGAGCATTAAGCCAGGCCTGGTGGCTCACGGCTGTAGTCCTAGGTACTCGAAGCTGCGGCGGGAGGATCACGAGCTCAGGAGTTCGAGTGCAGCCTGGGCAACATAGTGAGGCCTCGTCTCCAAAAAACCCCACAAAACATTAGAAGTAGTAGTACTTGCTATTCTCATAGGAGGATGTAGAAATTAGATAAGAGTTAACTGAGAATAGATTTGAATTAGCTTTTATTCCCACTGAAAAAATCAGAAATAAACTTGATTTCCTCTGGCATAAGTGTGGGTCCTGTGAGTTGATCCTCAGCCCTTACTTGGGGGTTAATGACGTTCCCATTTGAAAAACATGGCAGTTTCAATGTCTGTTAATGTTGCAAAGCATACCAGGAACATTTTATAAAAAGTAACAGAAACTACCATGTGATTCTGGAAGCTGCATAGTTAACTGTCCATTTATCTTGAAGTCTAGTGATTCAAAGCATGAGGAATAAGATCGGGAAGCTGGCCAGATGTGGTGGCTTACACCTGTAATCCTAGCACTTTGGGAGGCTGAGGTGGGTGGATCATCTGAGGTCAGGAATTCAAGACCAGCCTGGCCAACATGGTGAAACCCCGCCTCTACTAAAAATACAAAAATTTGGCCAGGCATGGTGGCTCACACTTGTAATCCCAGCACTTTAGGAGGCCGAGGCGGGCGGATCATGGGGTCAGGAGATCGAGACCATCCTGGCTATCATGGTGAAACCCCGTCTCTACTAAAAATACAAAAAGTTAGCTGGGCGTGGTGGCGGGCGCATGTATTCCCAGCTACTTGGGAGGCTGAGGCAGAAGAATGGCGTGAACACGGGAGGCAGAGCTTGCAGATAGCCGAGATCGCACCACTGCACTCCAGCCTGGGCGACAGAGCGAGACTCTGTCTCAAAAAAAAAAAAAAAAAAAATTAGCTGGGCATGGTGGCAGTGCCCTGTAATCACAGCTCCTCGGGAGGCTGAGGCAAGAGAATTGCTTTAACCTGGGAGGTGGAGGTTGCAGTCAGCCGAGATCGCGCCACTGCACTCCAGCCTCTGCAATAGAACGAGACTCCGCCTCAGGGAGAAAAAAAAAAAGAAAAAAAGGAAGCTGCTACCTTCCCAAGGACACTTGCTCCTCCTCGTCTTGCTCAGGCATCTCCTGGGCACCTTTCGGGGCAAGTCCTGCTGTCACTGCACAGCTCACCTTGTATATGTGGGGTGCTCTTCTCCTCTCCTGAGGAGTTATGGGTGATTAGGAAGCAAACGCGTCTCAGACTTGGAGATCAAATGAAGAGAGGCTGTGTAAGCACCAGGATGCATGGGGGGTTCCGGCTTCTTCGCAGTTTCACCTGGTTTAACCCAAAGGCAAGCAACAGGGATGCCCAGGGCGGGTGAGAGGTGCTGAGCGGAGCTCCATAGTTGGAGAATGTAAGTATTTAAAAATTCTTGTGTCTATTTTACTATTAAATAGACTGTATAACCTCAAAACCAGTTAAGAATCTTTGACATTCATGGTGTGAAGGATGAGAAGCTGGGAAATAACAAGGACCTTTTCCTCGTGTTTCCTCCTTAATTATGCTTGCCAGTGTTTTAAGCATCGAGGCTGACCTTCGCAGGCTTCAGGGTTTCAGCTTGATCACCATGTGGATGTGGATGAGTCAGTTCACTCCATAATAGCTCTTAGAGGTGTAGAAAGGAACTACTTCTTTCCATGAGTGCACCTTTATTGCCCTATCTTATAGAAATAGTAGATGCTCATCGTAAAGACTTACAACAGGATTGAAATTGGTAAAGAGAAAAAGGCAATCCCCTACCCCCGTCCCTCAGAGATAGCTGCTGTTGTCAGATCAGTTGGATATTCTTGAAGACAGCTTCCTTCACGGGTGTTTATATGTCGTCTCTGTCAGTCAGTTACATGGTGAACAGACAGCGGCTCAGGTTACAGACGATCTGTAGCCCAGTGTTTGTGCTCAGTATATTACACTTGATCTGTCGTGGAACTTTTTTCAAGAACAGACAGCTTTTGTTCTGGACACAGTATTTGGTGGGGCCTAGGTCTGCCTGTAAGCATACATATTGGCAGAGCAGTGTCTCTTCCACATCTGAGCTGGTCAGGCAGAGGGCCGGGCGCAGTGGGGGCACTTTGCTGGGTGAAAGAGGTAAGAGGTAAGTCAGCAGGGGCACAAAGAAACCATGCGTATTCACAGGAGCATCTGAGCTCCAAGCCCAGGGAGCTGAGAGGGGTCACTGTCCTTCACAAGGAGGTGGCTTCTTTTCTGGACATCAGACAGCATTGTTGCAGGAGATACTGAATAACCAACCCCTCTGTGATGTAGTCTTCAAGTTTTATTCCCTTGGGTGCACCAGCGGAAGGTCTGTGCTGAGAACAGAGGAGGGCCGAGGAGACACTTGCATGGGGTTGTCGACAGAGGGGCACCAGGATGGGTATTGCCCAGAGGGAACCTGCATGATTGTTTTGTTTACCATTTTTCTTGAGACGGAGTTTCACTGTGTTGCCCAGGCTGGAGTGCAGTGGCGTGATCTCAGCTCACTGCAACCTCCGCCTCTCGATTTCAAGCGATTCTCCTGCCTCAGCCTCCAAAGTAGCTAGGATTACAGGCGTGCACCCCCATGCCCAGCTAATTTTTGTACTTCTAGTAGAGACAGGGTTTCTCCATGTTGGTCAGGCTGGTCTTGAACTCCTGACCTCGGGTGATCCACCTGCCTCGGCCTCCCAAAATGTTGGGATTACAGGCGTGAGCCACGGCCCCCAGCCTGTTTACCAATTTTTAAACCATGGCTTATGACCCTTACCCTGAGCATCAGTGACAGGGGAACCAAGAGTCGTGTGAGGTCCCAGGGTGCACAGTGGACATTTCAGTGTGAAGGGCGGGTCGGGTGCCCCAGCTTCCACGCTTTCCAGCCTGGATTGTGGCATCTTGGATGTGAGGCCACAGACCAAGCTCACAGGGATGAGAGATGGTCCGTGTGGGTCAGCCGGCTCAACAGACCTTCTCCCAGGAGGCTGATTAGATTTGCTGAGCATTACAACCTGATGGGCAGGATTTGTTTTAATCATGTAACACAATCACAAAATTAGTAGTGGCACCATGCTATCGCTGCCCCTTTCCCATGCATGTGCTGCAGACTTATCTGTGGGGGAAAAATTATCCATGCCACCTCTCAGAATGAGCCCCGTCCCCACCTTATACGAGACCATCCCAGCCAACACAGTGAAACCCCGTCTCTACTAAAAATACAGAAATTAGCTGGGTGTGGTGGCACACGTCTGTAATCCTAGCTACTCGGGAGGCTGAGGCTGGAGAATCTCTTGAACCAGGGAGTCAGAGGTTGCAGTGAACCAAGATGGCACCACTGCACTCCAGCCTGGCGACAGAGCCTGGAGACTCGATCTCAAAAAAAAAAAGAGAAGTATCCTAACTTTTGTTTCATTCGATTTGCCATTAAGTCCGGTTATTTTAGCTGAACCTTCCCCTTAGGTCAGTGCCAGCCCATTAACCTGAGAGAAGCTGGGACAGCCCCAGGCACCAGCCAGCTTTAGGTCTGCGTGGAAAGGGTGTTCTTACTAAGAGCAGATTCTGGGAGGTGAGAGCTGGAAGAACCGGAGGCAGCCCTCCCATTTCACAGATGAAGAGATTAAGGCCCCAAGAGGCTAAGTGACTCGCAGAAAAGCTGCCCAGGCGTTCCATGTAGAGCATGGATTTGAACCAGCATTGCCGCATCGGGATGGGGAGGTGCTGGTTTGCTTGTTAGCTGTGTTGGGTGTACATGTTGTTCGTCTTCATGTGAGGTTGTTAGAAGTAGTTTAGCCACATTAAGTGCCCAGTGCCCCCACTTCCCCCTGCAATCCCCGATGAAGCAATGCTTCTCTGTGAGTGACATGGCAGGGGGGACCAATACCTAGTGGACTGTCTGTGTCTGTCACCCCTGTGCCTGGGAGGGGTGACCCTTGGCTTCACAGACTGTGCTCCCTTCACCTTGCCCCACGGACCCTCCCCCAACCAATTTCTTAGTCTGCTCTTGTGGCGAAAATTCAGCAACAGTAAGGAGTGAGTTAATTCTGATTGCTCTTTCTGTGGTAATCTTCTGGATTTATTTGTGTCTATTATTGAGCCATCCCTTATTATAAACATTAATTTCACCATGAATTAAACAGTATGACTGACTGAGTTTATAATTCTTTCTGGAATGAAAACTGTCAGGCCCAATTATATCCAGCCCAGGACTGACAGAAACTCAGCATATGAATTGTAAATATCTTGTCTCCTGCGTTCTTTATTTTAACCAGGGAAAATGTTCTCGTGTCTATCAACTTGTCTTAACTTCAGCAAATACAGTGGCTCTTGCATACTACCAGCATCTAAGCTGCAGTCGAAATTATCTTTTAATACAGCAGTCTCCAAGCTTTTTTGGCACCAGTGACTGGTTTTGTGGAAGACAGTTTTTCCAGGGACCCAGGGGTCGAGGGAGGGGGGATGGTTTGGGATGAAACTGTTCCAGCTCAGATCATCAGGCATTAGATTCTCATAAAGAGCACACATCCTAGATCCCTCACAGGTGTGGTTCACAGTGGAGCTTGCACTCCTGTGAGACTCTAATGCCGCCGCTGATATGACAGGAGGCGGGGCTCAGGAGGTGGTGTGAGCTTATGGGGAGCAGCTGTAAATACAGATGAAGCTTCGCTTTGCTTGCTCACACGCTGCTCACCTCCAGCTGTGTGGCCCTGTTCCCAGCCAGCCACGGATGAGTACCAGTCCACGTCCCTGCGGTTGGGGACCCCTGTTTTAATATACATCTCCACCCAAACTGCAGTAAGACAAATAGCTGTCTACTCTTACATCTCATGAAAAAAAAATGGCTGTGAATTTAACCTACGGATTTTGTTTTTTCTTGCAGTTTCTGACTTGTACCTTTTCATAAAATATCCCTATTCAACATTTTCACTTTCAAGGACTCAGCAGTTTCATTTTAGGTGTTAAAATGTTTTAAAGCATTCTCGAGATCTGTTCAAAATTCTACGTCTTATATGAAATGTAGGATTCTGGCTTTGGTCTAAGGTGACAATGTTCTACCGCTTCTTAGGGGTGCCAGGAACCCCTGGCGGGAGGCCGTGTCTCCCTAGTGTGACAGCTGGCGTTCTGGTGGTGGCGCTCAGTGTGTTCCTACAGTCATTTTCTCAGGTTCTTGTTATTGTAGCAGCTTGATGGTTGCATAATTATTCATCATACCTATCACAATTTTTAAATTTTTATTGCTCTTCCCACTTTAGATAGAAGCTCAGTTACTCAGAGGCTCAACAATAAATTGAACATGTAGTCAGCATGTGAAAACCCCAGGGTGGGTTTTTAGCAAGCTCCTGAAGGCAGGTGTCTGGAGATTAGAGAGGAGAGGAGCACAGGGGAGCCCCGTGCCCATACCTGTGGCTGGTTGGTGGTGTAGGCAGGAGATGGTGGCCTGGACCACCACGGGCATCAGACATCCCCCCCCCCCACCCCACCTAGGCTCGCACAGGAGGGACGGGGAGGCAGGAGGGAAAGAACTGGTCGGGCAGGACGTCCCTACATGCCCCCTCCCTTCCCCTCCAGCTTTTCTCCTACTTTGGTGGGGTGTTACTGCTGGGGCATGGGAACAGCGGATGAGCTGGGTCAGGGGGATGGGGGTCTAGGGCTTGGGGAGACCTCCTGTAGATACAGGCAGTGTCTTTGGTTGCGTTGTCTTGCTACAGAGAGCCTGATGTATTTGTAAGAAGACTAAGAAGGTTTTGGATGATGGTGATCAGGTGCTTGTTCCCTTTAGCAGGGGAAATTGGGGCTGACTTTATAACATTGGAGCTCACTATATACTAGAAGTTGAATTGTACTTTTTTCCCCTGGAGTTCTGTGACTCCTTTGAATTCTCACGGGTTAAATGGGATCCTGGATACTCCCTCCCTCTTTG
This sequence comes from Homo sapiens, assembly GCF_000001405.40. Classification (NCBI taxonomy): domain Eukaryota; kingdom Metazoa; phylum Chordata; class Mammalia; order Primates; family Hominidae; genus Homo; species Homo sapiens. The sequence continues at coordinate 235,699,528 of NC_000002.12, forward strand.
TAAAACCCCTGGAGCATTTTGTGGCTGAAATTTACTTCTTAGAGCCATGAAATGCCCTCCAAAAAGTGAAGCACCACATCCAAATTGCATTCCATGCCCAAAGTGGTTAACATCCCTCAGAGATGCAAACTCAGAAGCATTTTTGGTTTTGAGAGCCACAGTGCTTTACCCATAGGATGGGCAGGCCATTCCTTCTGCTGACTGCGTCAGCAGTCCGGGCTCCAGGAGAACCAGCATTCGCAGTGGGGGTGTCTGCACTCTCTACCAAGCTGTCCAGGTTCAGGAATTAAAGATGGAAGTGAGAGCCTGTGAAACAAGGAAGCTATGAGGTGTGGGGCTTTGCCAGAAGTGCCAGGGAGGCTGTAAAATGTGTTTTGGAGGCAACCTCAGGCTGGTTCTTCTGGGGACCTCGGTGTTGGGGGAACGGCCTGTTTCTGTAGCTTGGGATGAACTTCTTCCCTGCATCTGTGAACAAGCTTGTACTCAGCCTGTAGGTTAACAAGCTGGGGCCAGAAGGCTGTACTGCACTGGACCCAAAACCTGCCCTAGGAAGATGCTTGCAACAAAACTTGTTATCACCTTGGTTTATAACAGTGAGATGGAAACGGGATGGAATTGGGGCATGGGTTTCAGGACTATGAAGTTATTATTTATGCATTAAATATTCCGAAGCAGCCTCAGCTAATGGAACACAGTTCTTCTGAAGGAAATGCGGAAGATAATCCCAGCAGTGCAGGAGAGCTGTGCTCCACTCCTCAAGGCTGTAGGTGGGCCTCTGTTTTCACATTTTAAGAAGGAAAGGGCAATTTTCTTCCTTGCCGTTTTGACTTTCAAATCCTCACGCCCTCTGCTTTGATTCTCTCAGACGTGAATCCTTTAAGCAGTGCTTTACACACCCACGACAAGGGCGTTCTTGGGGAACACCGTGATTCTGGAGGGGTATTATGAGGCACTCAGGAATGCTTTTGAAGAAACTGTAATGAAAATGAGGGCCGGGTGTGTTGGCTCACACTTGTAATCCCAGCACTTTGGGAGGCCGAGGCAGGTGGATCATTTGAAGTCAGGAGTTCCAGACCAGCCTGGGGAACATGGCGAAACCCCGTCTCTACTGAAAATACAAAAATTAGCCAGGCATGGTAGCGCGTGCCTGTAGTCCCAGCTACTCAAGAGACTGAGGCGGGAGAATCACTTGAACCCTGGAGGCATAGGTTGCAGTGAGCCAAGATTGTGCCACTGCACTCCAGGCTGGGCGACAAAGCGAGAATCTGTCTCTGTCTCTCTCTCTCTCTCTCTGTGTATATATAGTATATATTATATATGTATATATTGTATACTCTACATAGTATATATTTATAATATATGTATATAATGTATAATATATGCATATATTATGTATTACACATGCTAGCATATTTGTAATATATATATTATGTATTATGTATATATTATATATGTATATATTATATATGCTATAATATAGTTATATGTATATATTATATATGCTATAATATAGTTATATGTATATATTATATATGCTATAATATAGTTATATGTATATATTATATACTCTATAATATAGTTATATGTACATATTATATATTATGTATATATGATATGCTCTATTTAGTGTATATTTTATATATTTATATATATGGGGGGGTGGAAATCACTATCCTCTAAGAAGTTACAAACCTGCAAATCCTCTAGAGCCCATTTGGGCCGGCAAACTTTTGCCTTGGGATTTCCTTAGAGGAGAAGAGAGAGGACCCAGTCAAATGCTGACGTTGTTGTGACAGATTCTAAGTCGCCTCAGGGCTCAGGGGAAAGAGCCTTGGAATTGCAGGCAGTGGCGTGGATGTACCTGCAGGGGTGGGCATGGTGGCATCTTGGTGGCCAGGTGTTCGTCACCCTGCACTGAGAGGGCCTGGTGAATGGCAAGGTCAGGGGATGCTGTCCGGACATGTCAGGATGGGAAACTGTCTTGTCTGTGGATCTTTGAGGCTGCTGAAAAGGATCTTTGAGCCTGAACTTCCAGGGAAGCCTGAAACCAATCTGGTATCCCCAGGGTTTATGTTTTATTTCATTTATTATAGGGATTCAAGGATTTCCAAATAAGAAATTAAATCCTACCATTGAAACTGTGCTGGTGAACTTCTGCTAAGTCCTACATTTGAAAGTCATCAGCGGATTATGTCTGATCCAGTTTGCAGCGGGCTCTTTTCCGGCTGCGTTGAAATGGATTTCTTTATTCTATTTAAGACTCCACTTCCTTCCTCGGCACAGAACTGACAGGCTGTGGCAGCCACAGCCTCCTCCGATGCTCCTCTCCTCTGTGGATGTACCATCTTTCTTCCATTGTTGTTTTGTTTTATATTTGGGGGCTTTACGGCTGCTTTAAACTAAAAATAAATGCTCCTCCCCTTTTCTGTGCTAAAAATAATAGTTAAAATCCTTGTGACGTTTAAGGTTTTCAAAGAAAATTCCCAATTTCTGAGATAATATGTTGTTTTTAAAATGTCACCTGCAATTTCAGGTTCCTTTTTTTAGCCTTGTGTATAATTTCACGAGTTTTGTCTGGAATGCGTATTTGTGGTTCCTGGAGCCAAACAGAATTGGGGGCTGGGCTGGGGGTGAACGTGACACGGGAGACCATCAAGTCATTCTAATATTGGCTGCATGCTGTGCTTCTAGTTGATAATTTGGAGGAGAAAATTAGAGTCCATAGCTCTGCTGGGGAATGAGCCCACCTGCCAGACGATGGCTGTCTTAATGAAGATGAGGTCCTGGCTCCCTTGTCTAATGAAGAATGTGGGGGAGCCTTTAGCAGAAGGCTCTGAAATCCCGAGGAAGGACGCAGTGGAGGCACCGCTGGACAGGAGCTGCCTTCCCTGGTCCTTGCAGCCAGGCTCCTGCAGCCTGGGAAGGTGGGGCTTCCTCATCTCAGGTCCAGAATCCTCTGAAAGTTCTCTTCCTTGACCATAGTCCTTGGGCCCTGTTCCCTTGTTGGTGTTGTTTGCTGAGGTAGAATGCTAAGATAGGCCAACTGGAGTCATTTCCAGGATTACTTCCCATTCTAGAATTTTTGGTATATGTTGGTAGTCATATCACATGGATGACTTTTTTCATACACGTTTATGTGCTGTAGGTTGAACCCCACTGTGAAATTGCCACTATTCAAACATATTTGACCATATTTGTGCCTCCAGCACAGCAGCGAGTACAAGTAGCACATGTGCCTGTCTCCAAGCAGGAACATCTCCTCCTGGCTGTGGTCAGATTGATCTGGCAATTTTTATGTGGTTTGATGGAATATAAATTGACCTGGGATGAAAACTGACTCCAGTAAAGCCTTCTAGTTTGTTTTACTCCATGTGGAGTTAGTGGTCACTGTGAGCCAGTTTTCTTGGTTTTTTTTTTTTGGACAGAGTCTGGCTCTGTCACTCAGGCTGGAGTGCAGTGGCGCAATCTCAGCTCACTGCCACCTCCACCTCCCGGGTTTAAGCAATTCTCCTGCCCCAGCCTCCTGAGTAGCTGGGATTACAGGCGCACACCACCTCACTTGGCTAGTTTTTATATTTTTAGTGGAGACTGGGTGTCACCATGTTGGCCAGGCTGGTCTCAAATTCCTGACCTCAAGTGATCCGCCTGCCTCAGCCTCACAAAGTGCTGGGATTACAGGCGTGAGTCACCACGCCCGGCCCGAGCCACGGTTTTCCATCCCTGGTGTGGTTGCTTCATCAGGACTTGGCAGGCCATGTGTTACTCCAGGCTCACTTGTGCCTCCAGCGCAGCAGTGAGTTCAGGTAGCATGTGTGCCTGTCTCTGAGCGGGAGCATCCTCCCCCGGCTGTGGCACCTGGGCAACGGGACATCAATTCCTGCTCTTTAATCCTACCCCCAAAGGTAATAGGAGAGCTTCCTCTGTGGGTAGTTGGGCCCTTTCCCAGGCATCCTGCCACCTCCTTGGCAGCATCTCCTTGGAACCTTACAGAAGCCTTAGGAAAGAATTGCTCCCCTCTTCTCCCCTCCCCCTCCTTCCCCTCCCCCGCTTCCCTCCCCTCCCCCGCCCATCCTCCAGGCTGGAGTGCAGCCTTCCCTCCCTCGCTCTATCCCCCAGGCTGGAGTGCGGTGGCACAATCTCGGCTTACCACAACCTCCGCCTCCTGGGTCAAGCAATTCTCCTGCCTTAGCCTCCAAGTACCTGGGATTACAGGCACCTGCCACCATGCCCGGCTAATTTTTGTATTTTTAGTAGAGATGGAGTTTTGCCATGTTGACGAGGCTAGTCTGGAACTCCTGACCTCAGGTGATCCACCTGCAGGCTAATCTCAAACTCCTGACCTCAGGTGATCTGCCTGCAGGCTAGTCTTGAACTCCTGATCTCAGGTGATCCACGCCCCTTGGCCTCCAAGTACTGGGATTACAGGGGTGAGCCACCTCGCGCCCGACCAGAAATGCTTCTATTTTATGGTGAGGAAATTGAGAGACCAGAAAGTTAACCGAGGTCACTGTCAAACCCATGGCTCCTGGCTCCCTGACCCCTCACACCCATTTCCCTCTGCGTCCTCTTGATCTCCCATGGACACTGGGATGGGCAGGGCCAGGTGGGAGAAGCAGGGCTCATCTCTGAGGGCTGCGTTATGGGGTAGGAGTTTAGCCTCAGTAACTGCAGCACTTTCTGCCCATGGCAACCTGTGCTGTTTTCACATTTCTCAGAAATTCCCGCTCTTGGAGTTTTACACTTGTAACATCTGCTTAGCAAATTTTGAAAAATTGAAGATGAAGAGTAATAAAGTGTGGACAAAGCTCTGCAGGGAGCTTGTTAGAAATGCTGATTTGAGGCCGGGCGTGGTGGCTCATGCCTATATTCCCAGCACTTGGGAGGCCGAGGCCAGCGGATCACGAGGTCAGGAGATCGAGACCATCCTGGCCAACATGGTGAAACCCCGTCTCTACTAAAAATACAAAAATTACCCAGATGTGGTGGCGGGCGCCTGTAGTCCCAGCTACTCGAGAGGCTGAGGCAGGAGAATCTCTTGAACTCGGGAGGTGGAGGTTGCAGTGAGCCAAGATCGCGCCACTACACTCCAGCCTGGCAACAGAGCGAGACTCCGTCTCAAAAAAGAAATGCCGATTTGAAGGTTCTGATTTCCAGAGTCCCGGCTGATGCTCACCTGTTGCTGGCTTTGCTAAGCGTCCCAGGTTAGTCTAGGGCGAGCAGGCTCTGAGCAACACAGCAGATAATGAGGGAGGGATTTAGAATCTGGCATTGCCAAGGAGGTCAAGGGGGACTTTCCCAAGTGTCCCGCTGTGTCCAGAGGCAGCAGCAGGGAGAACCTGTCCTGAAGGGCTGCAGTGGTCGGCGAGCCCGGCACCTGTCTAGTTCTTGGGAAGGATCATTACTATCACCAACGTCGATTGTAAAATACAAGATGCTTTTTTCTTTTTTTTTTTTTTTTTTTTTTTTTTTGCGACAGAGTCTCACTCTGTTGCCCAGGCTGGAGTGCAATGGTGGGATCTCGGCTCGCTGCAACCTCTACCTCCCGGGTTCAAGCACTTCTCCTGCCTCAGCCTCCCGAGCAGCTGGGATTACAATCATGTGCCACCACGCCTGGCTAATTTTTGTATTTTTAGTAGAGACGAGGTTTCGCCATGTTGGCCAGGCTGGTCTTGAACTCCTGACCTCAGGTGATCTGCGCGCCTCGGCCTCCTAAAGTGTTGGGATTACAGGCGTGAGCCACCACGCCTGGCCCAGACACTTCTGAGAACGAGCTACATCCTCTGTGCCACTGGATTCTGGCTGGTCCAGGAACACAGGTGTGCACACATCCGGATGTGCATCCACACACTCATGCGCATATGCCCAGCTGTGTTTCCCTGAAGCATATTTATCCTTCCAGTGTTCCTGCACCTTGGAAGGAAGCAGGACAGCTGGCCTGGACCCTGCCCCACCCTTCCTCGACCCCACCTACTGAGTGATGAACAATTCCACGCCAGCACAGTGTCCAGCCCACAGATAGGTCCCTGTAGTGGAGTAGGAGGAAGGACTATTTTGGTATGCATGGCTTTCGCGAATGTTTTGTTAATTTTCGTTTAGCTTTGTATGAGGCAGCATTCCATTTTGACTGGGCGGTAACAGAGTTGATGAAAGTTTTTAAAATAAATACTTTTTAATGGGAGATGAAGAGTTTTGGCCAATTGAGTCAAGCATTTATTTTATTACTCTTATTGCCACAAACACAAATATGTTCCATTCAAGTGAGGATGTATTTGCAAGTAAAAAGATGCTTCACATTGTTCCAATGTTTATATAATCATGCATCTTTGTTTAATGGAGCACTGCTTAATTTATAATGAATATTTTATATTGTTAGAAAGTTAATCTTATGGTGGTATGTGTTGAAAAATCAGCAGTGCATTGATGAATAGAGCTCATTTTAATTCACAGTTTACCCTCTTTGTTTTACTATTAAAGTTCATTTTTAAAACTTCACGATTTAATTTCTTATGTGCCAAATGGAATAAACCTTAAAAGGTGCCAGAAGGTAACAATGAAAGGAAAATCATCTCATCACCCTTGACTTCAGCCATCTAGTTCCTAACCCTAAATCAGCACCTGTTAAGTTGGAAATTTTACCAGAAATAGTCTCAGCCTTGACAAGCATATGCATATTTATTTTGTTTTGTTTTGTTTGTTTGTTTGTTTTTTAAATAACGAGATGGAGTCTCGCTCTGTCGCCCAGGCTGGAGTGCAGTGGCACAGTCTCGGCTCACTGCAACCTCCGCCTCCTGGGTTGATGCCATTCTCCTGCCTCAGGCTCCCGAGTAACTGGGACTACAGGCGCCCGCCACCACGCCCGGCTAATTTTTTTTTGTATTTTTCAGTAGAGTTGGGGTTTCACCATGTTAGCCAGGATGATCTTGATCTCCTGACCTCGTGATCCGCCCGCCTCGGCCTCCCAAATTACAGGCCTGAGCCACCGCGCCCGGCCAAGCGTATACATATTTTGCACCCCTCACCCCCGATACACTTTTTAGAAATGCATTTGTGAGGATCCTATCCATCTCTGTATCGCACCTGGCTGTCATCACTTGATAGTAGCCTGGGGACTTGGGGAATCCCCACTGCAGTATGTTGAGCTTCAGTTACTGGTTTTACTATTCCATGATGTGGCTATATCCACAGTTACTTAACCAGGGTGTGGTTTGTTACAGTGCAGCAACAGAGTGACGTTCTGAGAAGCCAGACACTATTGGGGCCTGCATTTTGGAGTCATCATCATTGACCTTTCAGTTTTCCCTGGACCATTAGGGTCACTTTGCAGATCCTCTAAGGCCACATTCCCATTTTTCTGCAAGAGTAGTCGATAACAGAAAGAAGTGTTTTCCAAATTAATTGGTAATGCTGTTCACTGATGGTATTAAGACACAATTAGTTACCCCTGACTGAGCGCTTGCTGGGTGTCAGGCCCACGCTAGTGCGTTCCTCGCATCATCTGTCCACGGGTAATGTTTGTCTGCAGCATGTTGGGGTGGTGTTTGGGTGCACAATTATGCAAAATTTTGCGCCCCCGATATTTAGCTCCCAATGTGTCCGTGTCAGTGGGAGGAGAGTAGAGGGGCAGTGACTGGAAGTCTTTGCGGGCAGTGCAGGGAGAAGTCCGCCTCCCAGGCATCTTCTTCCTCAGGGCTCTTGGGCTTTCCTCCTGAGCTCCTGCAGATGGGCCTCTGCCGGTCTGCTCTGCCAGCTGGACAGGCATGTTGTGCCCCGAAAGTCTCTGCCCTCTAGAGATCACTCAGATCTCCTCCTGATCTACCCAGCTGTCCTTTCCTGGAGCAGGGAGTGTTCCTCTGACGGGATGTCTCACTCGGCATCGGGAGACCCTTGACGCTGTCATTGCAGGGCCCGTGGCATCTGGTTTGCTGCACAGTTGCCCTCCCCATGACCCCCCCCCCCCCCGCCCAGAACACACTGGGCAGATGTGCCCCCCACTCTGTGACCTGGTGGGTTGTGCTCCCCCGGCGTGTGACCTGGTGGGACGTGCTCCCCAGCGTGTGACATGGTGGGTTGTGCTCCCCCGGCGTGTGACTTGGTGGGACGTGCTCCCCAGCATGTGACATGATGGGTTGTGCTCCCCCGGCGTGTGACTTGGTGGGACGTGCTCCCCAGCCTGTGACATGGTGGGTTGTGCTCCCCCAGGGTGTGAGATGGTAGGACGTGCTCCCCAGTGTGTGACATGGTGGGATGTGCTCCCTCCCCAGCGTGTGACCTGGTGGGACATGCTCCTCATTTGTGTGACCTGATGGGTTATGCTCCCCCAGTGTGTGACATGGTAGGACATGCTCCCCAGCATGTGACCTGGTGAGATGCACTCCCCAGCCTGTGACCTGGTGGGTTGTGCTTCCCAATCATGTGACCTGGTGGGACGTGCTCCCCATCGTGTGACCTGGTGGGTTGTGCTCCCCAGGGTGTGCCTGGCCTCCTTCAGATGCTGGTTTTGCCCTCCTGTGTCACACCCATGGTGTGGTTAGCCCCTTGGCTTCCAGCCCTGCATCCATGCGGTCCTCATATCACACAGTTCTGTGAAGGTGATGGTGTTTCTTAACTTTTAGGCATCTTATGAATCAGGTCACTTCTTAGACATAATGTAGAGTGAGTAAGTTTCAGCATTGGAGGACAATATATTGGAAGTAAATCCCATGTGGAAAGAGCTATTTTTCTATCAGTGGGATGCACCTCCTCCCTCTGGTCCAGCCCACTCGTCATGTGTTGCCCGAGCTGCCATGTGATCACCAGGACAAATGATGACTACTATCATGGGGTCTCATTTATGATAAGAAATGGCATGTGGTGGGTGTGGAAAACTGGGTTGCAGGTAAAGCCATGGTCGTTTGGGTCATCTGTATCGGGTGGGTGCACTGTGCACAGGCAGTCAGGGGAGGCGGGGGAGAGTGCACCTGCAGAGGGCTGGGCTCTGTAGACCACCCCATGGAGCTTAGGAGTCCTCCATCTTTCTGACATAGTCTAAACCATCCTGGCTGGGTCTTCAGTGTTTAATATCTTTGTGAGGGTCAAAACTCTAGCACCAGATCTTTCTTCTGAGCTGTAACCTGTTACTTACAAACACTGAAGTGTTAACTTACACTGTGAGCATTCAAATCTTCAAATTCAATCATACTTTTTGCTGTGTGTGTGGGATTTCAGAAAAATGACTATTGTAGTAGACAAGCAAAAGACCAAATGTGGACCGACAGGCTATAACAGAATCACTCCTCGGAAAGCTAGGTGTGTCCTCAAATATCTCCACACTTGCCAACAGGCACAGTCAGGAGGGTCTGAAGATACACGCTCCACTGAAGGGCTGTGGCTTTAGCAGGGGAAAAATGGAAAGTTCGATTTTCAGTAACTTTTGAAGTCATTGGATAGAGCATGTGTTACCGACCACAGACTTGGACCTGGAACTCCCCACTGGCATCTAGCTGAGTGTCGTGAACTGGGACAAACTGATCTTTCTGGGGTGAGAGTGACACAGGGAGGCTTGTCTGCACCATCTTCAGTGACCTTCGGATGTGAAAATGGCCCATTGGAGGCATTTTGACTTGGCCTTTACGTGAGTTATGGTGTCTGACTTTGTGTCCTCCTCTTTTTCAGATGCCTTCGTGAACAGCCAGGAATGGACGCTGAGTCGATCTGTCCCGGAGCTCAAAGTGGTGAGTGGTTCCCTCTGGCCCTGGCACCTGTGGGAAGGGAGGGGCTCTGTGCACACCCAAGCCTGCATTCCCAGGCAACTGGTCATCGCCTGGGGCCCAGAGTGGAAGTGTGACTCTGGGTGTGTTCCTGGGAAGGGCCAGGTATAGTTGATAGCTTGGGACTAGAGTCCAAGTTCCTGAGTGCCCCTGGGACAGCTATGACAGCCATGACTGCCACTCAGCCAGGGCGGTGTCTCATGTGCAGGGCAGAGGCCATCATCATCCTCTCTCTCACATCTCGTGGGTGTGTGTGTGTCCACACACACACACCCCCATGGGTTGATTTGTCCTTTGCAGGATGTCACGGAAGGCTCCACACACACACACCCCCATGGATTGATTTGTTCTTTGCAGGATGTCACGGAAGGCTTCTGTCATGAGTCACCAAGCTTTGGTATCCATCATTTTTGAAATGTGACTATTTACCCTGTGACCAAGTATTGGCATGAAATTAAAATTTTTGTCTTTTACGAACCTTACCCTTTCGGTGAAATTATGTAGAGCTTCAAATTGGCACGTGTAAAAAGTGGTCCATCGCAGCCACCCTTTCCAGCCGCTCCCCTCTACCGTAGGATGGAAGGAAGGGGCAAGTCTAACTTTGAAACAACCAGGTTCTTTGTCGTGAAATATGTGGCATTTGTGTGTATGGTTATGTATCTGTGTATGTATGTATATATGTGTATATATGTCTAATTTCCGTGTGTATGTTTATATTTATGTAGGTATCTATGTATGTATGTATATATGTCTAATTTCTGTATGTGTGTGTATGTATTTTCTAATTTGACCGTGAAAGCAAAGCAGATGAGCTCTTGCTGTTCTGCAGACTCCGGCATGGGCCTGCCTAGTGTGTCTGTCCTCTGCATTTCTATTGATAGCACCAGATCCCCTGCGGCCCGTGGACTCCTCCCCACTGACCCCAACCTCATTGCATGCTTGGAGGACAGGACAAGGGCCAGGAGACAGGATCCTTCCGGTCCTTCATGTCTGAGATGAGGAGATAGAGCAACAAAGAACTTCTAGGTCTTTGAAGAGACTTTTGTCACCAGGAAAAGTATTTGTTTTTAAACTTAGGAAATGAAGTACAATGAGTGGGAGGTGCCCTGAGGTGGGAAGGCCCTGTGGTCACTGTGCCGTCTCTCTCATTGGTGTCTGACACACCCATCCCCACCGCAACCGCGGGGTGTCATCAGCTGGGCCCATCTCCTTCCCGGTGTCTGCCCCCCGCCCCATTCCTCCCTGAAGGTCTCTGGGCTGTCTCTGCAGCACTTGCCCGTGGGAGACAAAGCGTCTCTCAGTCCTAGTGCTGTCTCAGAAGCCTGGGGTTCCGCAAGACTGGCCTGGAAAGAGCCGCCTCTTTCTGTCTTTTGTGTGCTTTGTCACCGCGGCACTGGCAGGGTGTCTTAAGCCTATTGAAGCCGTCCAGGAAATGTGCGTTGAATGAATGGCACAGGCTTGGCAATGCTGTTACCAGGAGATTCTCAGAACAATCCCGCAGTTTCCGTTACTTCCTGTTAAGACAGCCGCTGCCACTCGGGTGCTGTGATGGGCACGGAACAGTAGTCACGGTGGTTTACTGGTGGTGATGGTGTGGATACAGCGCTGGCTCTGTGCGGGTCGTGTTCTAAGTGCTTTACAAAATTACTTAATCCTGACAAGTGCCCCATGGGGAGGGATAGGTACGGTTATCCCCATTTCACAGATGAGGAAACTGAGGCTCAGAGACATGAAGAACCTGCCCAAGGAGCCACAGTGAGTAAGTGGGGGAGCTGAGGTGTGAGCCTGGAGCTGGTGCTTCCACCACCGCACTGCCTGACAGAACTTTCTCGACGGTAAAAACCTCCTGCGTCTGCACTGCCCAGTGCCGTCACGGCTGGCGCCATGTGGCTGTTGAGTGATTGAAACGTGGCCAGTCAGTGCCATCAAGGAGCTGCATTTTAAGTTTGATTCTAGTTCATTTAAATTGAAATAGCCACACAGGGCCAGCGGCCACCCTACTGCCAGCATTACAGACTAACTGATCGTCAAGTATTGAACCACCTGACTTGGCAGTTCAAGGTGTTACAGGTTCAGAGAGGGCCCACATGATCATACCAGCCCATAATCGAGGATGCTTACCACCAAAAACTTGTGCTCTGCCGGTATTTTGAAAGCATATGATTTTCTGGAATATCTGCCCAGAGCTGTAGGAGACAGTTGCGTTTGAGGCAGCATGGGCTCCTCATTCTGAAACGGACTGTCTTAAGGCTTGCTTCAATTTGCTGACACCGTGGGCTTCGATGCTGTTGGTTCTACAGTTCTCAGAACGGTCCTGTCCCTGGCCTGAGTGTGGATGGACGAGATCCTGGCAGGCCCACCAGCTCTGCTCTAGCCCAAGTGCCTTCTTGTTGTGGCATCAGCGGGCACTCGTCCTCATCGGCACCCCCAGCAGATCCCTTGTGTGCTGAGGAGTGCTCAGGGACTGAAGAAAGCGCTGCTTTGTTCCCTAGGCAGCCTCCAAGTGCCTATAGGGCTGCAATTGTTTCCCTCCTAGCGCAGCCCCCCCAGGACAGGTGGCACTTTAGGTCAGCGTCTCAGGAACCCAGCCCCTGCTTCACAAACGCAGCAGTGACATGATGTCATGGCAAGCCTCCAATAGGCCCTTTATGTAACATTTTGCAATAAATCTTTTGAAATCTGTCAGAGAAAAAAATTCAATGTTCGCTTTCTTCTCAAGAGTGGTAGTACCATGCCTTATGTTTTATTTTCTTTCTTTCTTTTTTTTTTGTTACGGGGTCTCACTCTGTCACCCAGGCTGGAGTGCAGTGGCGCCATCTCGGCTCACTGCAACCTGCCTCCTGGGTTCAAGTGATTCTCGTGCCTCAGCCTCCCAAGTAGCTGGGATGACAGGCACCCACCACCACATCTGGCTAATTTTTTATTTTTAGTAGACAAGATTTTACCATGTTGGCCAGGCTATGCTCAAACTCCTGACCTCGTCATCCGCCTGCCTTGGCCTCCCAAAGTGCTGGGATGACAGGCCTGAGCCACTGCGCCCGGCCTGATGTTTTCTGAAGTTGTGCTGTGGTCAGATCGTCCATGACCAGTTGCTTTTGGTGCTGCACAGGAGCCAACCGCTGCTGGCTGCAGATGTGTGCCCAACAGCAAAAGCTTGATGCTTCTGTCAGAGGGGAAGGCACATAGGCTCTGGACATCTTGCCTGTGTAGGGGACCTCAGTCCCCAGCTCCTCACATCCTATTTGTGTGTTTTCATTGAACTCCAACTGGAATTTTTACTAAAAGCCTTGATTTCCTTTTCAGCAAACCTCAGGGTTAGTGTGGGGCTCTGGAGAAATCAGTTTAGGAAGACATTGCATTCCCTTTGGCCTTGTGATGTGAAGGGCCGAGTATGGGTTCCAACGCACTTCATGTGCCTGCACAGACGGTGACCCCTGCACAGAGGTTGACAGTGGCAACCTCTTCCTGCCTTAAGTACGTAGTTCTGTGATTTTCAAGACACCTCATTCCTCCTCATGTAGCTCTTTGGCTCGCTCTGGATTGATTTCCTCCGTCTTGGTTTACTTCCAGCAGTCGCTCCGACAGCTTCACGGGTGGCGTGACACACTTGAAACGGCATTTTGACCCCTTATTTTATTTTCCTTTCACCATCAACTGTTAATTTCCACCAGCGTTTCAAATTAAAATGATGCCATCGTGTGTGACTGAGGTGGTCTGTGAGATGGCTGTTCCAGCCAAACCAAACCCCTTCCCACTCCACTCCAAGATTGATTGCCCTAAGGGAGAACTTAGGGGAGAGCTTAATCTTTGCCCATCTTGTTAGGTGGAAGAAGGCAGGAACGTTGCTATGCAGAGAAGGCACAGACCAAAGGATGTTTGGTTTTGGAGCATTTTCTTCCTCGAGAAAGAGAAACTGATCTTAATTAAAAATTTAATTCTGTGGCATACTGTTTTGGATTTTCCCAGCATGAAGCTGACATGAAGCGGGTGCCCTTGAGCAAAAGAATAATTAGTAGGTAGAAATTCTCCGATTATAGAGGCCCAGGGTAAAAAAAGATGTACGTCGGATTAGGAGGGGAAACAGCTTTATTTAGAATCTGTCCACACAGCCTGGCTTGAGCCTGGCTCTGAGCCTTAGTAATAAGCATCTCATTCACTCACCAGCAGTGCAGTCATGCATGTACTCATCCGTTCTTTTACTCGGCCCGTGCTCTTGAGCGTCTGCCTTGGGCTCTGCATTACGCAGGGATTCAGAGAACAAGGCAAATGAGACAAGGTGCCTGTCCTTGAGGAATTGTCAGTATTGGAGGAAGCCAGATCAACACACTGATGTTTCCAAAATAATGTGTTCCCTTGTGAGATATCCTTGGGGCAGAGACCTAAGGGAGCTTTGAGGAAAGGCACCCAGTTGAGGCTGTGGCATCAGGAAGGTGTCTTCGTCTCTTCTGGCTCCTGTAACAAAATATCATACACTGAGCAGCTGATAAACAACAGAAATATATAGCTCACAGTTCTGGAGGCCAGGAAGTCCAAGATCAAGGCACCTGCAGATTTGATGCCTGAGGACCTGCTTGCTGGTTCGTAGGTGGCATCTTCTTGCTGTGTCCTCACGTGGAGGAAGACGCGAGAGGTCTTTCTCAGGCCTCTTCTACAAGGGCGCTAATCTGCTCCCACAACTGCCACACCTCGTAATACAATCACCTTGGGGATTAGGTTTCTTTGTTTAAAATTTTATTTATTATTTTGTTTTTATTTTTTGAGACAGAGTCTCACTCTGTCGCCCAGGCTGGAGTGCGGTGGTGCAATCTCAGCTCACTGCAACCTCTGCCTCCCGGGTTCAAGTGATTCTCCTGCCTCAGCCTCCTGAGTAGCTGGGATTACAGGCATGCACCACCACAGCTGGCTAATTTTTATATTTTTTTAGTTGAGACAGGGTTTCACCATGTTGGCCAGTCTGGTCTTGAACTCCTGACCTCAGGTGATCCACCTGCCTCGGCCTCCCAAAGTGCTGGGATTACAGGCGTGAGCCACCATGCCCAGCCAGGGGTTAGGTTTCAACATATGAGTTTGGCTGGGAGTGTGGGGGTAGGACGGGGAAGCACAAACATTCCTACCATATAGTTGAAGGCTTGTCAGAGGAGGTGACATCTGAACTGATAGTAAGAGTAGGTTTCGGGGAATGATTGATATGGAAAGCTTTAGTTGCCTGGAGACAGCAAGGCCTGTTAGGATGGGGCTTGGTAGCTGATTGACTAGAAGGCCAAGCAGGGAGCGGGCAGATGAGAGGCGGGAGGGTTGTAACTGGGGTGTAAGAGGACAGGACCGAGCATAGGTTTTAGAAAGGCCACTCTGGCTGATGAGTAGAGAGTGGGAGCGGCCAGGACTGGGTGACAGAGAACATTTGGATCCATGAGCCATCACTCAGACAGCAGACCACGGTGGCCTGTAAATCACTGAGAACCTTTTTTCCACACTGTCATGCCAAATTTGTTCTCTTATATGTTTGTTTGTTTTCTTTTTTGTTGTTGTTTTTGTTTTGTTTTGAGACAGAGTCTCGCTCTGTCACCCAGGCTGGAGTCCAGTGGTGTATCTCGGCTCACTGCAACCTCCGCCTCCTGGGTTCAGGCGATTCTCCTGCCTTAGCCTCCTGAGTAGCTGGGACTACAGGCGTGTGCCACCACGCCTTGTTATTTTTTTGTAGTTTTAGTAGAGATGGGATTTCACCGTGTTAGCCAGGATGGTCTCGATCTCCTGACTTCATGATCTGCCCGCTTCGGCCCCCCAAAGTGCCGGGATTACAGGCGTGAGCCACCGTGCCCAGCCCTGTGTTTGTTCTTAATAGCTATTGGCTTCATCATCTACTTAACCAACGTTCCTTCCTCCCTCCTGTCTCTCCTCCTCTCCCCTTTATTTCCATCTCTCCTCCCTCCCATCCTTCTTCCTTGTCATCCATCTATCCATCGACCCATCTTGTGTTTACCAGGACTTTGTTGGAGCCAGGGACTATGACAAGTGTACAGATTCGGAGCTGGTGTCTTGGCCCGTATCCAGAGACAGAGATCTTGGCCCTCGGGGTCCTAAGTGTAGTGGGAGGTGGAGCCCAGGGCCTCACCAGCCACTGTCAAGGCTGTCTGGGGGTGAGGGGAAAGCAGGGAAGCTTTCCCAAGAGAAAGTGAAGCCCTCCTCAGGTGAAAGGGGAGGGGTGCTCAGGTGACAGGAGCAGTGAAGTGTTCTTGCGGCAAGTTCATGGACCTGCTGGGCCTGTTAGCTGCCAGCAAAGTTGTGTGCGAGGATTTGGAAGGAGACAGTTTGTTCCTAAAATGTTTGGAGTTGGGCCTCCAGGCAGCAGGAGTCTCCCACGGCTTATGAAATGAAGGAGTGCCACTTTCTCATGGTCACTTTGTTTCTAGGAACCTCTCTGGTGTTCTCGGGTTGAAAAGCAGGTGCTTGCAGGCAGAGAGAGGCCCTAGAGGCTGCTTCCTTGATCCGTGCACACTGGAGAGTCCACACTGAGGTGGCAGCAAGGTGCCCAGGAGGGAGCGGACTCCCTGACTTCCAGCCACTGGGAGTCGGGGATGGCCTCCAGCTTTCTGGCTTGAGAGGCTGGGTGTGATGTGGCCTCAGAAGCTGATGAGGAGACTGGGAGAGAGAGGCAAGGTGTGGACCCATCGAGGCGTGAATACCGCATAGGTGGCGTACGGATGTATATAAAGTCCTGGTGGGAGCTAAGTAGGGGCGCCTGGAGCTGGGGTGGACGGCGGCCAGGGGATGCGATTTGGGAATAGGCAGCTTTTTTTTCCCCCCACATCCAACCTTCTATCAATGAGTTATGATTCCAGAGTCTGCAGGGTGTCTCCTGTTAAATGGAATCGCAGCTCATTGAGAGAAGGTTGGATGTGGACAGGCGCATGTTGGGACATTAGAGTGGAGGATCAGCTGGAGATGTGAGGATGGAGCCCTGGCGAGTCCCAGTATGTCCCTGCAGATGGAGGAAGAACCCACAGGGCTGGGAGGGAGGTAGAGGCGGAAGCCAGTGTGAGAGTTGGAAGAGAGTGTCTTAACAGCAGCTGCTGGTGATGGGGCCAGGTCAGAGCGAGACAGGCTAGTGGCTTTGAAATGGAAGTTGCGGGTGACCTAGTGGGCAGTTTCCTGGTAGCAACAGGGCCAGAGCTTCAGATAATTTGAGTGGAGGCAGGAGGGAGGTCAACAAGTGGAACCGAGAGCAAGCGGGGTGAGTCCCAGCTCAGGGAATGGCAGGTGGCCTTAATGAGCACCTGTGCCTGGGGATGGGTGCCTTGTGATGTTTTGGGCTTTTTAAGGAATCGATTAGATCATGCTTAAATTTGATCACTAGCGATGTTCTAGTGGGGGAGGAAAAGGTTAAAATGCAGGAGATTTTTGATGAGCAGCTTCCCAGAGAAGGCGGCATGGGGGGTATCCAGCTCCCAAGCACAGGGAAAGGGAGGCTCCCTGTAGGATCGGCCACTTGGAGGCTGGGAGGCCAGGTGTGTCTCCTGTGTCAACAGGGAGGCTTCCTGTGAAGAATCCCCTGGAAAGTCAGCCTTGCCGCCAGGTTACTGCTAGGACAGAGGCCCTCATGTCACCCTCCCTCCTGAGGGTCGCCTTCTAATCCAGCACAAACGAGCACCTTTGCCGTCTCTCCCAGCAGCCCTGGCACTGTCCCCTTTTTCTCGGAGATGCCTTGGTGGGTCCTGTGTCTGGGAGGCAGGTGTGTGCCCTCCTCGCCTGTGTGGCCGGCCCCTGCCTTGCTCCTCCACCCCCAGGTCTCCCCACACTGCCCTTTTCTGCTCCTGTTGTCCTGCCCCCAAGTCTACCCTAGACTCATCCCCTAAAGATGCTACCATGCATGGGTCCTCGCCACTCTCCCCACGTCACTCACCTCTGCCCTCGGGTGCCACCTCACCTGCTGCTTTTCCCAGTCTCTGGAGGGTGCACAGTAGATGCCGGCGGGCTAACTCAAGGAACACAGCCCTGATGTAAACAATGTGCTTGTTTTCTGGAAGAATGCCAAACCAGTGTTTATACCAGCATTGCTGATGCCGTTGCAGCTGTTGAGGCTGATGAGAACGTGAGATGTTAATTAAGAGTGTTGGACTCCCTTTTACTCCAATGGAAGTATTGAATGAGCTTGTTTTTGGCCATCCAGCCAGTGCTTGGTTATGTTTGTGTTTAGGCCTCCTGTCTATTTTAGCCTCTTAGTATTTGCAAAATGCCAAATAGAGTGATTTGATGATGCTTAACGGTTGTCCGTTTCTGTTTCAGGGAATTGTGGGTAACTTGGCCAGCGGCAAGTCTGCCCTGGTGCACCGGTACCTGACGGGCACATATGTCCAGGAGGAGTCTCCGGAAGGTATGCTGTTTGGCAGGCAGTTGCAAACTTAAGAATGTAGTTTTTTAAAATTTTTCCTTAGCATATTATAAATCATGACTTTGATGTATCACAGGTCAAGAAAGCAATAAAACATACCAAGCGGTAAAAACCCTTAAGTATGTGGTTTCTTCTGTAGTATTTTTAGCAAACCCGTTATATTCACTTTGATATCTGGAATAGCGCAGTAGAACCATGAAATACTATTGAATTTATTTCTTATCTAATTGTTCTGTCCTTTCAAATGTCCTTTTTAATCCAGTGTCCTTCTTATCCATTGTTGCTCCTTTAAATATTGACTGGACATTCCTGTGATCTGGATATTGAATTTATACATAATTTGTATGTAATGTTACTTAGTCATAGATAAGAGCCTTCCGGGATAAGACGTTCAGATTACCACCACCATATGTTTGAGTATGTTTCCCCCCTTATATTATAAACATTTAATAATCATTTTGCATGAGAGTAAGATTTTTTTTTTTGCCATTAGGCATTTGCTTCTTCAGTTAACATGTCCATATTTTATTTTTTGCCTTAAATAAAATTATGATAATGGTAGGAAGCATTTAGCTCCCGTGTCCCCTAACGAAGGGGTGTAGTTGACAAGCAGTTTTCTAAATGAAATTTTCTCTCCGTGTAACTTTGTTAAATCCAACTCTGAGACACTGAATTTCTGGTTCCTTCTTTTTCTTACTGGCTGTTCCATTCTTTGCAGATATGGATGCAGGTAACTATTCATTTTCTTCATGGCAGCGCTTGTCTTGTTTTGGAGAGAGAGGAAAGGCACCACTTTGTACTGTAGCGTTCCCTTCCCTCCTTGTTCTGTGTACCATCCTGTTTTGTTTCATTTTATCTTTTTCTTCAGTTGAACATTCCACCCTGTTTTGTCCCTTAGTTGTCTTTTTAGCAGTAGTCCCAAGCAGCTTCACCTGTTCCCTGTAACACCTGTCCTAGCATTTAACTCTTGTCCTGAATACTGCGGAACCGTTCGGAGAAGTATAAAAGTGGCTTGAGGCTCTGCCACCGTTTTGCAGAATTGTGTAGTCATGTCATGAACACCTCATGCATCAGGAAGAGACCTTCCATACTGAAATGATGATCTAGGAAGATTAGAGGTGATAATGAAGGCTTGTATGTAGGGGTCAATAGGAGAAAGCTTGCCTGTTCACTGAGAAATGCATACAGATGCCAGAAAATGGCATGATTTGGAGAAATGAGCAAAGGCCACATTTTGTCAGGGCTCTGTCCCTGGGTTTTGACGGCTTTTATTTGCTCCTTTGTGTCGGAATATGAATTTTAGCCACGGCCAGCTGGTGACACCTTTTAGAGAATCTTTTAGAGATTTTTCCTTTGGGTTTTCCACTTATTTTCAAGGGCTAGCTATTGTAGAGGTTATACAGAGGTTAACTCACCTGCAAATGAAATGACCACCTTTTCTAAGTAAATCTACTTTCAGGGCCCTGCAACTCTGTGGATTTCAAGCTGGGACCACAGGAAGTTACATGAGTCGGGCCTGGTTTTGTTGCTGTTGCTCTGGCAGTCTCTGGCCCTGGGGTTCAGGTGTCTGGTGGGGCAGCGCTGGAGGCCCTGGGTTTCTGGAGTAAGAACAAGGACCACGACTCACTCATGGTGGCCTTTCTGCTATATGGCTATTTGGTCATTTTTGTGGCTTTTCGCTGTTTTCCCTTTGGGCATTCACAGTGTGTTCCATTGTATTTGGGCCCAGCTGGGATGTCTTTTGCAGTGCATAATTGACCCTTACATGTTGACTCACACCAAAGCATTTCTCTTGAACGTTTATACATCAAAAGGAAGGATTGTGGGGTGACCTAAACTGATCACTAACATCCCTGCTTCTTTGATTTTTCAAGTAATGCATTTTACTGCACTGAAATTTCATAGTATTGTGTATGGTTTTTAAAAATACATTATTTTTAAGAGTAGGAGCGTGGGTGAGTACCTTCCTTTCTTCATCTGCAAAGTGGAAGTAGCTCATCCCCTCCATGGGGCCCCATGCCCAAGGCTTCCTGGGTCAGGGGAAAGATCATGATCCCTGACCTTTTCTCATGCCCTGCAGCAGCCCTCCCTGGGCATGTGGCCTCTCACCTTTTGACTCGAGGTCCCAGGGATTGTTCTGTGGGAGTGTGAGGAGCTGACAGCAGCAGACACCCAGGTGCACCCCAGTGGGTGTGTGTCTAGGGCCCCTGGGTGCTGAAAGAATTATGAATACATGGCTCCTTGTGCCTGGAAGCTTCTTAGTCCTGCTGAATTCATGCTTCTCATGGCTGAGCCACCTTTCCCGTGTAGAACCAAGCAGGTGGCCACTGT
Organism: Homo sapiens; assembly: GCF_000001405.40. Classification (NCBI taxonomy): domain Eukaryota; kingdom Metazoa; phylum Chordata; class Mammalia; order Primates; family Hominidae; genus Homo; species Homo sapiens. The sequence continues at coordinate 235,719,994 of NC_000002.12, forward strand.
CTTTGCCCCTCTTAATGAGACCAGGGAATGGACTTCTACTTCCTGTTCATGTGACTGTGTGCCTCATGACAGTGGCAGGAGGGAGCCATAACTTGTTGTAATGTCACTTGTAATGAAGGGAGCCATACTTGTTGTTTGGGAAAGAAAACAAATGAGAAGCCGTGTTTCTTTCATACCACGGTCTTGCCATCCTGAAATTCCCTCTCATGCTCAGGGAGCCTGTACCTGGAAAGTGATTTCAATTTTTGTCCAGTGAGTTAGTGTTGATCAATTACCCATGCTTTGCTTAATTGAGAAGCTTTAGGTATAGAGTGTTGTGGGTTTGGGATATAATTTACTGTGTTGTCACCTGGGTGTGTGGAGACTATCAAAGGGATGTGTTGTCCTCGGGGAGTGCTGGAGGCTGACAAAGCTGATGATGGCCCAGCCTCACCTGTGGTTACTTACCCACACAAAGGTGAGGGCACTCCCACAGTGGTGGGAGTGGTTGGCGCCCGGTTGAGGGATTGGATTTTGAGTGAGCTCTGTGGCCTTCCCATTTCTTGGTGTACTGCTGCCTTCTCATCAGACCTCCTTTCCTCTTACAACTGCTAGAGCGATCAACTGGGCAGCTACTTTGAATGAAAGGCATTTTGCTGTGTATCTGCCTGTCCAGATAGTTCCTTGGATTCTCCCTGCGCTTCTTAATGTCTGTGCCCTGTTCTTCTGATTTAATTAGTGCGTGAGTATCCTTTATGTCATAATCCTGACCCGTGGCTGGGATATGTAGACTGCTGGGAGGGGTGAGGGTGAGGGCCTTCCTGTCTTCAGGGGAGAGCTCTCTCGTGGTAGAAACATTTCTGGTGCAGAGCCGTCTCCAGATCCAAGCCTGCTTTTCCTCAGATACATCAGATGCATTTTAGCTCCATCCCAGAGGGTAATATCTGCTGTCTTTTCGTTGTATGATGCATTTTGGTTGATATTTTATTCTTGTAGTGAAGAGAGCCAACTCACAAGATTTAGATTATTTTATTTTATTTATTTATTTATTTTGAGATGGAGTCTTACTCTGTCACCCAGACTGGAGTGCAGTGGCGTGATCTCAGCTCACTCCAACCTCTGCCTCCAGGATTCAAGTGATCCTCCTGCCGCAGCCTCCTGAGTAGCTGGGATTACAGGCACCCCCCACCGCGCCCGGATAATTTTTGTATTTTTGGTAGAGGCAGGGTTTCACCATGTTGGCCAGACTGGTCTTGAACTCCTGACCTTAAGTGATCCACCTGCCTGGGCCTCCCAAAGTGCTGGGATTACAGGCATGAGCCACCACGTCCAGCCAAGACTTAGATAATTTTAAAGATGCAGTTCAAATGAGGGAAGGATATAAATATTCTGTTTTTCAATTAGTGAATTAACAACACAAAAGTGGGTAACACCGTAGGGAACTTGTGATTCCATGAAATCAGTCAAAGAGTAAACCTCTTGGATTGACAGATTCCTTAATATTATGTGTGTGTGTGTGTGTGTGTGTGTGTACACCTAGGTGTGTAATATATGTATGTGTACTTCAGTCCTAGCACTGTAGTAACGAACTGCCACACACAGTGTGGCTTAAAACAGAAATGTATTCTCATAGTTCTCAGAAGTCTGAAATCAAGGTGTTGACGGGGTTGGTTCCTTCTGCAGCTTAGAGGTTGAATCTGTTCTATGTCTGTGCGGTTCTGATTTAATTAGTGTGTGCATATCCTTTATATTCTAATCCTGACCCATGGCTGGGATATGTAGATTGCTGGGAGGGGTGAGGTGGTGAGGGCCTTCCTGTCTTCAGGGGAGAGCTCTCTTGTGGTAGAAACATTTCTGGTGCAGAGCCGTCTCCAGATCCAGGCCTCCTTTTCAGCAGATACATCAGATGCATTTTAGCTCCATCCCAGAGGGTAACATCTGCTGTCTTAATTGTGTGATGCATTTTGGTTGATATTTTATTGTTACAGTGAAGAGAGCCAACTCACAGATTTAGATGATTTTAAAGATGCAGTTCAAATGAGGGAAGGATGTAAATACTGTTTTTCAATTAGTGAATTAACAGTGCAAAAGTGGGTTACTCCATAGAGAGCTTGTGATTTCATGAAAGCCATCAAAGAGTAAACCTCTTGTATAGACAGATTCCTTAATTGGGTGTGCGTGCTCACACGTGTGTGTGCACATCTGGGTGTGTAATATATGTATGTGTACCTCAGTCCTAGGGCTGTGGTAACAAAGTACCACAAACTGGCTTAAAACAGAAATGTATTCTCACAAGTCGGAAATCAAGGTGTTGACGGGGTTGGTCCTTCTGCAGACTTTGAGGTTGAATCTGTTGCATGTCTGTGCACAGTTGTTCTGATTTAATTAGTGCGTGAATATACTTTATCCTAATCATGACCTGTGGCTGGTATACGTAGATGGCTGGGTTATGTAGATGGCTGGGAGGGTTAAGGTGGTGAGGGCCTTCCTGTCTTCAGGGGAGAGCTTCTGGTGGCTGTCAGCAATCCATGCTGTTTCTTGGCTCATAGACTCCTAACCCCAGTCTCTGCCTCTGTCATCACAGTGTTTTCCTGGCTATCTGTGACTGTCCAAACTTTTTCTTATAAGGACACCAGCCATTGGATTTAGGGCCCATCCTCCTCCAGCATGACATCATCTTTACTTGATCCCATCTGCAAAGACCCTCTATCCAGGTGAGGTCACACCATAGGTCCCAGGGGTTAGGGCTTGAACGTATCTTCTAGGGGATACAATTCAACCCACAGCAGTGTGTGTTATATACCTGTGATGTTCTCCAGGGATGTCCAATCTTTTGGCTTTGCTGGGCTACATTGGAAGAGGAAGAATTGTCTTGGGCCACACATAAAATACACTAACACTAACAATAGCAAATGAGCTAAAAAAAAAAAAAATTATACACACACTAAAAACTCATGTGTTAAGAAAGTTTACAAATTAGCGTTGGGCCGCATCCAAAGCTGTCCTGGTTGGCAGGTTAGAGAAGCTTGGTTTAGACGGTCGCTGCACTTAGAACTGTTGGAGTTGGCCCCATCACTTGGTGGTGGTCATGGTTCTGCCAGTGATGCTTTTGCAAGCTCTGCTGGTGTTCTAGAACCTCACAAGGACTCATCGGCTGGCAGTGACCTTCACACCTCTGAGGACAATTTCACAGCTGCCGTTCACTTCCTATAAAGAGAATGAGATGAAAATTAGTTATTTGCCAATTGAGCCCTATTAATGGCTGCTGATTAGAATCGTGTGACATTTTGGGTGTGTAATGTGACTTCCCTCGTGGTGTGTTTATGTGCTTAATATTCAGCGTCCCCCAACACAGACCCCACATGATGCCACTCAGCTTTTAACTCTCCTTTCAAAAGAGAAAAAGTCAAAGGAAACAAAGCTAGGATGTCCAGTATTATGTGGACATTAGATAGGAAATGTGGACCTGCCCAAGACACTTCACCCCCTGCAGGTGGGGAGAGTGTGGCGTCCTCCTGAGATCTTTTCAGGTTGCAGAACTGAGTCATTGCTCTGAGACCCGTTCCCCAGGACAACTCTCTCTGTGTCACCCATGGCATCACAGGCACCCTGGGCCATGGGCCCTCCCGAGCTGTGCAGGTTAGCTTGTGTGCCAGAAGGACCTGAGGACCAGAAAAGCTGAAAGCCAGCACCACGCTGAGATCGTGGCACACCTGAGGAGGGCAGAAAGGTGGCCCCACAAGCTTCCCAAGATGAAACTAAACTGTATATGGATTGAGTGGGAGCTTTTATCGTTGGTTGGTTGGTTGGTTGGTTGGTTGGTTGGTTGGTCGATCGACAGAGACTTAAGAATGTTCATAGACCAACTCCAAGCTGCAAAATGAAAGTACCGAGAGGAAGGTGGGCCATCTGAGAGCCGCCTTTATCCCAGATCTGGAAGAAACCCACATCTAGGTGTGAAAGTGGCAAAAGGAGGGCCGGGGCCTGCCTGCCACTGAGGCCCAGCGGCTGCCTGCGAGGGTCAGTGGTGTCGTAGCCTGCTGCCGCCACACAGAGGGATTTGCAGGGAAGGGCCTTAGCCAGGCATGATGTGGGAGCGTTGGCCCTGGCATTCCCGGGTCTTCATGAGCTTAATTCAGCAGGGGCTCCTTCCTTCAGTGATGGAATCTGGAGTTTCTGACTGATTCTTAACCAACTCAAAATTTTAGGCAGAAAGCTAGCTCCAAGGCTGAGGCAGCCCTGAATGTGCCTAGGCCAACAGCCAGCGAGCTCCTGGCCGGGAGCCTGGTAATGGGGATGGCTGGTAAAGGCTGTGCCGGCCCTGCCTCCCTCCCAGAAGGGCGACCCTCCAGCCCCATGTCCAGGCTCTCCCATCTTCCCAGCTCGGGCCACACATAGGCAGCAGCTGCCCCCATGCTCTGTCCCAGAGACGGAACACACTGGTCACTGGGAGATTAGCCTCCCTCATTCATTTTCCCGATAGAATATGATAGCTGAGGTAGCTGGAAGAGTATGGTCAAGGAGCTCAAGGCAGCTCTTTCACTCAGGAGCCTGCCAGCGTAGGGCAGGGGAAGTCAGTGCCCTCCCAGATGGAAAAGGTACCTGCGGTGGTGGGGGGAGGGGGAGTTCCCTATGTAAAGAAGAGTCCAAAACAGATAAGGGAGACTGAAGAAACCTGAACATCCAGTGCTCATGAGGAAAAGCTTTAAGAGAAAATACCAGGTGCTAAGAGTAATTATAACTACCAGGTAAGGACCAGTGAGAAACAGTGGGTGAGATTAGGCTCGACAGTTCCCTAACTCAGGAAAGTCGAGTTTCTGAGCATAAGTCATAGGAAATTCTCAAACATACTTTTGCTTTGTGCCTGGGAAGCAGGAAAGTACACCAGACCCACCTCATTTCTTACATCTCTCCAAGAGAAGCCTTTCGCTTGTCTGTTTGGTTTATTTGGTTCACATCAGAGTTTGCTAAAGGCTTGGAGGTTCTGTAGGAAGGAATGAGCCGCTTCACCTCCTGGAGAAAGGACGTCTCGTTTCCAGCATGTCGGGGGTCAGGCTGTGCTGCACTGAGGCTGAAGGGTTCTGGGATTTTCCACTGTGTGTTTGGTTTCTGTTGCTTGTTCCAAGCTGCTGACGCGGTGTGCTGGATGAGAGTTCTACTGGCCACTGGCTTCTGGCCTCCAGGGCCAGCTGGCTGTACAGCCACCTGCAAGTCTTTGTTCCCGGGGTTAGCCTTGCCACCCTCCTTCAGGACTGCCTAGAATTGTTTCCTGTCATCGGGGTAGTAAATGTGTTCTCAGGAGCACGTGTATCTTAAATATGTTTTAACGAATGTTTACTTAGTTTCTTAGAAACAAAACGTGGTAAACACCCAGTCTTATTTTCTGGGACACATGAAGTGTGTTTAAGCTGTCAGCTCCAAAAACCCTTTCCAAGTCAAATAACTTAAAAAAAAAGGTTGTCAGCTACCACTGCATCCCAGATGTTAGAGTTTATTTCTAAAGCTGTTCTTGGGTGCTGTTTAATGTTCCAGTGGAAAAAAAAAAAAAACACCTGTAATACTCCAGTAACATTTGACTAGTCGTGAAATCTAGCCATTTAGATTTTTCAACCTCAATTTGACCGTTAGTTGCAACCAAGTGATTATAAACACATGATAATTTTTTAATGAGAATTATCTGTAAACGTTGAGATGATGAGCCTGCTGCTATGTTGGTTTAATAGATAAAGCAGAAGTCAGTTCAGCCATCTTCACTGATGATTTTCAGAATTAACCTGATCACTCACCATGGAAATACCATTCCCCTTTGTTCTTGTCTTCCTATGTGTGTGACAGTCCCTAACTTGACCCCTGGCATGGAAGCCATCAGTGAGGATCAGGTGATATTGTCTAAAAATAGGTAAAGGATGCTAACATTATTATTAGATGTTCAAAAAAATAATAAAAGGGAAGCATGTTCTGTTTCATTTTGAGCAAGAAAAAAAGCCGTAAAATCAGAATAAGGAGATAGTCATGTTTTTGGCATTGATGAAATTGGCAGGACAAAGTGTGTTTTTGAGTTGGCTGTATGGAACTCAGAATGTATTGTCCCATATTGTTATAATTAATTTGACAAGAAATCCAGGGCTTACCAAAAGCCATACTGGGCCTGCATTGGAGCCTGTGTTCCAGAGAAAATACCTTTCTGAATAAGTAACTGTGATGCAGGGCTGGGACTTACACCCGGTCTGGGAGCGCCCTAAAGAGGACAAGCCCGCTGGCTTCTGTGGGGAGTCACTGTCTCCTGAGGGCAGCGCACAGAGGCTCATGTGTGTCCCTTCACTCACAGAGCCCAACAACAGCACAGCACATGCTGTTGACACAACTGTTGCTTTCCTAAGAAACCTCACGGCATCAGATATTTTAACAAAACCGTTCTTTAAGAGGAAAATGGAGACTAGAGCCTAGAAAGTTTCACGTATGTAATTACAAATCATTTTTCCTAGAGAAATTTTACCCCAAAAGTGTTCTGAGGCTGTGGGTGCATTTACCTGTTTATTGCGGATTAACAGAGCCATTGAATCTATCCCAATGGAACCACCATCACACACTTTCACCTGTGTTCACTGCTCCTCCCGTCTGCCCATGTCTTTGGCCTTGATCACGCCATCTCTCTGGAAGCCCAGCTCCAGGTCCAGGAAACCAGATTATAGCAGACCACTGTGCCCCTGGCCAGGGAACCGCCTGCTCTGGTCTGGAAGCCCCGGGGCCATGCTCGCTGTGTTAGTCAATGCTCTTTTGGTTGCATGAGATAGTTGACCAACTTAGGTTAGCTAAAATAGAAAGGCAGGGAGGGGGTGGGCCAGTGGTGAATTATTAACTTCTTAACTTGCATCTCTGGAGCTGCCAAGGGGATGGATTTAGTTTTAGAAAGACCCTAATCTCCTGATGCACTGAAGTTCTTGAGGAGCCCTCTCCCCCATTTCTTGCCTGTGTTGGGTGGGCATCATGCCCAGCAAGGTCTCCCCACTTGGTAGCAAGCCCTTCATGGTGGTTTCGGTCCTTAGTGCTCAGATGTGGTGAGGAGGGAAAGGTGAGGATTTTTGTCAATAGCTACAGCAAAAGACTCTAAGTCAGTTCCATGTGGCCTCATTTGAGTCAGGTGCTTTTCCCTAAAACAATCAGTATCACAGGTTGGAGGGGATGTTTTGATTGTTCTGTCCCTTCGGGTGGGGAGATGAGGTCAGCCTAATTGAGCTGAGTGGCTTGAGCAGGAGTATGATAGACTAGGGCTGGGCAGAAGGTGGACTCCAGAAAAGGCCGGGAGGCAAGTCCCAACCCTGTGTCTTCAGGGTTTGTCCGTTTTAAACATTTTAGCCAGGGTGGGGCTGGGGGGAGGGGGTGTTGTGCAATGCAGTTCTCTTTCCTAATTCACAGATCACGTTACACCCAGCTTGCACGGTTTGAACTTGGGTGCTAAAGGAGAAGCACCTGGGGTATGTTTGAATTCACCCCAAAGCTACCTCTGGTAAGTGTCTCCTTGTGACTTTTACAGTCTCACTTGGGCTGTGGACCTCTGACATTTTCAGGCAAGTTTTTGCTTCTTAATCTCCAATGCTGAAAGCTTAGTCTTTGGAATGTTATACATTGTTTGGATCTTAAAAATGTCAGCTCACAAAATAATGTTTTTACATCCTTCCTCCAACATCATCAACCGCATTAGCTCACCACCACTCCTCCTCTCCGCTTCTCCCCCAACCTGTTTTATCGGTGTCAGGAAAGGGGAGCGATCAGTCTCTCAGGAGGTACCCATATTGATCATAATATAGCCTTTCTTAGGCGTAGCAGTCCAGCAATCAGGGTTCAATGGTTTCCTCTGGAAGGTAGCATACTGAAAAAGACGAAGTGCAGAGAAAAGACAGGGTGGGGGTGCAGCATGTCTAGTTTGGGGGCCTGGCTGTGGGTCAGAATGGAGAGATTGACACTTCAGAGAAGGCCGGGAATGAAATTGAATGTGCAGAGCACACGTTCCACTCAGCACCGATTAGAGCTGGGATTGCCTCTCGCAACTCCCCAAAGAAAATGCTGCGTCCTTGTAAGACCGTGTCTGCCCAGTGGGGGCCTGGACACTAAGTGCCACTTCTCTGCCCATGGCAAATTCCAAGGGCCAGGACGATGGAGACAAGGGAAGTAGAAGTTGAAAGAAACTCCCAACGGCAAATTAGGTCGAGTGCCAGAAAGAATTACATCAGGAGAATCTGAGATGTAGTGAAAGTGCCCCCAAGCTCCCCGCTCCATTTCATGTGCTACTGGCTGGCTGTGAGATCTGAAAAGGACTGGGCCCAGACTCTGTGTGTGTGTGTGTGTGTGTGTGTGCGTGCTCTTAAATCAATGTAAATTAGGCTATATACAGCTGCCAATAATCTGCAAAAGATGACAGTTTCATATGATTCCAATGGCTTAAACTAACAAATTCATGAATGATTGACCCAGACCAGAAATGGAAACCTGATTCAACTCACAGTGTAGTCCTTTATCCATGCTTGTTGGCTTCTGGAACGCACAGTGTTCAGGAGGATTCTGAGGCAGGGTCTGTGTGCAGGAGGAGTGCTAGTGTGAGAGCTGCTGGTGCCTGCCCTGGGTCCGAAAGCTGGTGGTGGTCTGTTCTTGTTGTATGAGGGCAGCCCATGTCGCCAGCATTTATTTTCTGAGCCCCATTTCTTAATGTTGTATATTTTTTTAAAAATTAACACCACCATAAGCAAGAAGGAAAAAATCAACACTTGCTCTTTGAAGGCCAAATACATTGAAATGAAAGCGTGCCTAGTGGAGCAAGAGCGGGGCGGGGAGGAGGGGAAGCCAGCCTGCAGCATTGCCCTCTAGACACTAAGAAGAAGGGAGTAGGTTTAGGTTGGATGAAGAAGGGAGGTTTGGAGCCTGGACGAGAGCAGGGGTTGTGGAGGAATGGTCAAAACCCAGGCGTGATGTGACCACACCATCTGGCAGGGGACCAGGCCAGCTGCTGTGTGGGTCTTCCATGTCCCAGGGACGGAGAGAGGAGAAGTGGGGTTGGCCAGGCAGAGGCATGATAAGAGTCAGAGTGGCTGGGCTCCAGGGCTCCAGCCAGGCTATTAGCAGGAGCACTGGCTTTGGAGGGGGACCTAAGAGGACAGATAGGGGAATCCCCAGGCCACCTCTGGACCTTGACATTGACTAATGGGATGAGCTGCTGGAACCCATCACCATGAAGCCCCCTGCACTAACTAGGGCGTGTGCCCCTTGAGGAGCCGCATCCGCTTATTGGGCCTAAGAAAAACTGATTCCCAGGTGTGTTTGGGCCGTCTAGAACCATGTGACCTGGCAGCCACTTCAACTTGGGCAGCATCTCGGCTGGGAGCCCCAGGGAGCCTGGCAGTACCTCAGTGGCAGATGCAGCTCGTTCCAAGATGTTCCAGAGGCAGGAGGTTCCTGGAAGAACCACTGGGCCTTGCAGGGTCAGCTCAGCCTGAGAGCCAGTGACCCCCTCCCCCAGGAGGATGCTGTAGGGGCAGTCTCACGGCGGTCTCACCTCTGCCACCTGTGGATGAGAGGCTGGACCGGGTCTTGGTGCTTTCCAGCTCAGGGCGTTGGTCCACTTGGTTATTCTTGGGGACCAAAATCCAAGCTAGGATGGGGACAGAGGCCTGGAGACAACCTGCTGGCCTCCTTCCATTAAAGCCATTACAGTGTCACCACAGGATTGTAAGAATTACAAATGCGTTTTCCAGAGTCCCCAGAGAAAAAGGAGTCTGGCAGTTAGAAGAGTAAAGTGCATCTGTCAACAAAAGAAATACCAAAGATGAGACTACAGCAGCGACTTGTCACCTCTTCCGTGTTGCTACTGCCTGAGAACAGAGGTTTTTAGTTTCTTTAAAGGGTTGTAAACATAAAAACAAAGAAGGATACAACATGCAAGGCCTAAAATGTTTACTTTCTGGCCTTTTACACAGGCAGTTCGCCAGCCCCCTACCCTACAGTATGGAAAAAAGGCATAGAACAGTCAAATCACGTAGGATTTCTTAGTTTCTCCATGCAGGCTCATCGAATAGCAACCATCCTTTCTTAGTTTCTTGAAACAAGTACCTTATTTACATTCAGAGAATTATATGTGGACAAACAGCTCATAAGCCCGTACTTTTACATACTCACTTCCTGAATTGCATATTGAAAAAGAGAGTTCATGTAAAGCCGATTATTATTTAATCTAAAGTTATGTTCACATAGGAAGCACTAGTGTAGAGAAATAGGGTCTGAGGGACAAGGAGCCTGTGTGCCCGTGTCGGCAGCCGAGTAACTGCCAAGGGTCCCCTGCTTGGCACTCTGCTGTCCCACTTGCTTCCTGCCCTCTCTGGATTCTAACACTTGTGCCATTGTGCATCCGTCTCAGGTCATGGTGCTGTTACTTGGTGAGAAAGCATTATTTAAATACCCCAGATGAGGAGTTAGGCACTTTCTCCAGTTTTGCAATGCTCTTTTGTTTACCTTTTAAAAAAAAAAAAAAAAAAAAACGAGACAAGGTCTCACTCTGTCACCTGGGCTGGAGTGCAGTGGTGCCATCATAGCCCACTATACCTTGAACTCCTGGGTTCAAGCGATCTTCTTGACTTGGCCTCCCAAAGTGCTGGTATTACAGGTGTGAGCTACCATGCCATTTACCTTTTTTATGCTTAAAATAAATGTATAAAATATTAAAAATCATTTTCCTCCCAAGAACCAAACGTGTATTACTAAATATGTTTAGTTGACCATGCAGGCTATTTGAGAGACAGTGGGAGATGCTGAAATATTCAAGCACCACTGTTTTGGTGGGTATCGGAAGATTTTCAATCAATAGTTTACTTATTTGGTTATGTATTAGGTTGTATTGGGTGGGGCCAATCATTATGTGACTATTTTTTTCTTCAGAGTGGTGATTGAAAAGCAGCCCCCAACCGTTTTCTCCGAGAGGTGCATGCTGAGCCTGCCTGCAGCTTACCCCCAACCCCCAGCCCCTAGCCCGGCTCTCCTTGTCTTACATGAGTCAGTTTCCTTCTGCTGCTATTCTGGACAAAAACCTCTATCAGGACAGAGACCTTGTCTTGTTCACCCTATTCCTGGCATCAAGGCTGTGTCTGACATGTAATGGGGATGGCTGTTTGTTTGGTGGTGGTTGAGATGACCAAGATGTTCTTGACCTGTGTAGGGTGGTAGTGGAGAAACAGGCACAGGCCCTTGTGGTGTAGTTGCGAAAAAGGAGCTCACACTAATGGGAACCAGATTGTATCATTGGCTGAGTATACAGCAGATGCGTTCCCCTTTGTTATTTTATCACTTGCTTACCTGGAAGCTCTGGTCTGACTTTAGGAACATGCCACACACTTGGATAAACATGGACTCCTTTACTAGAGATTTATAGAATCTTTTTCCTAGAGCCATTTGAGAAGCACTTGTCCAAGACGTGCTATTTTATAGGCTATTTTGATGTAAGGGAAAAGACGTATCCTGGATCTTCCAGAAAGCATGGAATTATGGCTGCGTATTAGGAAGAGGCCTGGCTTTCCTGTGGGAATTGAACAGAAGACAGGCATCTCTCATGTTCTGGTTGTTGCAGTTTTGCTTCTTCTGTTCATTGAATTAGCGTTTCAGAGCTCTCCATGTGTGAGTTTCCATTTGGAAATGGTATAGTCATCATCGTAATGTAGCAGTCATTCGTTAATTTTTATGAGCCACTTGTGACGTTTCAGGAAGCTGACAGCCGACATGGATTAGCTCATTTATACCTAGGGAAACAGAGGCACCAGAGGCCACAAAAGCTATTCAGGGTCACACAGCCTATGTGTGAGGTTTACATAATAAACGTCAAAAAACGCAGGCTCTAAGGAACAAAAAGGAAGATTTGAGCTGGGTGGAGGCTCCTTATCTCTCCTACAACCTGAGCCAACAACACCCCATCACTTCACCCCAAAGTGCGCAGGGAAGAAATGGAAGGGGCAGCCGTGGCCTCATCTTTTGTGCTGTTTTTCTCCAGCACAAAAACCTGTGTGCTGTTTTTCTGCAGACCTTGGTTTTCTCATCTTGAAAGTTGTGAATCTGTGTCACATTTTCCTGGTGTATCGCGTGCACTTTTGATCTGCGGATTCAGATCTTTCTGCGTCTCAGGAACATTCCTTTGTCTTTTATCTTCGAATAGTCTTTGAGTTCTTTTGTTGTGGATGTGTTGTCAGAGATACCATTTATCCTTTTGTTTAGGTCCGTTTGTCAATGAACTTCTCTCTTAAATACTTTACCTCTGTCTTTTTAATCTCATTGACTGTGTCTGTTTCAAGCCATTCCTCTGTGTCAGAAACTCAGCTTTCAGCCTTGTCTCTTCTGCTCCTTACTTTTTCTAATTTTATTCATCAGTTCCCCAAATGCCGTTTTGATCCTCAGATCTGGACGTTTCCATTTTATCTCATATTGTTTCAAATTCTCATACTGGAGGTTCTCGTCTCCTGGAATGGCTGTTCTTTCTTAAGTCACACTGGAGTGGGAAGCGGTTGTAAGGGACTTCCTTCTGCTTTTTGAGCTTTGTTTTCTTCTCCATTGTTGCTTTGTTTCTCTTCTGTTCCCTTCCCTCCTTCCTCTCCCCAAGCCTCTCCCGCCTTCCCATTTTCCCTGCTGGGGAGCCTTTGCATAATGTCCCCAGCCCTGCTCTTCAGCCTTCTTGGCTTGGACCTCTCTTCCCAGACATTGTCTTTCCCTGAGACCGATGCTGACCACTGGGAAGACTTCTCCCTCATTCTGAGTCAAATCTAGGCTGTTGGGAGCCCGTGACCGCCCTGCTTCCTGTGGTGGGAGAAGGTGAGGGAGAGGAGATGCTCTCATCCTGAGTGTCCTGGACGAGATGGGCCAGACCATTCTACCCACACTCCCATTTGCCAGACCTCAGCCACCTCCCCCAGCCAGCCCCAGGGGTGTTGGGGGCATCTTTCGAGTCTCACTGCCCACGCTGTGGGAGCTGAGACTGGATGCTGTTCTGGAGATCCCAGGATTTACTGAGCATCCATGCTCTGCCATCCGTCTAGTTGGAGGGAGCTGCCTCCCGTTGAAAGAGTCTGCCCTTCTTTAGGGACCAGGGCTCTGCTCTTCCTGGGAATTTACCACATCCTCTTCCAGGTTCCCTTCACCCATCCTGCGGGGTGGGAGGAATATATCATTGTTCCCCTTGAGGTGCCCCCCTGCGTGGGTCACTTCTCCCGCTCACCAGGCAACACGGGCATCTTCTTTGCCTCCGGAGAGCCTTTGCCGGCCATTCACTTCCAAGGCTTTCTTATTTCCATTCCTCAGTCAGGAGACGAAAAAGATGAGGCCACGGCTGCCCCTTCTGTTTCTTCCCTGCGCACTTTGGGGTGAAGTGATGGGGTGTTGTTGGCTCAGGTTGTAGGAGAGATGAGGAGCCTCCGCCCAGCTCAAATCTTCCTTTTTGTTCCTTAGAGCCTGCGTTTTTTGAGGTTTATTATGTAAAGCCGTGCCCCTTTTCCTGTTGGATGGTGAAGTTCCTTCCTTCTGGCTTTAATGTTTCCCCCTTGTTTTATTAGGAAAGGAGGAAAGGAAATTCAGTTATAGTGAAGTTCTAATCTGCCATCTTAACCTGGAGTTTGGCTTTTTTCTTGTTCTGTGTTCCTTTTGTACCTTACTTAGATCTCGGTTAAATGAAACCATGAGAGACCGTGGCCTGCCCAAGGAAATCGTGTTAAGTGCTCACTTCACTGCGGGTCAGAACCCCGGAGTGTTTCACCCATGGAAATAGTCAGCAGTCGCCACATGCAGGGTCCTCACTCACTGCTGGTACCTTTGTGTAGTAGTTACTTTGTATTTTACAATGTAAATTAAAAAAAAAAGTTGGGAGAGGAAGTGAAATCTGATTTGGCTAAATTTTGTAAACAAAGATGTTACCAATAAAACCTTTTTCCCAGTGTATAAATAATATGTGGTCCAAAATTCCTTTTAAATGTCACAATACAAAACTTTTCCAAAACCCCAACATTAGTGACTGACTTCAGTATTTTTATCAAAGTTAAATGAGCCAAACTTATTTTTTACAAATTTCTGGCGCATTCATGATTGAAATTTTAAATATTCTCCTAGGGAAAAACGAGGGCTGATTGTCCTTTTCAAGGTATCCATCTCATCCCACTTGTTAAAAATAATTAGGGAATAATACAGTTTGCAGATTTTCTCCCGATGTCATCATGGCACTCAGTAACAAGGAATATTGTAGATGAATTTTGAAAATGTTTTTCCTGGAAGAGAATCCCAAACGTGTGGCCGAAAGGGACCCAGGACCTGCCAGCCATGCTCCTCCTGTCTTTCTCCCTTCCAGTCTGAACCCCACAGCGCTGGGCGGTTGACGAGGTGTGGCCAGCTTGCATCTGCTGAAAGAACCGGGGTGGCCCCACTGCATCTTGATCAGACACTGCCATGAGGTCCCTCCCCTCTCTGATGGCAAAGGGAAACAGTGGGCTCTACACATGGAGCTTTGAAGTCAAGAGTCATTTTCATCCTTAGCTCAGGCATGAAAAAAAAAAAAAGAATAGTAAAAATTAAAAACCCTTTAAAAAGATAAAAATCAACAGTAAAAAATGAAAGTTACAGACAGGTGTCTGTCTTTTTAGTTTCCTAAGCACAGTGATGATTATTGGAGCTAAAGACAGAGGCCACCCTTCCCAAGTGTGAGTGGAGTAAGGATAAGATAGTCCCGCCTCTCTGCCTGTTTGATGTTGGCCCTGTGGATGCTGCAAAACGCAGCAAACACGGAGGCTGCCGGCTTTGTTTCTGTAGGGCTTGTCTTAGCAGAAGTTCACATGGAAGAGAGGAGGCGTAAGAAGCAGTCAGAACGTCTGGATTGGAGTCTTGGTCCTGCCGCGTGCTGGCCGTGGAGCTCTTGCTCTGTGTCTGAACTCCTTTTCCTCCTGAGTGGATTTGGGTGTTGCCAGTGATGTTTGCGTCATAAGATGGGGTGAGGGCTAACGGAGATGATGTGGGAAAACAAGTGCTTTGTATCCTGCCGCGCACTGGCCGTGGAGCTCTTGCTCTGTGTCTGAACTCCTTTTCCTCCTGAGTGGATTTGGGTGTTGCCAATGATGTTTGCGTCATAAGATGGGGTGCGGGCTAACAGAGATGATGTGGGAAAACAAGTGCTTTGTAGACGATGGCGTTGGAAGGCACACTGTCGTTGCCATAGCTGTCGCTTGGAGGACTGTTAATGATACGTTGATAGCTTTCAGTTCAATTAGCCAAAATGACAGAAATGCCAAACATCTGTTGCAATGTTGACTCCCAAAAGGGCCCTTTTTTTGGAATGGGAAAATTCAGTTTTCTCTTTATTTTCTTTTTCTTAAAGCAGAAATGACAGCATAGATGATCTCCCTCTCCGACTTGTCTCTGTGTAGACTGCACTTGTGTTCAAGAGGCTCCGCTGTAGCTCAACCTCGCGTGAGTGCAGAAACTTGAAGGAACCCAGTTGTTTTACTTCCCCCAGCACCCCAAATTTAAAACTGGCTCTCACATTGTGAGACAGCATTCAGAATAGTAATCGTGAAAGGCTATGAGGACTTAGAAAAAGGTATTTAAAAAACGAAAGAGTGTAGCTGTATCCTTTTCTTCCTGGTGCGCTGTTCATTCACGGTGAACGCACCCACTTCAGCATCTTGGTGGAAATAACTCAGTTCCACCTTCCATATACTTTTCTCTCTGCAGTGTGGGATTTAGGGAGAAATTAAGACCTCGACTCGCTTATGAATACAAGCTCAAGGGCAAACTAAGGCACCCAGCGCAGTTTCCACATGTTCTGGGAACCCTGAACACTTGCCTTGGGGTGAACCAGAAACCTAATACATTGCACATTGCACTTGAAGTTGAGTTCAGACAAGAAGATGGGACCGCTGTATCCCCAAGTAGCTCGGGCGAGGTGAGAGCACTCCATTCTGCTTCAAACTCAGTGCAGAAAGCCAAGCCCAGAAGGGATGCGGGTTCCGTTCTCACCTCCCTCTGCTCTAAGCTGAGGATTCCAGGTGATGCTGTTTACCTCCTGTGATATCCTTGTGTCCTGGGGAAGCACAGATTTCAGTGAGACTGGGACTCTGTTTTCCCCTCTCACTGAGATGCGGTCACAGCTGCCCAGCGACCTGGTTCCACCTTAGGGTCAGGCAGCTGCGACCGATCTGTCTGGTTCCTCACCCTGGGGGTGCCCGCCGTTGGGAGGTGCTGTGGTTCCAGGGTGGGCGCTGGTCCCTTCCCACGGAGCTCGCCTAGCACCTGTTCACAGGTGTGCCTGGGCCAGATGCATGTCTGACAGGGACATCAGGTTTGGGGAGACTGAAAACCATTTTTGAAAATGAAGTTATGCTGATGTCATTTAATCGTACGTCATCATAATTGGCAGCAGAGAAGGTTGCACATCACTCATGGCAGATCCATTACATGGGCCATGGGCCAAGCTGTGCACCAGGTGCTGGGAGGATACCGGTGGGCGAACCAGACCTGCAGGAAAATACATGGAAATGGGGACAAAACAGGCATTTCAGAAGCTACATTCAGCTTGAAACTGGATGTAAAATTTGATGGTATCCTCTAAAATTCTGGTGGAAAAAAGATCTCCCTTTGGGAGGCTGAGGCAGGTAGACCGCTTGAGCCCAGGAGTTCGAGACCAGCCTGGGCAACACAATGAGGCCCCATCTCATCTATCCAGGTGTGGCGGCACATGTCCGTGGTCCCAGCTACTCAGGGAGGCTGAGGTGGGAGGATCTTTTGAGCCTAGGCAGTCGAGGCTGCAGTGAGTCATGTCCGTGCCACCGCACTCCAGCCTAGGCAACAGAGTGAGACTGTGTCTCAAAAAACAAAACAAAACACAACACAACAACAATGAAAAATCTAATGACTGGGATGAGATCTGATGAAATGGTAGGTTGAATTTAAAATGGTGCAAGTGGTGGTGCCTGCAGAGTACCAGCTTGTTGCCAACGATGCTGTCATCCTAAGGCTCTCCTTCTGTGGTTAAAGTGGTTCAAGTGTAGAAAATGAATTTTAAAGTGTTACCTACCTGCCAGCCCAGACTTCTCAAGGCCCAGTGGTCCTATTGAGCTGAACCTGCTCCCATCAGTAGTGCCCTGCGGGACCTTTTGAAAATCTCCCCAGTAAAGACATTCTTGCTTTCATACAACCTGGCTGCTGGAGCACCTGGCTGAATTTTATCTTATTATTCACCTTTGAGTTCGTGGCAAATACTTAGCAGTATTTAATTTTTGCTTTCTGATTTAAGTGTAATACGAAAAAAAATCATGCAAATCAATTACCAGTATCTGGTGTTTGAAATTGTAAGATGCTGAAAAGAACTGTTAATTATACTCTGTATCTGCCGGGGGAATGTAAACTGACTTTAGGATTCGAAGAGACCTTGCTGATGAGAGAAGGAATCACTGCTCCTTTTAGAGGCAATGAAAGTTGGGCCTGGAGTCCTTTGCTTGAGATCACAAAGCCAGAGACTTCAGGAGAGCAGAAATGAGAAGGCTCAGTGCCCTCCTAGGGAACCTTTCGTAACTTGAATATTGTGATTCAGCCACCTGGAAGCTTCACTTGTGAACGTGACTCTGCAAAAACATGTTAGAGGAAGCAAAGGAGAGGATGGACGTGAAATCCGTCCTATGCATGCTCACCTGACATGCAACAGGGAGGGTCATCTGCCAGGGCGTCACGGTCATTCCACGAGAGCTGGGTGGTGACGCTCCCCAAGTTCCCACTCCTGGAGAGGTAGGCAGCGAGGGACACTGGCGTTGCAGGGCCCCTGGGACAGGCTCCACTCCTCCCTTCTTGCTCTGGAGGTGACACAGTCTAGGGATCTAGTGAGGAATGGGACCTGGGGCCAGCGTGCTTGGACAAGACGAAGCCTCATCAAAGTTGAACCTTAGGGTTCATCAAGCAGGGAGGGCTTCCACATACCCTTGTATCTGGGGCAACCATCAGAGGGCAGGGCTGGAGCTGGGGCCCTGTAGGGCACTCAGCGTCCGGAGGGCACAGAGGAGCACATGTGGGGCTCAGGACACAGGGTCGGGACGGTGTGGCGGCGAGGTCCCTCTGGCTGTGATATATGTTAGGGGAAGGAGGGACTGAGGCCGGGAGTGGGCACGGGCAGGCAGGAAACTTGTGCAGAAACCTAGCAAAGAAGTGTGGGTGATTTCAATGAATGTGAGGGGTAGGGAAGGGAGAGCAGAGGGAGATTAAAAACACTTGGGGGTGAGATAAATGGGGCAGGGATGGTGAGGATCCCTGTTTGCTGAGCTCCTCTGTCCCAAGCAGGGTTCTAAGAGCTTTTCATGCATTAACTCATTAAGGAAGGCTCTGTTTACCCTCATTTCACAGGTGAGGAAACTGAGGCATCGAGCAGTTGAGTTACGTGCTGGAGGTCACTCAGCCAGGGAGGGCTCGGCAGGGATTTGAACCTGGTGGGCTGGTGCCTGGGGCCACACACAGAACAGGGTATGAAGGAGAAGATTCTTCTCCAAAGAAAGAGGAACAGATTTCCTTTTCAAATGTTATTTTTCTTTCTTTCTTTCTTTCTTTTTTTTTTTTGAGACACAGTCTTGCTCTGTCACCCAGGCTGGAGTGCAGTGGCGCAATCTCGGCTCCCTGCAACCTCCACCTCCCAGGTTCAAGCAATTCTCCTGTCTCAGCCTCCCGAGTAGCTGGGATTACAGGCCCCCACCACCACACCTGGCTAATTTTTGTATTTTTAGTAGAGACAGGGTTTCACCGTGTTGGTCATGCTGGTCTTGAACTCCTGACCTCAGGTGATCCACCTGCCTCGGCCTCCCAAAGTGTTGGGATTACAGGTGTGAGCCACCGCGCCCAGCCTTAAATGTTATTTTTCTTAAAACAGTCAAATTCAATTCACATCACCAAGATACAGCAGGTTTCCAGCATCTCTTTTTAAAAAGTTTTTTTAAAGGGAAATAATACTACTATCACTGTTGCAGACTTTTCTGTCGTAAGCAGGCTTATTCAATGTTAAATACGACTTTTATTAAAGCAGGTTAAAAGAACCTTGGCAGAAATTTCAAATAAGACTGGGTCGGGTACTGTTCAGGGTGCTTTGTGTCAACTTATTACTCCTCGCCTGCTAGGACATCATCCCCTTTGCATCTGGGGACACTGAGATGGGGCGAGGTGGGGCAAGACTACACAGCTGTATGTGGCAGAGCCAGGGTTCAGGCAGAGCTAGGCCAGTATCGGGGTCTGGGGGCGACCGTCTGCAGCACCGTCACATACGTGGGGACGTCCACCTGTGTCAGATGTTTCCCAGCTTGTTTCATGATGACAACAGCTCTGCTAGAAAAGCATTTCTTTTTTGCCTACGAGGACTCTCGATTCAGGGACCCTGAGTCTTTGGGACCCTCGTGCAGCTGGGGCTCACCCTGTCTGGACCCAGCGGCCTGACTGGCCTGGATGTGTCCCCTGCTAACGGGCCTCAGCCTGACCATTTCCAGTGGGCCCTACCGTCTTGTTTCAGTGACTGGGGGGACAGCAAAATGAGAGTTTATCTGCTTTAACATCAAAAGGTTTTCTTCATTGTTGTGTTATTGAATGAACTGAACAGCAGATTTATTTGCTTTAGCAAATGCGGCTGCCTGTGATGGTGGCATAGGTGTTGAGTGTGAGCACACGAGCATGGCAGGAGCTCGCGGGAACGGGCCAACGCCCCACTGCCCCAGTCAGCCCTCTGTGGCCTCAGAGGGTAGCTGCCCGTCTGGAGGGCCTCGGACACTTTCAGGCTGGGATGGGGACTCTGATTTTTTGCTTCTCAGGCACTGATGTGGTTCAGACCCAGGATTCTAGGAGGGAAGGTTCCCGTCGCAGGGGAGGGAATCAGACGTCGCTCTGGGCGGCAGTGGAGCTGGCAGGCAGCCTCTGGGCTCTGGCAGCATTGTCCTCTGGGTCCAGCGATTTGGGGTTTAGACAGGGTTTCTGGACGGCATCTGCACAGAGGAGCGGAAGACAAGAGCTGGGAACCGATGCGTGCCTTCCCTCTTTAAAACAAGAGTTTCGAATCCCCATGAGGGTTCCCTAGCGTGGTCTCAGAGCCCAGGATCTGGAGGGGGACGTCTGTCATTGGAGAAGGCAGAGGAGCCAGGGTGGAATCCTTCCCGCTGCCCAGCAGGAGCAGGGCTGGCCTAGCGGGCCGGGCTGGGCACTGCAGCAACCTTGTACCATCCCCTCCTGAGAGCATCAGGGGCCGGGACGTCCAAGGTAGCACCAGGCCCCTCATGCCCGCACCCCCTCCTCATGGTCACCTCTGTTCCTGCAGGGTCCCGGTGGTCTCCCGCTAACCCCGCGTGGTCTCTAACGCCTCCTGTCAGCCGCTGCTCTGCTGTCTCCACCCGTGCGGAGGTCCCATCCAGTAGTTTCTGTCTAACCCATGTGTAGTAGTGAAGCGTCCCTCCCTAATTGTGGCCTGTGACTCTGGAAACACCATTCTCATGATGTTCTATGTCTCCCTTTCAAGAACTGGGTTTCTCTTGAGGAGAATACAGGTTCTCGGCCCTGTAATTTACCAAGAGGTTGCAGATCAGGCACCTGTTAAGCATGAAAAATTTGTTTCAGTTTTGTGAACCCAACAAGAGAATGACAATTTTAATGTTCTCTGTTTCCCAGTGAGTGAGAATTCCTGAATTTACATAGAAAGCCCACATGAGAAGTCCACACTAATTGGCCACGAGTGTCTGGCATTGCGAAGGAAGCTGTGCCTTCCAACTGGAAACGCACAGGGGTTCTTAAAGACAAACATTTAAATCTGAGTTCGGCTCTGTTAAAATTCAGCATTTGCTGGCAACATCCTAAATACTCAGTTGCCTCCAGGGCGACAGCCTAGGGTGTATTTTTCCACAAGCGAAGCCCACGTCTGTCTGCCCTCCTCACTCTCTGTTGTTCTCGTGTAACGAGATGTTTTGTGTGTGTGGCAGGTGGCAGGTTCAAGAAAGAGATTGTCGTTGATGGACAGAGCTATCTGCTGCTGATCAGAGATGAAGGGGGCCCCCCGGAGGCGCAGGTGAGTATACATGCATGCCCCAAGCCTGCTTTTTTTCCCTTTGTTTTCTAAGGTTTGATTCAAGAAGTGCTTCTAGAAATCGGTGACTTGGTTTCCAAAAAAGTGGAAACCCCATAAAAAATGTTTCCTCTCACTGCATTTTTTTCTCATCTCTAAGAAGCTAATTCTTTTTTTATTTTTTTCCCAGACTAAATCCTGCAGGGAAGTTGGGTTTATGTGATGGCTTTTCACTTTCTGTGTTTTTAAAAAGGCAGGAAACGCACACTCTGCCCTGGTTGGGGAGCCCAGTTGAAATGACATCTGGAAATTTCTGTCGTTTGGTTTGTTTTTTGGCCTTTTCCTTTGAGTGGTTTGATCTCTAGAGCAGTGAGAGTTAGAGAGCTTGCTGGGTGCAATTGGGAGTCCCACCTTCTCTCTGTCTCTGGTAACTACAGGCATTGGCCCCTCTGTGCCGCCCTGGCCTTGGCCCAAGCAAGGCAGTCTCCACCGAAAGCCGGTATGAAGCATATTATGATTTCTTTGGAAGTTCCTGGAAAGATGGTCATTCTGGAAATAACAAAACATGAGTGTGGAAGATCTCTTTTTTTGGTTTATTTAACCTGCTTTGTTTTACTTACAGCATAATTTACCAGTTAAGCACTTTATTATTATTGTTATTATTATTATTGTTGTTGTTGTTATTATTATTATTGTTATTTTTTATTATTTATTTATTTTTTTTTTTTGAGACAGTCTCGCTCTGTTACCCAGGCTGGAGTGCAGTGACGTGATCTCGGCTCACTACAAGCTCCACCTCCCAGGTTCAGGCCATTCTCCTGCCTCAGCCTCCTGAGTAGCTGGGACTACGGGCGCCTGCTACCACGCCTGGCTAATTTTTTGTATTTTTAGTAGAGATGGAGTTTCACCATGTTAGCCAGGATGGTCTCGATCTCCTGACCTCGTGATCCACTCACCTCGGCCTCCCAAAGTGCTGGGATTACAGGCGTGAGCCACCGCGCCCGACCCATTTAAACACTTCAAAGGAGCCGAGAGCTGGTAACGGCTAGTGACCTCAAATGCAAACGGAATGTCAGACATTTTCTTGGCATTATTTCCTGGACTTAACCTTTTTGTGAACGGGCAGCATAGGATTGTAAGATGGAGAAAGTGAAAGATACTGAATACAGGACTTCTTAGGCCTCAGGTCTAGTACTCCACAGGTTGGAGGGCTGTGCGGTTATACAGAAGATGCCACAGATTTGCCATGTTGCATTGACTCTGACCATTGACAGTGACCATTAAGATGTACCAGTATTCGAAAGAAGGATGCTGCCAATTAAACTATGAAACAGCCGCAATAATTAGGTGCATTCTGATTTCAAAGCTGTTAAAGTGTGTAACATTTTGTTTCTTAGCATTAACGATACCATGAACTTGATCATAACAAGGAAAGACCTTGAAGACGTGTTAAAAGTGAAAACTTAGTTACAAAGCAGTTTGAGCCCATGTTCAGTGACCGTCTGGTAGTTTATAGTATGGCAGGGCAAAGTTAGAGGTCTGATAGGATCCTATCAGTCAGATGCTGATAAAAGTCAGCTCTTTCTTAGTCCCACTGAATGTATAGGACCGTGTTTGTTCTGCTACAAAGGAACTCTTGGAGGCAAGGTCCCTCCTGTGGCTGGTGATAGGAGAAAGAAGTAGGTAACATTTAGAATCACCTGAGTTGATTTTCCGTTTTCCCCAGCACATAAATGTTTTGAGTGACTGGAAACAAGCTTTTTTCTCCACAACTGAAGAGCAAGTCTTACCAGTATATGAAGCACAAAAGCTTAAATATAGAGAAAAATCTACAGAAGAGGCTAGGTGCAGCGGCTCACACCTGTAATCCCAGCACTTTGGGAAGCTGAGGCAGGCAGATCACCTGAGGTCGGGAGTTCAAGACCAGCCTGGCCAACATGGTGAAACCCCATTTCTACTAAAAATACAAAAATTAGCCAGGCGTGGTGGCACGTGCCTGTAATCCTAGCTGTTTGGGAGGCTGAGGCAGCAGAATCCCTTAAACCCAGAAGGAGGTGGTTGCAGTGAGCTGAGATCTCACCACTGCACTCCAGCCTGGGCGATGGAGCGAGACTTTGTCTCAAAAAACAAACCCCAAAGCATAGTTTCAGTTTTCTGATGGTGAACATGTTAGATTGGGGGGTTATTTATTGGGTGCCCCCCACACAAGTTGCTGGGGAAGTCAGAATGCACCCTTAGGAGATGAGAGCCACAGTTCACGTTTCCTCCGGGTGGATGCTCAGATGGGCTTCAGCTCCCGGCTCGGGAACTGAGGTCTGGTTCCGGGTCAGCCAGTACTCTTTATGGGCGCAGTGGGAGTCTGCTCCTCCTGCTTTCTTAGAAGAGACAGGAAGAGCCTTTCTCAAGGCAGAGAAGAGGAAAAGGAGATGCCTTCCGTCAGCCTTGGTCCTGGCACTCTCTGTGGGAGCTGCTATCACGATCTTCCCAGGTCTCTCCCGGCCTTCTTTGTTTTCAAGTCCTCATTCTCATTTAATTTTGTATTTATCACTAGAACTTTGGGTTAAGTTTTACCATGTACATGTTTTACATATAACTGAATGCACTTTTCACTTACATGCAGAAGTCAGAGTTTAACCTGTTAAAAACTTAGACCAAATGTATTAGAGGTGATAACCTTGGCCATAAAAACCTATCTAGGAACTACAGCTTCTTTTAGGGAAAGCAGACGGGATGGATTTCGGTTTTGTTTTTCAAATTTGCACTTGGAAAGAGAAGGATCTTTGTTGCCAGATAGAGCTGATGTCAGATGTGCTGCGCTGGTTGCAGTGAGTGTGGGAAGTCTCTGCCCTGCAGGCAGCCTCCACTCACTCAGCTCCAGTTTTCCAAGATGGCTGTTGGTACTAAATGAGGTACTAGTATATGCCTGACAGTGTGGGTATCTGTCAAAAGAGGATGTGATGTAGGTTCAACTGGCAAGACAAGAATAAAATGAATACGGCAAAGCAAGAACAAAATGGCGAGAGTGAGGCTATTGTGAAGTTTTCTTCCCTAAGTTTTGTTAATTTCCCTGAAAATAAGTAGTCATTTCTTTGCAGAGGTGCAGCAGGAGTTCAGCCAAGGATGAGCCTGGGTTGAATCTTTACCCTTCAACAGAGTAGGCCAGCCGCTGCGGTAGCGAGTGGGAAGGACTGAGGGGTGGGGAGGTTCTGAGCAGGCATGAGGGGTCCAGCAAGGCTTCCTTAAGAGGTTGAGAGTACAGTGGAAAGCCTTAGGGCTTGAGGGGCTCTGGCAGGAGGTGGGTCTGGCCTTCTGTCTGCGGGGCCGCCTTGGCAGGTCGGGGCAGCGGGCGGACAGGCCAGGAGCATGAGGACCGCGGGGACACTGTGTGGTTTGTGTCCTCTGAAGACAGAGTGGCTTGGGTGGGAACAGGATGAAGGGCCCATTCCCAAGGGGAACACCAGGCATGGTGTGCTCAGGAGGAGGACGTGGATGCCGTGACAGTGTGTAAAAGTGACAGTCAAAAGTCAAGCACCCAGTGTGTGACCGAGGGGATTCCTGCAGCCCCCTGCTGCCTGCCGCCATGCAGACATCTCTGTTCTTAATCAAGCCTGCTCACTCAGCTCCTGCTCTCCTCCCCTTCTTCTCTCCCTAGTTTGCCATGTGGGTGGACGCTGTTATATTTGTCTTCAGCTTGGAGGATGAAATAAGTTTCCAGACCGTTTACCACTACTACAGTCGAATGGCCAACTATCGGAACACGAGCGAGATTCCTCTGGTTCTGGTGGGAACCCAGGGTGAGTGATGTTCGTGTGCAGATTGTTTTGAAAGGGTTCTAACAGTTACATATTTTCAGTATGGAGGAGTTTAAAAAATGCTTTAAAGAAGGAAAAATTGCCTACTGAACGCTCACTTTTTTGGGAAAAATTATGGAACTGAAATGATCACATTTCCTGATTTGATTCTATGGTGAAACCACTCATTTAACAACCTGAAAACAACACACACACACATATCCCAGGTGCTTTATGAAAAATAAAATCTATTTTCCCTTGTTTTCTGGAAAAAAAATATATATGTGTGTGTGTATATGTTTTGTATATATATAGTCAAATACATATATATATTTTCTGCTATATTTTAATTCTCTGTTCTATAAAATGATTTATAAACAATCTATTAAAGCTTATCTTTCAGTGCACCTTGAAAATAGTGCTGATTTTGAACATAGAGCAGTTCTGTTTATTAAGTTCTGTTTGTCACCGTCTTATGATCTGTATCTTATTTTTAATCTGACAGGCCCCTCAGACAGAGAATCCAACTGGGCACATTTCTTGTTTTCTCTGAGGGTCACTTCGAACTTGGTCTCTTAGTGGAGTGGCCGTCACATGGCCTGAGACACAATGTCCTCGCTCTTGATCACAGACCTATGGTTGTGCTGGGTCTGCCACTAGGGTCTAAGATGTCACGTAGGATGTTTGTAAAAGTCAGATGGAGGTTAGCTTTACAACTGCTTTGTCAGAAATATGGGTAACATACAAATAATCCTATCAGGAAAAATTGTATATCCCTTCATTTTTGTTGTGGCTATGAATAGACTGTTTTGCGAATTCTTTTAGAATGAGCCTATCTGACATGCCCATCCATGCTCTGATGTGAGACGCTTCTCTTTAGGACGTCAGCTGTACATACTGCACTAGGTGTGGTCTAAGTAGGAGGTTGCCCAGGCAGATGATTGGCTGCTTGATCACGAACCTACAAAAGCCCAGATAAATAGTGTGGCATAAACCACAAACATTTTCCAGCCAGACGTGGTGGCTCACGCCTGTAATTCCAGCACTTTGGGAGGCCCAGGCAGGTGGGATCAGTTGAAGTCAGGAGTTGACCAGCCTGGCCCACATGGTGAAACCCTGTCTGTACTAAAAATAGAAAAATTAGCCAGGCATGGTGGTGCATGCCTGTAATACCAGCTGCTCAGGAGGCTGAGGCAGGAGGATCACTTGAACCCAGGAAGCAGAGGTTGCAGTGAGCTGAGATCACGCCATTGCACTCCAGCCTGGGTGACAGAGTGAGATTCTGTCTCAAAAAAATAAAAAGCCGGGCATGTTGGCGGGTGTCTGTAATCCCAGCTACTTGGGAGGCTGAGGCAGGAGAATCTTTTGAATCTGGGGAGATGGAGGTTGCAGTGAGCCAAGATCGTGCCACTGCACTCCAGCCTGGTAGACAGAGGGAGACTCCATCTCAAGGGAAAAAAAAAACAAAACTATAAGTATCTTTTCAGTGTGCTAGATGAGAGATGTTAGAGTTGGGCTTCCTGGAGAGCACCTCCCCCAACTTTTTTTTTTTTTTTTTTTTTTTTTTTTTTTTTTAAAGCGTACGTGGTCGCTCTCACTCCTGAAACCTTCAGAGCCAGAGCTCTGTTTAATCCTAACACAGAAGGGAGGAGGGATTCTTAGGCCTAATGCACCCTCTAGTGTTCACCAGGAGACAAGGCCGCACCACCCAAAAGTCCTTGGTTCTTGTGAGAATGCAGAGTTGCCGTATTTGAGGTGGCATCTTGAAAATGCCTAATCGTGTTTTAAAGTGGATGCTCATCCACAGCAGATTCTGCTTAAAGCTGCCTTGAAGTCGAATAGAGAAATTCCGAATAAGCTCCCCTTCCTGCAGGCCCGACCGTGGCATTTTTGAGCAGGGTCCTTCGGGGCTGTGTGTGCAGACACCACTCACAGGCTGCTGGAGCTCAGGAGGTTTGACTTTAGGACTCAGAATGGGCTTTTGCTTAGACTCACTGTGAAAAGTGACAGTGAAGTTCCCAGCCTGGAAAGATCCCCTGCGATCAGGTTCTGTTCTCTGAGTTCTGAGTACACATCCATGTTCCATCAGTAGGAAGGGAGTGTCTGAGATCCCGGGAGTTGGGACCACACACACCTGCGTGTGACTGGCTGCTGGCTGGGTGACCTTGACACCTGGGACTTTGGTGGGGTTCAACAGGAATTCCCAGAAGACACTCAGTGCATCCGTGGGTATGTGATAGGCATCTTAACAATGGCTGCTTTTGTTCCTCATATTTCAATCTGCGACCAGTGTTCCAGGGTCCTGCCTGGAATCCTGAACCCCACCCCCCACTGTCCCTGCCCCTGGAGGCAGCGTATCCCTCTGAGTCTCCTGCCTGAGCCAAGGGGCACATCGAGCCTCCTGCCAGGGTGGCTGCTTAGATTCTCGAGAAACCCTGATGAAGTTGAAGTCCTTGAGTAAAAGAAAGTACCCCCATTTATTCCCATGAATTCCATGAACATCCGTTGATCGGATGTGGAAAGATGCCCAGGAAGGCCCCAGGGGAGTGTGTGCGTGTGCGAGGGTGGCCTCTGGGGTTGGGAGGTAAGTCAGCCCCACACCCTCCCGGGGTGAACAGGTAAGCTGGCCCCACGCCCTCCCGGGGTGAGCAGGTAAGCGGGCCCCATGCCCTCCCTGCAGGACTCCTCTTAGCTGGGCCACCCCCAGATGAACCAGAACGAAAAGTTGCAATCAGGGCTGTATTCCTCACCTGCGGGATTCTCTTGGTCCTTCCCTAGACTTCAGGGAGCACCCCAGAAAGCCTGATGGCAGGAAGCTGGCATGCACGTGGGCTCTGAGGGTCCCTGCCGCGACGCTTGCTTCCTGCGTGCAGACTTGCTCTCCGTGAAGCCCGTGCTCGGCTGCTCTTTCAGGGGTTTGGCTTCCTGGGATGCCAGAGACAAAAGAGGGATCAGGTTGTCTAGGAAGGCACCTGGCATTTCTCTTCCTGCTGCTTTGGGGTAGGCAGCGTTAGAGGTCAGAGCATATGGGATGGGAAAGAACGGAAGAGGAATTAGGTTCATTGCCAAAGGATTCCTGGGCTGGGGTGAGGCCTCCGCCCGCTGGCGGGAGGGGCAGCTCTGCCAGCAGGAGCTCTTTCTGGGCAGTAGCCAAGGACTGCACGAATGTTCATAATTGGGCAAGATGGGAATGAATGAGGTAATCATTTAATGTTTGTTAAACAAGTTCTGTTTTAAAGACTTGCAAATTAAATTGATTTGAGGGAGAAGCACGATCTGTAAAAAGCTACGGAGTTAAAAGTGGAATGAAAATGAGACAGGTATAGAACCGAAATGCGAGTGCAGAAGCCCGTTTTGGTGCAGTGGCAGAGATTCCCGTGGTGCACCTTTGAAGCCGAAATTTGACAGAAACCAAGCGAGCATGCCGCTGAGGACGGAGGGGCTGCGGGATTGCTCGGCCGCAGGTCAGGGTCTCATGGAAGCTGGGTGGATGCTATGTGGCCTGTGTTTTCAAAATTATCCTAGAGCATTGAAACATCATGGACTTGTAACTTCTTTTTACAATTAAAAAGAAATGTTTATACTTAAAAAAAAAACTTTCTTTTCTTAAATGTTGTGAAATGCAAGTCAGATTTACTAATCAGCAAGACAAGAAGGCAGGACGAGGTGCCCTTTGACCGTATCCCTGGAACGGGGGTGCAGCCTATGGAGGCTGTAGTGGTGATTGTCAGAGAAGAAACCCTTAACTGCAGAGTTCACTTGCCTTCCAGTAACGAGGAAACGTCAGCCCAACCCTATTTCATAGGGCTAAGAAAATAACATGAGAAAAGAGAAAAGAAAAAACTGAATAAATTCCTCAGGACATCACTTTTTAAATATACTTCAAAAAATGAAGTTCTCAAATGCCCTTTCTCCACAAAAATAAAATGTCAAAGGTGGTCGCTCTGTTGTATAACTTTGCTGCTATTTCTTTGACTGGTGGAGAAATCCTGTTGGTGGATTTTTGTTTAAAGAGTTGTTTATTGTTTTCTTTGGCATAAGAGCCTTCAAGCCCTATGAAAAAGATTCAGGTTAGGAAACTGTCTCTGAAGGCTGGGCGCAGTGGCTCACGCCTGTAATCCCAACACTTTGGGAGGCCCAGGCGGGTGGATCACTTGAGGCCAGGAGTTGAGACCAGCCTGGCCAACATGGTGAAACCCCGTGTCGACTAAAAATACAAAAAATTAGCTGGGCATGGTGGTGAGTACCTGTAATCCCAGCTACTTGGGAGCCTGAGGCAGGAGAATCATTTGAAACCAGGAGGCAGAGGTTGCAGTGAGCCAGCTCACGCCACTGTACTCCAGCCTGGGCGACACAGTGAGACTCCATCTCATTAAAAAAAAAGAAAAAAAAAGCTGTCTGTGAAAAGTCCTCTCTCCTCCCTAAGCCCTGTGGCTGTTCACATTCCAGCTCCTCATTTCTCTGTTCCACGTGCCACTGTAACTCAATAGTAATGGAATGGATGGGGCAGGGCTGGGGGTGGGGAATCCTGGCAGCTGAGCTTAAAAAAAAAAAAAGCTCAGTTTCTTTTTTAGGAAACTGGTGCCGACATCCCTGTGCAGCTGCTCAAACGCCCCCGTGTGCACACATGACTTAGATTGGGGGGATCCAGGTCACCTGTGACCCTGAGGGGGTCCATCAAAACCTCAGGGGACTCGCTGCTCCCCTCTCCACACACCTCCCTCCCACCCCTCTAGGCCTCACCCCTACATCTCCCTCATATACACCAGCTGTCCTGCTGCCCTCTGCCTCAGGCGTTCTGCCCCAGGCAGTGCCTACTGCGCCCCACCTGCTGCAGGTGAGGGTTCCCTGACCTCTTGCTCTAAAACCCAGAGTCACCCAAGCCTCCTGACCTCCTTCCCGGCATCAGTTAACAGTGTGGCCATCTTACATTCAGAACCATTCATCACATTCATCTTTCTTTTCTGCTTGCCTCTCTGGCCAACTAGAATGTCTGTTTCATGAGAGTGCAGATTGTGTCTGTTTCAACAATTCACTGGGGTATCCCTGTGCATAGAACAGAAACAAACCCCAAATGGGGGCTCAGTGAGCATTTATTAAGTGCGTCATTGGACAAGTGACCACACCTAGAAGAAGAATGCCAGTGTAGGGAGTATGCTTAGCCACCTGCGTGGTGCACAGAAGGGGGCCTGCACATAGGGACTGTGTGTGTGGTTTTTCCTCCTTTCTAAAGTATGTATCCTCTAGACCCATATTTAAGTCTTTTTCCTTCTTTCTGAACATTTTAAAATTGCAGTTTCAGAAGCGCTCCTGTAAAACAAATATCTACGAATGAATAACTTTCTCTTGTGTTTGAGTCTCTTAGTTGGGAGGCAAACGATGCTCTACAATTCCAGATTCATAAACTAATTACATTTCTGCTGAGTAAGGTACTGGTTTTCCGTGTTGTGGGGAGTGTAGGAAGTATTTAGAGCTGTCATTGTCACTGTGCCGTTACTTTTTGGTCTTCTGTTCCAGATGCCATAAGTTCTGCTAACCCGAGGGTCATCGATGACGCCAGGGCGAGGAAGCTCTCCAACGACCTGAAACGGTGCACGTACTACGAGACGTGTGCTACATACGGGCTGAATGTGGAGAGGGTCTTCCAGGACGGTAAATGCGCGTGGCTGGGAGTTTAATTTCAGTTCATGATAGACGGGAGGCACTTCAAGAAGTCAGTCCTGCCTGCACTTGTGCATGTGGGTGGTGGAAATATGTCGTTGATGGGTGGGCATTAGTATCGAGAGCAGTCCATTCCAGAGGCAATTCTCAGGTATGTTTCATATAAACAGTGCTGTGTTCAGAAGAGACAACAAGGCATGGCTTGAGAACAGCCTGGTGTTGGGTCTGTGTGTCTCCTATGGGGCCTTTTTGTGTACAGGATAGAACATTTCTTGAGCTGTTACTCATCCATGTGCTCTGTAAAACTTGTTTGTGAGCATTTCTTTATTGTAATTGCCCATTCTTAATCCAGTCCCGTCCTTTAAAGCAGTTTAAATATTTGATATTAGGCTTTGAGAAGAGAACTGAAAGGAGGAGAGAGAGAGTCAAGTTTGGACCTCCCCCCACCAAAAAAATAATAAAATGACACGATACCACTCACAGCAGAGGGTGAGGACCAGCCTTTTGGAATTGTTTTTAGGTTATTTTATTCATTATTGATCACCTACCTTCAGGAACAGCCACAAATCAGACAGAAAATTCTCCTAGGAGAGCATGAGGTTCTGCAAGAGGGTCACATACTTGTGGATGATCATAGCGCCAGACGTCGTCTATGAGAGAGGAGCCTGTGCAGATGCGTGGGGTGGGCGGGAGAGGTGGCGTCACCCTGGGGATAGGAGGGTCTGGGGTAAATAAGGACTGATACTTCTAAAGCCAGTCTTTTCAAGTTGGAAGCTTGGGAGAGGCATGGTTCTGGCAGAGGGTCCCCTTGCTGGTGGGAGTGGTGGAAGTCACTTGTAGGGTCCTCTCCCCTTCTGGTTTAAATCCATGGGGGCAGAGCCACCTGTCCCCCTGCTCTGGTGCCCAGGGGGTTGTCGGGGGCAGAGCAGGGCAGCCACACTCGGGCTCTCCAGAGAGTGCTGGAGCCGCTTCAAGGTGATGGAGGACTCGCCGCGCTCTGACCTTGAAGACCCACGGTGAAAGCAGTGGCTGCAGGACTGTTCCCGGGACTTCCTCCAAATGGGGCAATTTTCTATTACATGTTTAAATTAGTCTTCAGATGAAATTGTAGGGATTCTGTACATTCACTGTTCAACTCAGTTTCAAAGATGACATCAGTTCTCAAACTTCACATTTTCTTTCCTGGAGCAGTGAGGTTCCTTTCTAAGCCTGCCGTCTCTTCCCGCGCATCTCTGCCTCTCAGATACTTACCTGTTTTTCAGCACGTTGGTCCTAGTTACTGCTTCATGGCTTAGGTTTCTTCTCGCCTTATCCAGTGCCAATGCTGAAGAAGCGCAGGGTCCCCTGAGGATCAGCACAAAGTCGCTGGGGTCCCACAGCCCCTTCTTCCCTCCACTAACGTATATCTCGGGCACCTCCTGCTGCCTCTGTCGGGAGAATGTCCTGTGGGGAGTAAACCTCATTTCAAGCCGTGCTGGTGAACATGAGTGAGATGTTAGTGAGACTTGGAAGAACTGTGCAGGGAGGCCCTTAGAGCTCTTCTGAGAGGTGCACCCTAATGGAGCAAGGTCACTGTCGGCCGCTGCGCTGCCGAGGCCCCTGTGAATGTTGAAGTAAAGCGTCGTAGATGAAGGGTCCCCAGGCCCGTGCATGAGGCCAGCTGCCTGTTTTCATAAATAGACTTTTCTTCTTTTTTTTGGAGACAGAGTCTAGCTCTTTGCCCAGGCTGGAGTGCAATGGCGTGATGGCAGCTCACTGCAACCTCTGCCTCCCAGGTTCAGGCAAATCTTGTGCCTCAGCCTCCCCAGTAGCTGGAATTACAGGTACACGCTGCCACACCTGGCTAATTTTTTGCATTTTAGTAGAGATGGGATTTTCACCATGTTGCCCAAGTTGGTCTCAAACTCCTGAGCCCAGGCAATCTGCCCACCTTGGCCTCCCAAAGTGCTAGGATTATAGGCATGAGCCACCGCGCCTGGCTGTAAATAGACTTTTCATGACGCAGAGCCACGCTTTGTGTCGATGGGCTGCAGCGGGTTTGGGCCCCTCTCCAGCTGTGACAGCAGAGATGAGGGTCTTTGCGGCCTGAGAAGCCCAGAATATTCACTCTCTGGCCCCGTGCAGAGAGCTTGCCGGTCCCCGATGCAGGATATCAGGGACTCAGTTGTCTGGATAAGTTTAGTTTCCACAGTGACTCCTTTGCTTTTGTATTTATCACGGTTAACATACATGAGTTTTCCATAAATTGATGAGTGCTTCTTATAAAAATAATGTTGTCAATTAATGAATACTGGGGGTTGTCAGGATGATGCTGCCTTCCTGCCAAACAGCCTTTGTACGTTCTGGCTGCTCTAACAAGACCCAGTGGCTTATACAACAGACTTTTACTTGTCCTACTTACGGAGGATGGGAGTCCAGGGCCAGGTGCTGGTGGGTGTGGTGTCTGCTGAGGGCCATCCTCCTAGTGGGATATGTGTTTGCATAGTGGAGAACAGAGGACACAAGCCCTCGCCAGTCCCTTCCCATAAAGGCACTTAACCCATCACAGGGTTCCACCCTTGTGATCAGTCACCTGGCAGAGGCCCCACCTCTTATTCCCCTGGGGGTCAGGATTTCAGTATAAGAATTTGGGTTGAGTTCCATACCACACCCAGCACGTTCAAGGCAGAGGACAGGCAGCCACCCACCTCTGTGTTGGAAGCATTTCGTTTTCTTCAGGTTGGGGGTGGCAAGAGGAGAATAAGGACTGATATTTCTAAATATTAGTTTAAAATATTCAGAAAAAGCGTTTCCGTTACTGTGACAGCTCATGTCGCACCTCCCCAGGTGATGCTGTGATGAGTGTCCGTTTTCATGGGCACAGGAGATTTCCGTTCCAGTTTCGTATTATAGAAATAATACACTCTCATTATGTATTCGGATTTTGGCTGGGCGCAGTGGCTCAGGCCTGTAATCCCAACACTTTGGGAGGCTGAGGAGGGCAGATCACCTGAGGTCCATAGTTCGAGACCAGCCTGGCCACCATGGCGAAATCCCATCTCTACTAAAATTGCAAAAAATTAGCCGGGCATGGTGGCAGGCACCTGTAATCCCAGCTACTCAGGAAGCCAAGGCAGGAGAATCGCTTGAACCTGGGAGGCGGAGGTTGCAGTCAGCTGAGATTGCACAATTGCGCTCCATCCTGGGTGACAGAGCGAGACTCTGTCTCAAAAAAAAAAAAAAGTAGGATTTTATGGAATTTGAAAAGCAAATACCTGTGAAGCTACAACTTCCGTGACTATTGCGATTTTTTTGTCCTTAAAATATTTTCATATGAAGATAACATTTTTAAAATAAAATCAGTTACTTTGTATATTTTATATCATAGTTATATGGTATATGGTTTCTTATTTGTATATGTATTTTCATGTAAATCACAAACACTCTCATTGTTAGTGAGAAAAGTAGTTGCTGAGTAGGAGCTTTATTCAGTACTTAGCAATCCTTAATAACAAAGTAAAAATCCTCAAGGAAAGTTAAACATTGTAAGGTTTATATAAAGTTGAAGAAATTGAGGCTCAGAGAAATGACATAGCTTGACCCAAAGGGACACAGCCTGGACTGGATCCCCCATCTTGGGACCTGAGAGCCTCGACTTAACCACAGCACCGGGACATTTTGTCATTAAAATGGAAGCAAATCAGGTCCTGGGGCCTTAAGAACACACCAGCTTTGCCCACAGGTCTGGGGAGGGCCTTGCAGGGGATGCACCCAGCCAGCAGGGCCCCTGCCTGCTCGCCGACTCAGTTTATTCACATTTCTTGATAACTCTCTGGCTTCTTTTTTGCCCTAGGGCTTACTTTGTTTATTTACTTTTTATACCTGTATATGGTAGAAAGAAAACATAAAGGAAAAGCGTGTAATTTCTACATAATGTTTGGCTTGTAAATAAAAAAAAAAAAAAAATCCAGCTGCTTCCATTGCCCTGCGGAGGCCATGTTCCTGATTGGCTCTGTACCGAGGTTCATTTAAAAGGCCAGGGACCTCATTCTTTCTTCTCCAACATTTGACTTCTTAGTGTCTTGTAACAAAAGGACATTGTAAAAATGAATGGAGAAACCTTGCATTCACTTTTTGTTCGCTTGTGTGGTCCTGTTTACTTTGCTTTCATGGAGTTTCCAGATGGCTACTGGCAAGTGGCTGTAGGTGTTGGGAAGCAGCCTAGCAGGCTGGTTCATCCACCCAGTCACTCGTTCATCTGAGCACCAGCTTCCCACACACTGTGCGTCTGGTCAGGGGCTAGAGGCAGATTGGGAAGCGCAGGCAGGGTCCCTTCCTCCGTGAAGTTAAGGTCCACTAGGGAGGGTAAACATCAAACGGTCACCCAGAAACATGACCTTGTGTCTTGCTCAGGGGTGGAAAAGAAGTGTGGCAGCCCAGGCTGCTTTCTGGGGGTGGAGCGTTCTCGCTCCTGCTCACAGGCGAGTTTGTGTGGCTTGCGGGGCTGGGTGAGCTGGTTCCACAAGATGGTTTCTGCTTGACCTGGGCAGCTGAGCCGGACGTGGGCTGTGGGTACCCAACCGTTTGGATTCTCAGCAGAGCCCTGGGGAAGGGAGGCACTGGGGGCTGGGGCGGGCTGGATGTGCGGACTTGGCAGCTGGGGGCTGCAGGTCCGTCTGCAGGGACTGCACAGGGCTCTCGTTCCTAGATTGCTTCACAGCCAGCGGCTCTGTGCCTGTCAGATTCTGCATGGCTCTGTTTGCCTCTTCCTGCAACTGGGAAATAACCTATATACAAGTTTTTCTATTTTTAAAGTTAAAATGGTGATTTCAGTGTTTGGCATTAAATTTTTCAAAAGTCCCTGTTGATTTGTTCTCCTAGGGCCTGGATACATGAACATGAAGGATTACAGAAAAATAAAGTTCATTCCATGTAGACATTGTTCCTCTGGTCCTACGATCCCTCCCCTTCCCCTTCCCTTTTTTCGAGGCAGGGTCTCTGTCACCCAGGTTGGAGTGCAGTGGCACGATCTAGACTCACTACAGCCTCTACCTCCCGGGTTCAAGCAGTTCTCCTGCCTCTGCCTCCTGAGTAGCTGGGATTACAGGTGTGCGCCATCATGCCCAGCTACTTTTTGGCTATTTAGTAGAGACTGGTTTTTGCCATGTTGGCTAGGCTGGTCTTGAAATCCTGGCCTCAAGTGATCCTCTGGCCTCGGCCTTCCAAAGTGCTGGGATTGCAGGCATGACACACTGCACCCAGCTTGCGATTCTTCTTTAAAGAGACATTTTTCCCACTTCATATGAAGAAGCAGCTTTCTGAGTGGCAGCAAGCAGCTCTTCTGGACAGACAGAGTGTGTGTCTGACATGGGACTGTAGTCAGGTCTCCGGAAGGTCAGGAAGGGTATAGTTTTGGTGATGGGATTTTTCAGCCTACATGCTGAAAGGTCACCTAAAATAGTTATAACTTAGTGACAAAAATAAATCCTCCCTTCAGAAGGCCAAGTCATGTTCAAGGTGGTAGCAAGCTGTGTATAGGTAGCAACAGGGCCCCTTTGAGCATTACACGTGCACCTTGGGAGGAAGAGAGTGGAGAGCGGGCTCTGCCTGTATATTCTTGGAGATGGTGCATTCAGCACTGTCGTTCCCTGCAGTTAGGTTTTGGAGAGTGTAAATTTTAGCCTGTCTTCAAATGCTTTGAGTTTCTCGTCTTCCTGAGTAGCGTGTTCGGAGCTTTCTCTGCTGCGGGTGGCGGTGCCACAGAGGAACACAGGGGCCTGTGTTGTGGCATCTGTTCAATCGGGGAGACAGGATCAGGGTTTTTTTGTTGGTTTTGACATTCTTGAGCCAATGCACCCTAACTTTTATTGGGCATAGTTTATGATTGTTAAATTATGGTGTCTTTGTGGTAGCTGTATGGCATGTGGGATTTTAAAGGCCCCTGATTCCTAAAGAAAGAGGGGTTTCCCTTTCATAGGCAATCAGGAGTACAACCTGATAGTGGTACAAAGAATTGTTTTCATTTCTTCTCCAAGCAGCTCGATGCCCTTTCTCTCTTCACTCCCCCTCTCCTAGAATGAGCTGATAAAGATGTACGTGAGTGGTCCACAGTGTGGTTTTATGCATGGATTGTTTATTTGCATCCCAGCATGTTTTGTATACAGCAGGGGTCCCCAGTCAGGCTGCACAGGAGGTGAGCAGCTTGCAAGTGAGCATTACTCCCCGAGCTCCGCCTCCTGTCGGATCAGCAGCAGCCTTAGATTCTCCTAGGAGCACGAGCCCTGTTGTGAACTGTGCATGCGTGAGATCTAGGTTACGCATTCCTTAGGAGACTCTAATGCCTGACGAGCTGAGGTGGAACCGTTTCATCCCAAAACCATCCCCATCCCCCACCTGCCCCCCAACCCCTGATCCTCAGAAAAATTGTCTTCCATGAAACCAGTCCTTGGTGCCAAAAAGGTTGGGGACTGCTGCTATATAGAATTTAATATTCTTGCATGCATTTTCTGAACCTTCTAGTCACTTGTTAAATCCCAGTTCAGAACATCACATTAGATATATGATCTGCACTGTGCTAGGACGTGCTCCCCACCAAAACGTCAGCGTCTTAAGCTTGTATTCATATGACCATAGGAAAACCTACATGCAGAACTTTGATAGTAGTTGTTAGACCAGGTCAAGATCCATGTCAAAGAGATAAATTACAAATTATCATCTCTCTGCTTAACGGTCTCCAGGGCCAGTTTGGTGATCTCACATAGACTTCTGTCCTAGAACAGATCTGCATTATTGTGGAGGGAGAGACAGTAGGTTCTAGGTGTATGGGAAAGCTGGGCAGTGGCACTGGAAGGGCGCTGTGTGCCAGGTGCTAGCGCTCCCGGGCCCTGTGTGCCAGGTGCTAGTGCTCCCGGGCTCTGTGTGCCAGGTGCTAGTGTGGCCACAGCCTTGTGGCTTATTAGGGCTTCCTCTGTTCACACGCTGTGTACATCGTCCTGGTGGATGGGTGTTTATCTGGTAGAGTAGTTCCTGGTCTAGGCAGATCCATGTCAGTCCTTTGACCTCATTGCCCCTGGCTTTTTATGTTTGTGCTGCAGTTAACATTCTGGAAAGCACTTTTATAGAAGCCATTCCATTTGTCTTTTGTCCCTTCCCAGTAACGGCTCACCTGGGCCTATCTAACCCATGCCGAGAGCCCGAGCTGGGAGAGGTTGCATGATTTTTACCAAGGTTGTGCGGGAAGTCAGGGAGCCTCGGTGTGCTCTTGATGCTTTGCTTCCAGAGATTGAAATCCTGGTGTGTGCAAAGAACCCCATCTCACATTAAATGGCTGCAGCTGCCTGGTCCTAATTACAGGAGTGTCCAGAACCAGGGGAGCTATGTTAATGAGTCCGTTTGTGCAACCTAATTGCACGCACTAGAGCATCTGTGAATGTAAGCAGTCTTCTGGGCCTCTTCTCCTGGGTCCTGCATCATCTTGGACCATTTTGTTTTGCTCACACCACAGTCCTTGTGCTGTTAAAGGATGTATCAGTTAAGCCTATTCCATTCTTTCCTGAAATCAGCTTAATTTTCATTGTCGGGGTGGCCTGTTTTATGATTTGTTTTTGTTGCTATTTTTTTCTCCTTTATTACAGATTAGATTGGAACTAGTGTGTGTGTGCATGCGTGCATGTGTGTGTGTATATGTGTGTTAGCGAGGGAATACTTCAAAAAATAAGATTTTTTACACTTGAAAGCAAGCCATGTATATGTGTACATTAGGCACTTGATATATGTTGAAAAGGTGGATTAATGGGTCATTAATTGTCCATTTTTTAATCACTTGTAGTAATGACTAATAATTATGCAACAATTTAACGGCTTATGATGTAGGATAGTGGATCTTATTAGGCCCAGTTTACAGCTGGGACTACATTGTTGGAAATGCTGCCTTCCCAGAGGTACATGGTGCAGCTGGTGTCAGGCGAGGCCATCATTTCCCGTTTCTACCTGTGGTCTTGGCTGTGCACCTGTACTCATCACTGTCCCCGTCTCTACACCCTCACCCCCTCCACACATTGAAAGTCTTATTTCTAAGACTTCCTGGGACAGATGGGTGGTAGATGTGTATTGGGACAGTATGAAAGAGGTTCAGCTGCTTAAATTACACTTCATTAAGGGGGTTCATATTTGAACATTTTCTGAGAACAAAGATGACATGAAGAAAGTGACCTCTGTAAGGCTCTGGCAGCACTTATGCGGTACCAATACAAATGGGGGTTGGGGGCTGAGCAGAAAACATTCTTCAAGAGTTAAATGATCAAGTCACGTAAGGCGTGTTGTTTTTGTTTTGTTTTGAGACAATGTCTCACTGTCACACAAGCTGGAGTGCAGTGACACAATCTTGGTTCACTGCAACCTCTGCCTTCTGGGCTCAAGCCGTCCTCCCGCCCCAGCCTCCCAAGTTGCTGGGATTACAGGTGCGTGCCAGCACACCCAGCTAGTTTTTGTATTTTTAGTAGAAATGGGGTTTTGCCATGTTGCCCAGCCTAGTCTCGAACTCCTGAGCTCAAAGCGATCCGACCGCCTCAGCCTCCCAAAGTGCTGGGATTACAGGCATGAGCCATGGCACCCGGTCATATAAGGGGGTTTGATGCTGGTTTGGGAGACATTCTGGTGTCGTTAGCCCTAGGGTTGTTGATGTCATTCTTTTTTTTTTTTTTTTTTTTTTGAGATGGAGTCTCGCTCTGTCACCCAGGCTGGACTGCAGTGGTGTGATCTCAGCTCACTGCAAGCTCCACCTCCTGGGTTCACACCATTCTCCTGCTTCAGCCTCCCAAGTAGCTGGGACTACAGGCGCCTGCCACCACGCCCGGCTAATTTTTTTGTATTTTTAGTAGAGACGGGCTTTCACCGTGTTAGCCAGGATGGTCTTGATCTCCTGACCTCGTGATCCGCCCGCCTTGGCCTCCCAAAGTGCTGGGATTACAGGCGTGAGCCACCGCGCCCGGCCCTGGCAGCTTCACATGTAGGGCCATCCAGTGCATGTGAGAATCTGCAGATGGTCTCCAGAAGAGCCACATCTGACCTGCCTAGTAGCTTATCTCCCAGCGAATGGGAGAGGTGCAGACCTGCTGTTGACTGTAAGGAGACTTGATTCAGCCTGTTGGTGGGGGCGCACATGTGAGGAAGAAGCCTTGGTGGGTTTGTGTGGGTCTTTCTCTTATGCCATATCCCTGGTTTATATTTGGATGGGAAAATACATAAATGTTTGATGGTGATCATTTTTATGAAACATGACATTGTCAACTCCTTTCTTCATATGCATTTTCGAATTCAGTTCTTAACCAAAGAAGCTCTTTCTACAACAGGGTTAAATTATAAACTGAAATAGCAAATTAATACCAAAACTAAAATAAAGCTTTTTGTATAGTAAACCATACATTCAGAGGTTTAAAAAAATCCAACAAAATGAAAAATACTTTTGAGTTACTATTTTTAGAAAAAAATTAGTTTGGGTTGAAAAATTCTTACCCTCATGAAGCTATAAAAGCACATGTTTTACTGATGAGAGAAGCTTCTGGCACATCAACTGAGACAAAAATCTTCCATATTCACTCGGTAAATACAAATACAGAAGATGGGCTGGGCGCAGAGGTTCACAGCTGTAATCTAAGCACTTTGGGAGGCTGAGGCAGGCGAATTACCTGAGGTCAAGAGTTTGAGACCAGCCTGGCCAACATGCCGAAACCCCCCTCTCTAAAAATACAAAAATTAGCCAGGCATGGTGGCGTGTGCCTGTAGTCCCGGCTACTCGGGAGGCTGAGGAGGGAGAATCTCTTGAACCCGGGAGGCGGAGGTTGCAGTGAGCTGAGATCACGCCACTGCACTCCAGCCTGGGCGACAGAGCGAGACTCCGTCTCAAAAAACAAAACCAAAAACAAAATAAATACAAATGTGTAAGATAGAATTCGTTATGAAGCTACACCAGACATTTTCAGGAGTAATTTGAGAATGTGCTTGAGGTGATTATCCTTAAATCATCCAAGTGTTTTTGAATATTATTTCAATTATTTCATCTTAGAAGTATGAAATCAGCTTGTTTCTTGTTTAGAGTTGCCCTTTCTTTTTATTATTATTTCTTAATTGAGACAGGATCTCGATCTGTCACACAGGCTGGAGTACAGTGATGCCATCATAGCTCACTGCAGTTTCAGACTCTTGGGCTCAAGCCATCCTCCTACCTCAGTCTCCTGAGTAGCTAGCGCTACTGGTGCATGCCACCATGCCCAGGTCATTTTTCAAAATTTTTGTAGAGATGAGGGTCTCGATGTATTGCCAAATCCAGTCTCCAGCTCCTGGTCTCAAGTGATCCTCCTGTCTCAGCCTTCCAAAGTGTGATGGGATTATAGGCGTTAGCCACCACTCCCAGCAGCCCAACTTTTAAAGGATTCTCTCTCAGTCTATCGCTTGATTTGCTTAACACCAGCCATTTAATATGAAAATGTTTAGGTGGGGGAGGGAATATCTTAATTATCATTGTGCTCCATACGCTACAGATGGCACCTGCTGGCCTTAGCAATATGGGGTCAAGTATGAAACATGATAGAGTGACACCCAAGGAACCTATAAGGAAAGGAATTTTGATTCTTTCAGAAATAACAGGAAGAAATTATCTTAAAATCTTAAGGTTGATGCTGCAAACAACCAGAGACAATAAATAAATTGTTATTTAGTGATGTTGCAGAATATTGTGTTAATAGAGCCTGTGATCTCTTCTGGCAATTTCTTACCCTAAGTCTGGGATTTTTCCTGCTGTGCTTCTCTTACTAGAAACGTTAAGTGTGCACAGATGCTCATACGTGTGCAGAGAAATGCCTGAATTAACTCTCACACTGCCAACATTAGATCATTAAACACACTATTAGTAAATGTTCTCTATTTTGATTTTCATGTTAAGACTCATCTCTTTTGCTCATAGAATTAATTTTATCAATGACATAGAAAATGGTTATTTTAATACTTCTCTGCACTGCGGTATCATAGCTGTGTTTTGCCCCAGGACTTCTCTCTAATGACTTGAGCCAGCTTGAATTAGCGTGATGTATCATTAATGCATACAAATGGCTTTTATTTTTGTTCATAATCTGTTCATAATGCCACGGCATTCTGCTCTTTCTAATGTTTTTAAAATGATTAAGTAGTGATGTACTTTTTGACCTAGTTAACCCTCCATGGAATCGATGATCAAAAGAATAAGAGAATATTACTTAACTAGGATAGTCAGAAGTTGTTATAATCTGTAGCTGATGTTTTCCAGTTATTTTGAAGTTTTTTATAATTTTTTTTTCCTTAGGGAATATGGACATAGGCCGGGCGCACAGTGGCTCATGCCTGTAATCCCAGCACTTTGGGAGGCCGAGGTGGGTGGATCACCTGAGGTCGGGAGTTCAAGACCAGCCTGGCCAACATGGTGAAACCCCATCTCTACTAAAAGCAAAAAATTAGCCGGGTGTAATGGTGCATGCCTGTAATCCCACCTACTCGGGAGGCTGAGGCAGGAGAATCGATTGAACCCAGGAGCCGGAAGTTCCAGTGAGCCGAGATTGTGCCGTTGCATTCCAGCCTGGGGGGATAAGAGGAAAACTCCGTCTCAAAAAAAAAAAAAAAAAAAATTGCAGAGAATATGGACATAGCCATGTGGTCCTTTTTTCTAAGTAAACTTCACTCATCGAGGAGCTACCCACAAACCACTGGGTTAGCAGCACTGAATTTGTTCACTTGATGAAAGATGAGGAATAGTAATCCTTTTTAAGTTGTGAAGTTCTTTAACCTCAGAAAGGGTGGCTTTGTCTCATGGACTTTGATATTTTTTGCATAGTCCTTGTAGGTTGAGCCTGGCCAGACACTGGCTCCAAGAGGATGTGAGGAATTCAGGCTCCGAGCAGATCAGGGGCATCCCTAAAGGTTGGGTTCTGGAATCGGGTGAGTTTGTGTATTGAATGCAGAGCCTCATCGAAGCGTTGTGACGAGGAGAGCGATGCACTGACGGCCTTAGGAGTCTCCCTGATATAAGCAAAAGTCAGCTGGGAAGAGTGGATTTCAACTTTGTTTTCCTAAGAGAAAAATAGGCCAGATGTGGTGGCTCACACCTGTAATCCCAGCACTTTGGGAGGCTGAGGCAGGTGGATCCCCTGAGGTCAGGAGTTCAAGACCAGACCGGCCAACATGGCGAAACCCTGTCTCTACTGAAAATACAAAAAAGAACTTAGCTGAGCATAGTGGTGGGCACCTGTAATCCCAGCTGCTCAGGAGGCTAAGGCAGGAGAATTGCTTGGACCCAGGAGGCAGAGGTTGTGGTGAGCTGAGATC
Organism: Homo sapiens; assembly: GCF_000001405.40. NCBI lineage: Eukaryota > Metazoa > Chordata > Mammalia > Primates > Hominidae > Homo > Homo sapiens. Next base: position 235,762,828 of record NC_000002.12, read on the forward strand.
GTGGCACTGCACTCCAGCCTGGGAGACAGAGTGAGACTCCATCTCAAAAAAACAGGAAAGAAAGATAGATTGTAAAACCTTCAGTGAGTACGTTGGATGTTGTGAAATTTGCCAAAGAGAAGAAAGATGATTTTTAAAGGATATAAAATATGGAAATAAAAACCACTGACAACACTGCCACCCGGGGGCAATGATTGTTAAGGCTCGGGTGTGTGTGTGTGTGTATGTGTGCGCGCGCGCGCACACGTGCACCTGCCGTGTTTGAAAAAAATGGACTGTCATGCATTGTGAGACTTTATAGCATACTCTTTCACATACACGTGGAGCATCCCTAATCTGAAAATCCAAATCTTAAACTGGAAATGCTCCAAAATCCGAAATGTTTTGAGTGCAGACATGGCACACAAGTGCTCACGCAGAATTTCGGATTCCAGGTTTTCAGTTTAGGGATGCTCAGCCTGCAAATATTCCACAAAAAAAAAAAAATTAAAACACCCTGGTTTCCAAGCATTTTGGACAAGAGATCCGCGACCGTGAAACTTTTCCCACCCTGTGGTTATTGATTTTTGCACGGCATTTCCTTGAGCAAACAGAACAGCTTTTGGACCCAGTCTCCAATTAGACATTTGGTTGGTTTTTTATCCCTCTGTATTTGATTTAGATGAGTGCTTCCGTGCATGGTTTTCTTTACTGAAAGCTGTGTCTCTGTCCTTCCTAATTTCCCGAGGATCCATCTCTGGAAGTGAGACTGTGTGTCCACATCCTTCAGAATGTTAAGGCTTTGAATCCTTGGTGTTGACTGGCCTTCCAGGAGACCTGTCCTAATTCAGCGTTCTCCAGCAGCTGCCCTTTTTCTGCACCTGGCCACACTGGGTATATTCATTTTGAAAACCTCTATCAGTTTATACACAGAAGTATTATTTCATGTAAGTCACCCCCAAATATGAAAATAAGTCCACGTCCTGTAATCTGTTTTGTTATCTGATTTCCCACCTGTCCTAGGTAGGAAAGGTGTACTCCTGAGGATGACACGTGGGACCCAGGCAGTCCTTGCTGCTCTTACAGATGCGCGCTTTTGGGGTCATCAGGCGGTTGCAAAGGTGGGAGCAGCCGTGCTCCCCAGAATGCTGACAGCACAGAGCACTGGTCTGAAGATCTGTGTGTGGCTGTGATCCGTGCGTGGCTGTGACCCGTGCGTGGCTTTGGCCCGTGCGTGGCTCCGGCCCGTGTGTGGCGGTTGCCCATGTGTGGCTGTGACATGTGGAGGCGAACTTCCACGGCAGAAGTGCCATGCTTCCGTAAGCTCTTCCGACTGGTTGGTAGGCGCTTTTATCGGCACATGAGCACCTTACAGACAAATATCTGAAGTACACTTCAAAGGAGGCAAAGAAAAAGCAAAACTGCCAGTTCCTTGAGCATGGCTGTGTGTCGTTGGTGCTCTGAAGGGCTTGAGAATCTCTCTCTACCCTTCATTTTCATGCACAGAAACCGATTTTCAGGGAAGAGCTGTGGCCCACCACGGTCGCTTCAGCCCCTCCCCGTTGCCCATGTTTATTCCTTTTCTGCCTTTCCTCATTGTCCATCTGGACTGGGGATCTTGGTCACGTAGATCCATGTTTCCCAGGCACCTAAAGCACATCCCCCCCACTTTGGTGATCGTAAAAATCTGTTATTCCATGTTTGAAATATCAGGATTTCAGAACTCAGTCACTGACAGGTCACTGCCACAACAGCTAAAGAATTAAAACCCAAACATGTCTCCTTATCTCTGCTGCGTCCTGAGTCGGCTCGGCTGCCTGCATGTTCCCACCCCTGATGGGGGCACCTGGGAGCGCCCGTGGGGTGGGGGCATCTGGGAGCGCCCGTGGGGTGGGGGCATCTGGGAGCGCCCGTGGGGTGGGGGCATCTGGGAGCGCCCGTGGGGTGGGGGCATCTGGGAGCGCCCGTGGGGTTGGGGGCATCTGGGAGCGTCCGTGGGGTTGGGGGCATCTGGGAGCATCCGTGGGGTGGGGGTATCTGGGAGCGTCCGTGGGGTTGGGGGCATCTGGGAGCGTCCGTGGGGTGGGGGTATCTGGGAGCGTCCGTGGGGTTGGGGGCATCTGGGAGCGTCCGTGGGGTTGGGGGCATCTGGGAGCATCCGTGGGGTGGGGGTATCTGGGAGCGTCCGTGGGGTTGGGGGTATCTGGGAGCGTCCGTGGGGTGGGCGTATCTGGGAGCGTCCGTGGGGTGGGGGTATCTGGGAGCGTCCGTGGGGTTGGGGGTATCTGGGAGCGTCCGTGGGGTGGGCGTATCTGGGAGCGTCCGTGGGGTGGGGGTATCTGGGAGCGTCCGTGGGGTTGGGGGTATCTGGGAGCGTCCGTGGGGTGGGCGTATCTGGGAGCGTCCGTGGGGTTGGGGGTATCTGGGAGCGTCCGTGGGGTGGGGGCATCTGGGAGCGTCCGTGGGGGTGGGGGTATCTGGGAGCGTCTGTGGGGTGGGCGTATCTGGGAGTGTCTGTGGGATGGGGGCACCTGCGAGCGCCCGTGGCAGCTGCTTTGCTTTCCCCATGGGTGGTAGTCTCACGCTGCCCCCACAGGCCCGGCCCCTCCAGTGGGAACATGTGCCTGCACTTTTTAGTCGAACATGTAAATTAATCAGCAGCAGTCCAGCCTAAAAAGAGAAGCTGAACACTGTTCGTTTGGGGGCTCATCGGCTCACTGCCGCGTGGTCAGTCCTGGTGCCGTGAGCACAGCCAACCGGACTGTACCACATGTTCCCTTCTCCCTGGGCTGAGCAATCGCTTCCCCGCTAAATGTTCGGCAGCACTTTGCCTTGTACGTGTCTACGTCTGCAGGAGGGGCTGTGACTCATCCCCAGCCAACTGTATTCCAAGCACAGCCATAGTTCAGAGTGAATCTTTATGGTCTGTGAATTCTGGAGTTTCAGAAAACTCTCTCATTCAACGTTGTGAGTAAACCGTAAGAAAAAATATTGAACACCAACATAGTCATCTGGGTACTGGGAAATACTCCCATGCCCGCACCAAGATTTCATTATTCAATGAAAAGTCCAAGGTAGTGCTTACATTTCTGGCCTGACCTCTAGATGTGTAGAATTTCAGAGCTGGAAGGACAGAGACCCCACCTAGCTCGACCCTTCCCTTCACAGGTGGACAGGACCGGTCTTGTCAGATAGAGTGTTTAGTAGCAAGGCAGGTGCTAGAAATTAGGTCTGTATCTTTTGGCTGCACAGTTCGATTCTTGTTTTATGAATGTCGTACTTAGAAGCCATTGGCTACATTAAAAAACTTGGTAGTGAGCTAAAATAAAATGCTCCTTTAAGTTATAATTGTTTTTAGTAAAATTTAAGCCATTTTAACACAGGGTGCTTGGATTAAATGCAGTACGATAACACATCGATTATTTTTATAAGCTAACTAATAAAAATTCACAGAGCGTTTTCTGCATGCAACAGAATATGTGGGTAACAGGACATTGGGTCTGTGACAAGGTCTGAGCTAGAAGGACCGTATGGCCCATGAAGCACAGTGTATGCAAGTGCTGTTGTAATTTAGTAAACCGCCACTAGGGGGCATTGAAAGCGCGTCTAAGGATTATTCTCCTGCGCAAATGTTTTCCTTTTGCTGTCACCATGGAGAATACAGATATAATAAAACACACTGGTTTAAGAGACCATTTAGACCTGTAATAAGATACACTCCGTAAAGCGTGTGAAGTTACTGGATCAGCAGCACACAAATGCAGAAGTAAAAAAGTTTCATTCATTGGAATGAGGAGGAGAACACAATTAAAAAGATGAAATGTTATATTCTGTGGTTAAAGAATTCTACATTCTGTGGTTATATATTCTGTGATTTTGCCCTGCATGTAACTTTACAGAAGAATCAAAGAAAAGTTGGCCAAAGATACAAAGTTTTTCTTTTGTATTTTTTTGAGAAGGAGTCTGGCTCTGTCGCCCAGGCTAGAGTGCAGTGGTAAGATCTCGGCTCACTGCTACCTCCACTTCCTGGGTTCAAGCAATTTTCATGCCTCAGCCTCCCGAGTAGCTGGGATTATATGTGCGTGCCACCACACCGGCTAATTTTTTTTTTTTTTTTTTTTTTGTGAGATGTAGTTTTGCTCTTTTGCCCAGGCTGGAGTTCAGTGGTATGATCTTGGCTCACTGCAACCTCTGCCTTCCAGATTCAAGCAATTCTCCTGATTCAGCCTCCCAAGTATCTAGGATTACAGCCCGCCACCACGCCTGGCTAATTTTTGTATTTTTAGTAGAAATGGGATTTCGACATCTTGGCCAGGCTGGTCTCAAACTCCTGACCTCAGGTGATCTGCCCACCTTGGCCTCCCAAAGTGCTGGGATTGCAGGTGTGAGTCACTGCACCCTGGCCTGATACTTCTTTATAGAGTATAATAAATGGACTTATTATTTAGCCCATCATTCTCTCTTAACAGAATGCACCAAGAGTTTCTCTGGCTTGAGTGATTGGCCAGGCACCTCACGTTAGCGTCTGCAGCCTTGAATCGGGAGGCAGGTTGGGCGCAGGCTTCTCGTGCGCACCAGCGAGCACCCGGGCCAAGCGTGGAGGCTCTGCGGGCTGGGGGTCCGGCCCACACCATCAGCCTCTGTGCAGCCGTTGCTTTTTCCGTTGACCAAAGCCATGACCTTACCTTTATGCAGTCGTGTTCAGAGAGAGATGAAGCCTCAAAGGCAAAGTCAGACTGACACTCCTGGGAGCATGACGGGAGTTGATCATTTTTTGGAAATGTAGATATTCCGTTTACAAATCTAAGCACCGTTACCAAGAGTGGTAAGTTTCTGCAGGCAGTAGGACCTTTCCAGAGGATTAGCAGCTGCTGTGTTCCCTGTGGGGTTGGCAGTGGGCTGGGGGCACAGCACGGATGGGATTGTAATGTATACCATTTATCTTGGTATAGAATCTTCCAGTTTCTTGTCTTTTTTTTTTTTTTTTTTTTTTTTTGAGACACAGTCTCGCTCTGTCGCCCGGGCTGGAGTACAGTGGCGTGATTTGGACTCACTGCAACCTCCGCCTCCGAGGTTCAAGCAATTCTCCTGCCTCAGCCTCCCAAGTAGCTGGGACTACAGGCACCCACGCCATCATGCCCGGCTAATTTCTGTATTTTTAGTAGAGACAGGGTTACACCATGTTGGCCAGGCTGGTTTCGAACTCCTGGCCTCAGCCATTCCACTCGCCTCTGCCTCCCACCGTGCTAGAATTACAGGTGTGAGCCAACATCCCTGGCCAGAGTCTTCTAGTTTTTGAAGGTTTTTTTCTTTTCCCTCTTAGTTTTTCTTACCCTAAGATAGAGGGCTTCTCCCTACCAGTTTTTCGTTTGTTTATTGTTTTCACCCTTTATTTTCTCTCACTACACAAGGTTCATTAGAATTTGAGAAATTGTAGCATCTCATATTAGAACACTTTCAATTTCTATATTTGTAAAATGGGACTAATTGTATTTTCAGTACCTCAAATGAGAAATAGATCCAATCACAAACTCAGTATTCTTCAAACATTTTCTCTATCAGAATATGTACAAATTGAATGTCTAGAATTTATAAAGATTTTGGAGAATTTTACTACTTTCAGTATATAGAGTAGTGAAAATTTGGCAGAAAGTCATGAGAAAAGAAGTTAAGTAAAAGTGGGTATTTCATCAGAGCGGAGAGCCACATTCCCCTTAGGAGGGTAGCTTTCTCAAAGTAGTCTTTTAGTGCCAAAGGACAATGTTTTACCATCCTCTAAGATGTAGGGCATTCTGTGGGGAGCCAATGGGTAGAGCTGGGGCCCAAGGTTCAGGTGTTGCAGTCGAATCAGTAAACTCCGGCGGCATCCAGGGATGTGCACGGTGCCGGGGCACATTCACAGAACCTACCTGCAGGTGGGCACGGCTTTGTAGAGAGGGTAGGCACAGCCGCCGTGGGATGAAGCCTGCTCCCAGCACTGTTAGCGGTTGACAGTGTTGTCGGGGATCTGGGCAGCCATGTGGGCCAGGCCCCAGTTTGGCCAGCGCTGCAGCTTCCTCTCTCTGATTCATCGAGTTCCCAGATCTGTTTCTTACAGAAGAAGAAACACCTGCTGCCGAAATACAGTTTGAAAAACCCTGATCTCAGAAATAGGATTCCTGATGACAGACCTTAGCAAATATTCCAATAATTATACCAACTGTACTAAAGATCCCAGTACTCGAGTAATTCACCATAAATGAGTGAAAATTATTCAACTGGATTAGAAATTGCCAGCCTTGGATCCTTTTCTCAGATATTTTGTTTTCCTGGGTATTTTCCCTCTTCTGGGTTCTTAGTGCCCGTCCCCCGTAGCTCCGTCACACAGTCCTGTTGCTGCTACCTTGGGGCCCAGGCGTGTCTTTTGTCCCCCAGTGCCTGGCACGGTGCCCTCCAGGAGTACTCCTGGGATTGGTGGCAGGTCATGCAGTCATTGCTCACCAGAGCCAGGACATGCCTGGGCTGCTGAGTGGGGCGTGCCCAACTCTTTCTGCTTTGAGTTTTCTTTTTCCTCCAGTGGCAAGGTTTGCGTGGTCTTCACTCTTTTGCAGAAAATTGTTGGCATTGCATCATTGGCTTATGCTACTAAATAATGTTTTAAGGAATTGGAGTTTTGCGAGGAGATGGTGACAAGCCTCACTCAGGTCTTTGGTTTCTGTCCTCCTTCCTGGGCAGGCCCTTTGCCCAAATGGTTGTTAAAGAAATGCAAACAGTTAGTTGTTCCGTTCATGCTGTTGCGTGAGATAAGTTAGGATGCTCTTGAAGAAGTTTAGTGACATTCAGAGGAAATCCTTCCAACACAATATACAATTAATTGCTGTAAAATATCGTGGTCAAAATCTCGGGGAGGCAGTGAAAAAAAAACGAAAGCAGTGACTAAAGGGCATCTCCAGGTGCCGCCTCTCACCTGGTCCTGGATCATGGGGGAGGCACAGGCGACGCTCCGAGGCAGCCTGGCTTGTGTTAGCTGAGTTCTGCTTTGGCACAGGGGAGGGAGGACATGGCCCTCGGCTGCCAAGGAGCATCCAGTCCTTTCCAAGGACTTTGGTTTTCCAGAGTTACACTTCACATGTATTTCTATTAAGATACACACTTATGTATGTTTCATATATTAGCAAGTGTATCTCATATCTTCTGAATACACACATTTAAACATGTTTTTGTGATTAAAATAACTTGTTTGTAAAAATACAGGAAACTGTAAGACAGCAAGTAAAAATCACCTATAATCCCACCTCCTAGTAATAACACATATATATACACACACATTTTTTTCTTTCTTTGTTTCTTTTTTTTTTTTGAGACGGAGTCTCACTGTATCGCCCAGGCTGGAATGCAGTGGTGGGATCTCCGCCCACTGTAAGCTCCGCTCCCCGGGTTCATGCCATGCCATTCTCCTGCCTCAGCCTCCCCAGTAGCTGGGACTACAGACGCACGCCACCCCACGCCTGGCTAATTTTTTTTGTATTTTTAGTAGAGACGGGTTTCACAGTGTTTGCCAGGATGGTCTCGATCTCCTGACCTCATGATCTGCCCACCTCGGCCTCCCAAAGTGCTGGGATTACAGGCGTGAGCCACCACGCCTGGCCTCTTTCTTTTTGAGACAGAGTCTCACTCTGTCACCCAGGCCGGAGTGCAGTGGTGCCATCTCGGCTCACTGCAACTGCCGCCTCCTAGGTTCAAGTGATTCTCAAGTGGGGGCTCCGGAGGGTTCCTGCATTGCCCATGATGGATATTCACGCAATCATAAAATCTCCTAAAGTAGAAGATTTAAATAGAAGCTTAAACTGAAGGACAAGGCTTAGAACACTCAGAATCATTTCAGACTTTTATTTAAACTGCTTAGAAAAGCTGGTGGATTTTGAGAAAAAAATTGCCTTTCATGGATTATCACAGTCAGTGCTAGGATAATTAAGCTCAAAGTGGCAGATTCCAATGCTTCAGGAATGTCTGACCCCTGTACCGAGATGGTGTGGTGAGCAGGAAGATGGGGTCCCAAAAGATACTCAAGTTCTAATCCCTGGAATTGACGAATATTATATTTTGTGTCCAAAATATAAAGGGTCTTTGCAGATGTGGTTAAGAATCTTGAATACCTTCTGATTGGGCCCTGAAAGCAATTGCATGTATCCTTATAATAGGGAGGGAGAAGGGTCCACGTGGAGCAGAGGAGTTTGAAGATGCTGCCTGGATGTTGGGACTAACATGGCCCAGGAGTGCGGCCGCCGCAGGTGCTGGGAGGCCCACAGATAACTGCTCACCTGTAGTCTCTGGGTCCGGCATGGCCCCCAGCACCTTGTCAGCCAAGTGATGGCGATTTTGGACTTTGGCGTCCAGAACTTTGAGAAAATTAAGTTTCTGTTGGGCCACTGGGTTCATGGGAACTTGTTAGAGCAGCTGCAGGAAGCTAAGGCAGATGGTCAGAGGCAGGCCGCCTCCAGAGGGCTTCTGCTGGGGAGCACGGTCTCCAGGCTGCGCCATAGGTGCAGAAGGTTCAGGTGCACCTGAGGAGCCTTGGGGCCACTCTGGGGCTCCCACCACACGTGGGCACAGCTGGGAGCAGGGCACCCCCAGGAACCCACGGACCTGCCACAGGATGCAGCCAGGGTGACCTAAGGCATGTGGGCGTGCAAAGATGACGGGCGTGGCTTTTCAACTGGAGACATGCCGGTCTCTGCCCTGTGGAACTGGTGGCCGTGTGTTCACGTGACTTGAGAGCTCCATCTGCCCTGTCTGGTCTTCCCCGAAGAGTGATCCCCACCTGGAGAGGCTTAGAGCCCAGGAAGCTGAAGCGAGGAGAGGCTGTGTGACTCCGGCCGTTGTGGTGGGTGCTCATCTGCGTCAGTTACATCTTGTGCAGTCAGGGGCTCCCTCCTTCCTTCTTCCAACTCACTCCTTACCTCCCCCTCTTCCCAGCACTCCTGTCTCTCCCCAGTGTTAGAAATGAGTTCTGAATTTCTCTTCAAAGAATCAGTATGTCGTTTTAACCTTACAATATTTCATATTTTAATCATTCATCCTTTTTACTTGTTTCGAGGCCTGTGACAAAAAATTCAGATGGAATTACATAACTGTTCTGTTTAGAAAATAGAAGTAAATGCAATGTTCCGGAGCTGACATGTTTCTTGTTTCTTTTTTTTTTTCTTTTCTTATCTTTTTTTTTTTTTTGAGTTGGAGTCTCACTCTGTTGCCCAGGCTGGAACGCAGTGGTGCGATCTTGGCTTACTGCAACCTCCGCCTCCGAGTTCAAGTGATTCTCTTGCCTCAGCCTCCCAAGTAGCTGAGATTACATTAATTAACCAGCCACCATGCCTGGCTAATTTTTTGTATTTTTAGTAGAGACAGGGATGTCGGCCAGGCTGGTCTCGAATCCTGACCTCAGGTGATCCGCCTGCGTCAGCCTCCCAAAGTGCTGGGATTACGTGTGTGAGCCACCACACCCAACCCCAGATATTTCTTATAATCCCGCTAATGACAAGACAAGCAGAGCTGATGCTTTATGACAGACCACACTGAGAAACTCTGATTTCTCTTGACGAACTTCCCTAAAGACAGCTGTTGACAAATAGCTCCTCACCAGCAGGCGCATGTATTCCAGCCCCATCAGATCTCCATCTTAGCTGTTCCTCAGTCAGCTACCAAGAAGCCAGCACTTGTAGGTTATGGCTTGTGGATGGATAAACTCTGGGCTGGACCACAGAGTCCTCCCATTCATGGTGCTTCAGCATCTCACTTAGTCAGTTGACCCAGCTGTGAAATGGATCTGCCTTTTCTTGATTATCTTCTTCTGGGAATGCCTCTCATAGCTGAAATGTGTCTGTAGCTTGGGCCTAAGAAGGTGGGTGACACTGAACACAAGGCAGAGAGTTCATTGTCACAGGACTGAGCACAGCTGAGCGGCTGTGACCAGCCTTCACATGGAACCAGCCGCGAGTAGACAGGCAGAGGCCGCCCTCGGAGCCTGGGATGCAAGCGGGTCTCTCTCTGACCTTCAGGAGGTCACTGAGTCCTTGTGGGCCCTGCATTCTTTATGTGCCCAGTAAAGCTGTCGGGATGGCTCTGTTTGATTTTGTTGGGATATGGAGTGAAAAGCACCAAGCTGTCTGTAGCCACTTTTTCTCCCCTCTGTGTTTTGGAAGCAGATCAACTTACTATTGTTCCTGGTGGAGGGGGTCCAGGTTTTTGGCCTTTTGAGCAAAGAATTGAACAAAATGCACAAACAAAGCAAGGAAAGAATGAAGCAACAAAAGCAGAGATTTATTGAAAACAAAAGTACACTCCACAGGGTGGGAGCAGCCGGAGCATAGGGGCTCAAGAACCCAGTAACAGAATTTTCTGGGGTTTAAATATCCTCTAGAGGTTTCCCATTGGCCATTTGGTGTACACCCCATGCAAATGAAGTCATGGCCCCCAGTCAGTCTGATTTGTTGCAGAAAGCAACCAATCCAAGGTGGAAGTGAGGTTACAAAGGTTACACTTCTATGCAAATGAAGATTTGGCCTACGGTCAGTCTGATTGGTTGTGGAAAGCAACCAATCAAAGGCTGAAGCAAAGTTACAAAGTTACACTCCTATGCAAATGTCTGATTGATTGGTTGCAGAAAGCAACCAGGTGGAGGCACTTTCAGTTTTCCATCTGCCTTGCAGAAAAGGCAGGGAGGGGGTTGCAAAGGGAGCAGCCTCAGGTCCTTTTGTTACTTAGGTGTGGAAAGTTGGGGTTTTCGTTCGATTTAGTTCTAGGAAGTCAGCGTGAATCGGCCTTAGGTTCCCTGCCCCCATACTCTGTTCTACTACCTCACTATAGATTCTGATCCTTTTAAATAATAGCGCCAGTTCATTCATTAGAAACAGTGGTTGGACCTGGGAATGGACTGGTGAGTCATGTCCTCTCCTATGGAAGTTTCCTGAGATGGGGGCTGGTTTTCTTCGGAGAATCACAGTTTATCTTCTAATTAGTTGAGTGCCCTTTGTTTTCCTTTACTGTCCTTGCACCAAAAAAAGAAAAAAATCTCGAAAATATTGCCAACATTTATTGAAGAGACTTTTTTCTTCTTTTCTTGCTTGAGATATTTTACGTTTGAAGACAATCAACTCTTCATCTCACCTGCTGGTCCATTCAGCCAACTTTTTTTCCCCCTCTAAGATTTTTAACAAAAATAAAACAGGACCAAGAGATAGCAATTACTACTACTATTATGACTACGATGAACAAAAGTTAAATTTCTTAATCTCAGATTGTTTTACTGCCTTGCAATTAAATATCCAGATCTAGGAGAAAACTATTTGTAGAAGTCTTGAAAATTCAACTCATAAATAAATGCCCTTATTCTTGATATTATAGACATTTCTTCTGTAAAGTATGGCACATCTATAAACTAAAAATGCACATCTGGAAAATCCGTAAGGCAGAAATTCCAGCCTCCCCTATCCACAGCCATCAGAGGAGTCCCTCACACACCTGTCGCCAGCCCAGGGCTGGGAAGATAGAGGTGCTGCTGCAGAGGGAGTTCCATGACTCACCCCTGCTTCCAGTTTTTAAAAAGGGCTGAGTCTGTCGGGTTGAGTACTTCCCTTCCATCACGGCAGGCAGTCACTTTTCCCAAGTCAGCGTGGACTTGGGCAAGACCAGTAGGCTAATGGGAAAATAAGATTCCAAACCTTTAAGTGTAGTAGCCTAAAAATTGCTGATAGGAAAGCGATCAAGGACTGAAAACTGTCGCATTTAAAATGGAAATGAAGCCAGGGCTCTGAAGTAGAGCTGGGCCTAAATGCAGTGATTAAAATAGTCGTTAGGCTGCTCGCAATTACCCTAGATGCAGCAGGCTGCCTGCATCTTTATGGCGGTACTTTGATTCCAATCAGAGATTTCACATGAACTTATTTTGGTCTTTTCAATGACGTCTCAGAGTAGAAAACAGATGCAGTCCTAAAGTAATTACTAACCTTTTTATCTTGTGAAAGAGAATTCAGATGAGCGAGATCTCTGCGGTGGGTTGATCTGAGTGATTGGCGCCTGCATTCACTCGCCCATTCATTCACCTCCTGTGCTTGTCACCAGGCTACAAAAACGAAGCCACCACCCCTCTCTGGTGCCAAAATGTCAGTTTGGGGAAAGCTGGAGCTCCCTTCTGAGAGCCAAATTTATTTTTTTTTATGGAAGAGATTCCCCTGTAAATTCTGGGAAAGTTTGAGAGAAAGCTCCAGGAGTAGTGACAAAGCAAAAGGACTGGGTGAACAGAAGGGGCATCGGAGATTGTCCTGTCTGCCTGCAGCCAGCTGGGGAACAGAGAAGGTGAGTGGGGACAGAGCCCACAGGTCCTGCAGGTGTCCAGGAACCAACCAGTGATGAGCAGTAACCAATTTGGGATTCCTGTCCCAGACTGTAGCACACTCTTTGGCACAGGATTTTGTCATGGGGTGTGTCACCCTCAACGAAAGGAGGTTTGCATCGGTATAGCCTGTGTTTGGTGCCCTGATGACTGAAAGAATTCCTGTGAGATCATTTTGTGCCAGCCAAAAGTGAGTTGTATTAGCGGAAGCATAAAAAGCTGTCCTCTTAAATCATAGGTGTAATGACGTCCTTTCCAGGACGAGTTACCATAGAAAGCTTTTTAAACAACATTTATTTTCCTACCTTCTGAACCTATTTCTTAAAGACAAAAAAGAAAAATAAATGTACTTTGCTCTGTTATTGTCAGCCTAGATTTCTCTGTCTGCCAGGAGATAAAGCCTTAATAATTCACGGCCACTGAGAAGTGTCATAGTCCTTCCTCCCACCCCGCCCCGAGTTAAGTGTTAACCCCAGTACATACCTGGTCACGCTCTAATTTAGTAATGATGATACTTTGCTGTTATAAATTTTCTCTGGGGACTTGCGGGGATGGAAGAGCCTTTACTTTGTCTTAAATTCTATGTACGTGTAATTAATCAAAACATTGATTAATACCCCTGGAAGTATTTCAAAGATAGAAAAACATTGGAAACACATTTTAGGAATTTCTGATATAAGTTTTCAAGGAGGTTGTGCAGAATTGGTAAAGAGAATTGAGTATGAAGATGGCCTGTTGATTCCTTTTAAGCGTTTAAGTTTTTCCGTGCCTGGGATTGCCTTATGTGCAACCGCCAGCTTCTGTCCTTTGAAGGTTTTCCTAAGATATTTTCCTAGTTTAATAGGAAGTGTGGACATGGGACATTGTACGGCTTAGGAGACTGCGTTGTGTTTGGTTTTGAATATATATTAGATGCGTGACCCTCCCTCTTAAGAACTGATTTTGCTTTGAGAAGATCTACAAGGGCCAAAAGTGGACCTGTTTCAAAATTCTGGTCACAGTGTCTAGGATGTGGTGAATTCTCCATCAGTGTGGCTTAATGAATGAGAGTGACAAGGGAGGAGGGTGGGGCTCCAAGGCCTCGCAGGGGTGGTCAGGACTGGTGTTGCCTCCTCCCTCAGCCTCTCTCCCCCTACCTACTGCCCATTCGGAAGTCCAGGCCTCCTCCTCAGTCACTGAGACTGCTTTGTCAGCCTCCTGCTTCTGTATCCAGGCAGATGACCCCACACTGAATCTTTGCTGTGCTGGCCTCTGCTCTTGCCTGTGACAGAGCTCAGATAGGATTCTTTCCTGTTCGAAAGCCTTTGATGCCTCCCTAGCACCTACCATAGTGGTTTCCAAACTTGTTTTTGGCTGTGAACCCCTCTTGTCGAGGGTCTCCTAAGTTGAAGGCCAGTGTGTAAGGCAGTGGGCAGTGCAGGGCGCCAGTATTTCCGCCCTCTGAATGTGGCACCACCTGTCCCAGTGGGCGTCACTCGCTCATGAGCAGCTATTCCCAGAGAGCCTCCTGTGTTGCAGGTGCTATGCCCTGCAGGGAGCGGAGGGCCCTCCCCCTTCCCCTTGCACACCTTGTACTCCAGGCACTGCAAGCTCGCACCCTTTCCTTAGCCTCAAAGCCTTGCTCTGAGCGAAAACCTGCCCGTCCCTCAGGCATCGGCACCAACTCGGAGCCCCTTTTCCAAAATCTCGAGGCTCTCCTAGCCCTTTCTTGGCTGCAACCTCTCTGGCTTTTCCGCCAAACTGGAATCAGCCTCGGAGCAGGAAAAGCTGGGGCCGTGCTCACCTTTGCTTCCCTTTGCTGAGTACATGGTGAGTTCCCAGCACGTTTTATCATGTGAGCGTCTGCTCTTGAGAGGCCAGGCTGGATCCTGCAGAGAAACGAGGAAGTATTAGACAGAAGTGATGCTGGGCGCGGTGGCTCATGCCTGTAATTCCAGCACTTTGAGAGGCCAAGGCGGGTGGATCACGAGGTCAGGAGATCGAGACCATCCTGGCTAACACAGTGAAACCCTGTCTCTACTAAAAATACAAAAAATTAGCCAGGCGTGCGCCTGTAATCCCAGCTACTCGGGAGTCTGAGGCAGGAGAATCACTTGAGCCTGGGAGGCGGAGGTTGCAGTGAGCCGAGATTGCGCCACTGCACTTCAGCCTGGGTGACAGAGCGAGACTCTGTCTCAAAAAAAAAGACAAAAGTGATTTCCTGAGCTGCTCCGAGCTGGAGACAGAACCAGCAGACATGGGACAGAAGAAGAATTACAGGTGTGAAGCGCCCGTGTGGGGCTGATTCCCACCTGCCTCCTCGTTATCAGCAGGCAGCCTTGCGTCTGCCTCTGGGAGCAGAAACCGTTGTTTCACCAGCAAATTACGCTGGCTGTACTCGCCATGTCCTGTTGCCATAGAGGACGAGTCACAGCTGTCTCACCTGCACCCCTCCAATCGCCTTCTCAGAATCCGACGCTGGTCCTAAGTGCCTTCAGCTGTCACCTGAGCACGTTCAAGCCTCCTGCCCAGCACCTTCCTAGAGCACCGCCATTGGCATAAGGACTAGGTAGGCAGATGTCCTGATAAAGGTGCACGCTCAAGTGTTTGAGACGTTAACGAATGATGGCTGTGATGTAATTGACTCAGTTGACACATACAGAGATAGAACAAATATGGCAAAGGACTTGTATTTATTGGATATTAGTGGGTTTATGGGGTTTATCTGTTGTATGTTACATTTTCTGTACCTTTGAAATGTTTGTAGTGGTTGGAAGGAGGGGACTTCCTTGGCCCCTCCTGGCTCTGCCCTGAGCCCGCTGCCCTCACCCTCTGCCTCAGACCTGGGCGATCTCATATCTGTGTGTTTCACCGAGGCACTCACATTTCTGGCCACTGAGACCCTTTCTCTGAGCTTGAGACTTAAATATCAGCTGTGTCCTTGACATCACACCTGGGCCCCAGCTGGGTGGCCCCTCTGTCCCTGGCTCAGGTTAGACCCCTGGGCCACTCTGACTCCCCTCCCTTCCTCCCTGTGGCTGCTTGAGCACCAGGTTGTATTGGTTCATGTACCTTGTACGACCCTTGCCATCAGAGCCCTGGCCCCAGCCACCATCGCCCCGCCTGGGTTTCCTTCTGCACTTTCCACTTTGGGTATCCACCCATTTCCCCCAGTTCTTTGACCAGTGCAGCCAGCAGGGAATTTTATTTCACGTCTAATCAGACAGCATCTCTTTAGTGTCTTTCTCAGACCACCACTGTGCTGTGGGTCCTGAGAGCCAGAAGGTTCTTCGAGGTTCTTAAGAGTCCCTGTCCTCATGCTTCCTGCTCCGTGCTCTTCCTCCTGCCCCAGGCCCCTCACTCACTCGCTCCTTATCTGTGAGCATAGAGCTCCAGCTTCTGGCTTCCCAGGGAGTGTTTCTTCCCCCTCTCCTCCCTAGTTCAGTTCTGAGGTCGGAATTCCCGGCTACCATGTGGCTCCCCTGACTGGAGACGCAGTGCCAGGGTCCTCATCTGGGAAACTGGTGATGATAGAGGTCCTGCCAGTGCTTGGAGCAGGGCCCCACACAAGGTAGGACTCAGCATGGCCTGGAGATGACGGTGGCCTCTGATGGCTGTGTTCTTGGTCTAGACTGTAAACCCCATGGGATCAGGAACAACCACATCTAGACCCTCATATTAGGGATGCCAGCCCGGGCACCACATCTTTGTCACCTGCATCTCTGTGGCCTCTCCAGCCCCGTGGCAGTCCTCACTGCAGGAGGCTGGCACCCTCTCTGTGCCTCACATGGATCAACTGACTTCCCTCACCAACCCCAAGAAGCATATCCTGTGTGTATGTTTTACAGATAAGGAAACTGAGCCACAAAAGGGCCAGGTAACTTGGTAAAGATCATGCAGGTCATAAATTGCCTCACTGAGCTGGGAACCCAGGCAGTCAGCTTCGGCGCTCCCCACCCCTGTTAGGCAACCTATGAACATTTACCAAGAACACAGACTCATCTGCAAGGAAGCCTCAGTAACTTGATGAGGAGCAGCTAGAAGACTCGAGGGAGAAAAATCCTTGTAGACACATCAGTGGATTCAGGTGACTTGTGTTATTTTTAAAATACAGCCTCGCCAAGATACAATTCACACAGTCTCCAACCTAACGATTTAGCTCTGCTTTTAAGACTGTGTTGGGTTTGACTTTTTTTGAGGGGCCTCGGCCACTCTTGGGTTGTTTGTAATCTAAAAATAATTGGGGATGAATATTGGTTACATTTCATCCCGTAGGACCTTAGTCTGTCTGGTCACCACTTACCCCTCCAGGCTCTTCGAATGCCATATTTGGCTATGTGAGAATTTGTCAGAGCTCAGCTCAGCACTCAGAACCCGCTGGCTCTCCGGGTTCTGCCCTTCAGCTCTGCGAGTCCAGAGCCCAAGCTGCTCCTTGGAAAAGCGGAGGCCACTAGATGGCAGTACCGCCCTGGCTAGAGGTGCCCTTGGGGCTGAGGCTCAGACATCCCTGCCCCTGGTTTCCTTCAGGTGAGATCATCAGTAACCTACAGGCTTTGCAGACTGAAGGTGAAAACCAGTTAATGTGCTACATCCATTTTAATTTGAAAGATACAATGAATTAAATTAGGCATAAAGTGAATGTGATAGGAAACTGGAAGCTCATGGCTGAAGCCTGGACCGCTGTCAGAACTGTGCAGCCTAAAGCCGGGACCCCTGGTAGCTGCTTTGTAAAGGGCAGCAGCAGCAAAATCCTCACCACTCGTGCTTGGAATGTACGCTGCAAAGTTTGTACTTAACAGCAAATGGCATAAATAGCCTCTATTCCATTAAAGAATTGGACTGCACAATCTCCTTAGAGAAAATTTGATGAAGCGGTTCATGCAAGACCTGGAGTGATGGTATCACCACGTTAGCCTAAAAGAGTGTTTGAAATAGGAGGTGACATTCCTGGGGGGGGCTGCCCCTCCCACCTCCACCCCTACCTCCTGTTTTCACCATTTCTTGATACAGTGGTGCCTAATTTTATTTCAAGAAGAAGATAGTTTGTTGCTTTTTTTCTTTTTTTACAGCTTTAAAAAATAAGTTGAGGAATTTAGGTTTAAGAAAATTAATAGCTACAGGTAACTGCAAAAGATATCATTGGCAGATGCAGCAAAATATATATATATGTATTTCCACAGAAAATTGGATTCTGCCCATAAAACTTAGTAATACTAATAAAGACAGGTCATTACCAGTTTTAAGCCAAGTAAGCAAACTCAAAGAGATCTTCTGTCAGTGTGATTCTTGGTGGTTTTTTATTTTTTTGGAGAAGTGTAAATCAGCTTTAGTGCAGCAAGCACACCACAGATTTGCTGAAATCATTCCTGCCCCTTCTGACGGTGGGTAGAGTTGCTCGGCCAAGTAATTTACAGTGCTGTGGCAAGGTATGTTTATATTTAAGCTGTGCAACGGTGTAGCTAATGAGAAAGATAAGAAATTTATAGTCCTTGGTGATTGATAGGATTACTGCCTAGGCATTAATTGAAATCTGAGGGATCACAGCTGTGGGTTTAAGTTGGGGGAAAAATTACTTCAAGTAAAGGAAAACTTTTAGATTTGCTTCTGAACATTTTGAAGATAGTTCTCCCGCTGACAGTCTGGTTGGTGGTAGAAACAGTTGATCCTGGCCGAGGCTGGGGTAATTATACTGAGATAATGATGGTATCTGCTGTGTAGCCTCTTCAAGGTAGGTGGTTTATAAGTGTGGGAAAAAAAATTAAATACTGTGGGGTTTTTAAATGGCTTTAAAATTTTACATGTATAAGAATAAAATTCTCTGCAGCCACTCTTTGCTAAATATTCTCTGGACAATTATTTAAGACATTTTAAAAAAAGAAACCCAAACTAATAATGACAGAGGCAAACCTGTGATATTAGTCATTGCCTTAAAATTTCCACTGATTATATTTAATCTGGGTATGTCTAAAGTAATCTTACAGACCTTTCCCTACCTGTCATTTTTTAAATGTACCATTCTTGTTGAAGCTCAGTCTTGTGAAAATGTCTAAATTTTCCCATTAAGTGCTTAAAAAGTAATAAAACTAAAGTCATTAGACTTCACTCATCAGAGCTATATTGGGAGAAATATTCTTTGGTGCAATAAATCTGTCCAGGGGTTCGACATTCATATCCCTTGGATTCATTCCCTGGAAATGGACGTTTGAAGGTAAATTGCTTAAGTAGGGCAGTTTAAATTTTTAATACAATCTTATTGTAACTGTTATCACATGATTAAAGTGCAAAGGGGCCTTAGATGTTTTGTAAGATTTATAATAAATGCTCTATGATGCCTTTTCTGTGCTGAATTATGGATGTTATGACAGTTAAATGCTTATAAAGGCCAGAAAGGCACAAATGAAGAGTTGGGTCTTTATTGGAGACTAAATCACACTTATTGAATGCAGACAGTTTTTCACTGGACACGTGTTCATTCCTAGATTCACAGTCTCGGAGGCACCTAGAAGCCTTCGTAAGCCAAACAGTATCCAGTGCCTCTCTTTTCTAATGCAGTGGGCTCTGGAAGGGTAAGGCCTGAGCCAATGGAAGCTGTTTTGAAAAATACCCAAATAGCAAATTATTGTTCCCATCACCAGTTGGCTTTTTTGGGGGGAGGAGGGACTTTTTTTTTTATGTAAATAATCTCATCAGAGGCCTGATTCTCTAATGGATGCCGCTAGTGTATACGGAGTTTCCGCATTCCTTTTGTAGAATCAAGGAAGCTTGAAGCTACGTCTTCATGCATCATGGGAGCTGTGATGCCCTTTAACTTTCTAGACCCAGTGACACAATGTGGTTCCTTTCATGTTCACTGTTTGGCCATAGTTGATTGGAATTGTTGTTTTAAGGCCTAGTTTAACTGGACAGCAGGACTAACTCTTCATTTCAGAAGGAAGGCCTGCAGCCCAGGAGATGGAGCTGGGCAGGTGCCCTCCTCACGAGAGGCTACAGGCCAGACGCAGGGCACCAAGAGCATGGCATTTGATTCAAAGCCATGGTTGAGTGGATTTTCAATCTATTTGAAGGATAACTTTGGCTACTATATAGTATTTACACTCCTGCCCATTTTTTTTTTTTGTATTTTTTCCATCAAAAGAGAAATCTGTTTTGAAAACAGAGGTAATGTCTTTACCATCTTTCTCATGTATATTATTTTTTGGAGGAAGGAAATAGCCAGTTTTCTATACTTTGACAATGTCACCATTTGCCATCTAAAATTTCACAAGCTGTAATTTGCCTTTTACTTACATATCTCATCCACAGATGTATTTGAGTGTCCACAGTGAAATGGTTGCATTACTTTCAGATTACTTCCTTTAATTCTTTAGATGGGTGCTAATGGTTTGGGTTATTAACTGGCACAGATCTGAGTTCTTTTTGTCTATGCTTGTTGTTTTTTTCCCCCTTCAAAATGAATTTGCAAAAGCATCACTAGAAAAGCTTATGTGTAAACATTTATGCTAGTAATAGATAAAAGGTGCTGTGTAGCAGTACCAGTGGGAGAACGCTGAAGCCCAGAAGGAAAGTCTACCTTCTTTGGAATAACTGAATAGGAGTCCCAGTCACCTATTCCCACTTTCTCTTTAACTATCACCCTTGGATGGTATTGAGGAAACCGTATTGCATGCCTAATTTTCACAGCGTTCAGTATTAAGGTAAACCTACTGATTGTGTTTAAGTTGAAGTATACCTTTTCCAAGTAGCTGTGTAACTGGCAGTGACAGAATAGGTGTTGTATGGGAGGCAGCATTTTCAGCTGTAAGTGCAATAAATTGTGGTTTGTTTATTTTAGTTTTTAACCTTTTAGACTACTTTGTGATCGGCAGGAGATTGTGTGTGTGTGTGTGTGTGTGTGTGTGTCTAGGTTGCAGAGTGAGGATCTGGTCAGTGATTGACACTTGTTTTCAAAGTGTTCACCATGAATTTTTTTTCTTAAATACCATTTTTCTCAGTGAGCTTTGAACCATGATGTCACCAAAGACAAAGTGTTTCTCAGGCTTTTCTTAGTGAAAGATACTTTCCTAAGGTAGTTTATAGCAAGATTTGGGGATTAAAAAAAAGAGTTGAATTTATGGCCTGAAGAGTCATTATAACCTTTTACCTATAGCTAACATTTACATACCTCAGGTCAAATAAATTTAGATGTATGCTTAATGTTCTAAAAGCTCTTTGTTCCTTGCTCATCCTTGGCCGGACCAGAGAAGTTATTGATAATCAGGTGTTGCTTTCTTTGTGGTAGGACATCACCATGTTCTCATAGAGTCCTGTTAGGAAGCAGAGGACGGACTGCTGTGTGTCACTGTGGAGAGAAAAAGACCTTGTGACGTCCCTGTCATCACAGGATTCTAGTATCTTGTTATGCCAGAGATGTGGTTTGAAAACTTGTTTTTATGGACGTACCCACAAAACATTATGCTCTGTGGAAAGAGGCACGCACAGAAAAGAATGATTCCATTTATATGAAGTTCTACAACGGGCAAACTGATTGGTGATGAAAGAAATCGGAAGAATGGTTGCCAGGAAGTGAGAAGGAGGGATTGGTTGGGGTTGGGGGTGGCCCAGAGGAACTCCTCAGGGGGATATTTTCATCGTGGCTTGGGTTACACGGCATCTGTCAACATTCATGGACCGGTACAACTAAGATGTTTTGCATTTCACAGTATGTACATTTAATCTCAAAAAAAGAACCTAATAGTTAATCACGTGCATGTTGAAATGTGTGGGAGTGAACTGATGCCTGCACCGTAGTTGAATTGCATCAGAAAATGAAATGGACGGACGGACGGACGGATGGACGGACGGATGGATGGGTGGATAGATATATAATAAAGCAAGTATGTAGCAACATGTTACAATTATAAAATGTAGCCGGAGTGGAAGGAGGTGTTCGCTTTCAAATTTTTTTTGTATGCTTAAAAAATGTGTTAATAAAATATAGGGGGAAATCAAAAAAATTGTTACTACATTAAAAATGTCATTGTAGGTCTCGTACATTAAGATGGGTCCAGATAAACCTAATTTAATGTGATGTGCTTTCTCACAAGTAGAAGTGTACAGTATAATGAGGAGCCACAATTTTTACAAAAATGAATCCTGCCAGAATTAAAAGGCATACATGATTCTTTGAAGAATTTCACTAATGCATAGAAACTGCGGTAACAGAAAAGAATACTTTGACTTCCTCACTATTCCTAAATCACAGCAGATTACAGATTCAAAATCAATCAGTATTCTCTGCTGAACTCTAATTAACACTTAACATTATTAGTCACAAATGTGAAATCTTGATCGGAGATGGCCTCAGGTATTCTAAATGTAAATAAAATTAGGTTTAGATCCCTTTTAATTACCTGAGGTGCTGTGAGCGATTACAATGGCAATTGATAAACTTAATTTCTTATTAAAGCAAAAAAAAAAAAAAAAAACCATGAAAAGTTTCTCTCTGCTATATACTTAACTCTTCAGTAGCCATGGCCTATGCAAAAAAAATTTACCTGGTTTATATGTTAATCATATAGAATTTAGATCGTTTTAAAAATGTTTATGTGGACCCTCAAATTCATCATGCATCTCCTAAGTTTGTGGGTAATGTTACTATAACATCACAAAGGGCAAAACTTCCCCAGAGGAACTTCACGTATCAGAAAAGGTAGGTTTCTGGGAGGTAATGCTGGTTAAGTAATAATAATGGATGGGTGCTGGGGAGAGTATTACAATGACTTAATGCACAAAGCCCTGTTGAAGACCAAGTGGAAATCTGTTTTGTCATCTCATCCTTCTTCCTAATTGCATCACAATACATTGTATAATTCAACCTGTGTGTCACTGTCACTTCTTCCCGTGCACAGGGCCACCGCTGCTGGCTCATTATTAACAGAGCAGGGAGGAGACGAATAATTCTCTCAGGTTCCAACCAAGACATCTTCTCTCCCCCACTTTAAGAAGAAAATGTCTTTTTTATGTAGATTGTTGTAAGGATAATTATTTCTGGAAATAGGAAAACAGCTTCAGTTGTGGTAGATACATCCATTTTTCTTAAAAGTGAGAAGCTATCCGAAGGAGAGTGTGCCTGTGAGAAATGGAAAGATTACAGAAGTTTCTAAACTCCTTCTTCTGTTGGTGTTCATATCTAAAAATAGGAAGCAAATTAGACCTGATAAGTTGTTAAGCCTATATTAATCAAACTGTGTTAATTTTTTAAAAAGAAAACCAATTATTGCACTTAACTGGATCTGTCTCAAGGTTCCTGATTTCAAAATCGACTTTTGGCCTTTACGTCTTACATTTTCCCTTCTTTAGAACTCTTGCGTCTCCTGTTCCTCATTTATCTTGATCTTCTCATCTTTTTTTCTTTATAATTTTGTGTAGTTTCTTACCTGGAATAATTTAGCATAATCTATTTTTCTTTAAAATTTTGTATAGTTTCTTTAGCTGGAATAATTTAGCATAATCCATTTTTCTTTAAAATTTTGTGTAGTTTCTTTAGCTGGAATAATTTGGCATAATCAGTCTGGCACGCTATCATGTTGTTGGTGGTACCTTTTTCTCTTTGTATGTTTTAAAATCCTTTGCCAGTCACTTTTTCTGTATTCTGTCTTCATAGTTTATCGTATTCCTTTGATACCACCATGTTTATCTGCACTTATCTTAGGTCTTTCTTTCATTCCACTGACAAATTGTGTTAGTTTACTTTGTAACCCCAAATTTGGGCCTTTTAAAAAAAACGTGGATGGAAGAGGGAAGTCCCGTAGCTTTGCCTGGCGTGGAAGAGTGTTGAGGAGCCTCACGTGCAGATTGAAGAATTGCCGGGTGAGCCTTCACCTTCAGGGGATGGCAGAAACATTTCTGCTCCAGGATCATCAACTTTCTCTGCGAGACAGCTTGATGAGTTGAGAAGAAGTGACAGGTTCATCTTTCCCTTCTTTGTTTAAGTCATTTATCTTTGAGATCCTTGCCTGCCATCTAAATTGTATTGCCAATTTACTGGGATATTCACTTGCCTCGTCTTGGAAGACGCTGATTTGCATCCAGCTTGAGAATAAGTGAGAGAGAAAGTTAATCATCTCCTGGCCTTTTGAACAGATTTGTACTGTGTTTAATTGTAGCATTTGAAATGTTACATATTTTCTAATGAGAGTCTATATTCAACTCTTGTGTTAACCTGTATCATGAGGAGAATAGCACAGTGACCTAGTCTAGAAAGCTCTGCTCTTCGGAAGATCTTTAATTTATGCTTTTTGCATATCTTTCTCCATTTCAGATTAATCTAAGCTATGTTAGCTGCTTTTAAATTCTGCCTACTTGTTTTTGATGATGATTTATTCAATTAAGTGGAATAATTAATAATGAATTATAGTTGGGCATGGAGGGAAATGGTACACTCAGCTCTCTAAGAGATTCTGAAATTTTTATCGAGATTGTTGTAGGGGTAATTATTTTTGGAAATAGGAAAACAGCTTCAGTTGTAATAAGTCCATTTTTCTGGAAAATGAAAAGCTATCTGAAGGAGAATGTGCCTGTGACAAGATCTCGTCTAGTTTCTTGTGCCCTGTGACGAGAAGAGCACAGCTCTCTTACTCTGAGCAGGTGAGGTCTTGAAGAAGCACCTCATTAATAAGGTCCTGAAGAATAAGTTCATTTGTTTATAGGGTTCAGGAGACCCCTAGAGTTCCAGTGAGAAAGCGTGAGCTCCGTCCATTGGTCCTCCTGGCCCTGCCACTCTCTTCCCCGCTTGTTCTGGCTCCCGTATTCTTGACACCTTTTCCCAGCATATGCTAGTTTTGTTTCCATCAGGCTTCCTTGAGGGAGCTGTCGCCCCCCAAATCAGGGTCTTGACACCAGCTCCTGCCACTCTGACACATACTTAGGCAGTGCTCAGAGTCGAGCTGGCCTGGGGCCGTGGCCCCACAGGCTTGTGATCAGTGGGCTCCGGTTCTCACTTCTTGTCTTTGAGTTCTCAGGCTTCTCCCCTCTCCTGTTGTAAGAGTTGAGCTAGCAGGGGCCGCCTCTACCCTTGGCTGCTGCTTCCAAACCATGTGGGTTTCCTATGTCATGAAAGCTTTTCTTCATCACGTGCTAATGACTTCCTGTTCCACAGGCGTAACACTTTCTAATGTTTCATTCATCTATCTGAGTTTTTCCTGCTTTAAGTGCCTCTTCTATGTCTGTGCAACATTCATTAATTTCTCAGTATTTCCCCCTTGCAGATTATTCCTTCTTTGTCTGCATCATAGACACACGCCTCTCTTTATAGCACTTTCTATATCCCACATGCTGCCACTTATCTAACACATTGGGAGAGAAAGGTGCAGACAAGGTGTGCAGGAGGTGGATGTGATGTTGTGGTT
Source organism: Homo sapiens (assembly GCF_000001405.40). Classification (NCBI taxonomy): domain Eukaryota; kingdom Metazoa; phylum Chordata; class Mammalia; order Primates; family Hominidae; genus Homo; species Homo sapiens. The sequence goes on from NC_000002.12 coordinate 235,787,539, forward strand.
GGTTGGTTGACATTTTCTAGATGATGCAGCTGGCAGATTTGTCTGGATTTCACAATCTCCCACATCTAGCAAATTGCCTGGCATATACTAGTTGCTCAATAAAAACAGTCAGTAAATGGGATGAGTGAGGGATGCTATAAAGCATAGTAAAGAAACCTTCCTTGACACATTAAAGGGAAAAGCAGCCAACTCCACATATTAAAGAATGGGCAGCAACTTGCTTGGTTTCTGTGAGGACTTGCTTAATTCTGCATTGACCAAGAGCAAGCTGAAGAGCATTCTGGGATCAAGAAGATGACCAAGTACATTGTGGGACCAAGAGCAAGATCAAGAGCGTTCTAGACCATGAGCATTCTGGGACCAAGAGCCATGACCATGAGCATTCCGGGACCAAGAGCAAGCAAGGCCAAGAGCATTGTAAGACCAAGAGCATGACCATGAACATTCTGGGACCAAGAGTTTGACCAAGTATTATACATTCTGGGACCTTCCTAGGCCATTGGCATCAACGCTGCAGCCTCTGAGTCATGCATGCCTCATGGGGTCATCCTGACTTAACCTGATGGGTAGGACTTACTTGAGTAGGGCAGGAGGTTTTGAAAGGACATGATCATACACAGTACTTAGCTCAAGTGCACAGAGAAGCAGAGTGCCATACTGGGACCCTACGGTACAGCCAGCCGGAGACACAGGGTTCCAGACACAGCTTAATTCCTTCACGCTGGAGTATGACTTGGATGTACAAACTCCTAATCCCTAAGGATAGGAAAAGACCTAGAAGATTTGAGGATTTTAATTCAGGAAAGTCCACCAAAAGGATAAACAGCTAGGAGCCCACTAGTAAGCCAGGATGGTGTGGTGCGGATCTTGGATGAGGTTAGCTGAGTTTGAAAACTGGAGAAGGCATGGATGAGAGCAATGCTGAGGGAAGGTGAGGCAGGGTGGGGAGAGGAGTGGGAGGGTAGGTGAGGCGGGGTGAGGAGAGGATTGGGAGGCAAGGTGGGGCGAGGAGAAGAGCGGGAGGGTAGGTGAGGCCGGGCAAGGAGAGGAGTGGGAGGGTCCATCGGTGTCGTCAGTGCACATCCCGGTGCTTGGAACTGACTGGTGGGCGTCCTGTTGGTGCATGGGGCAGACTGAAGCCTGAGACATGACCCCCGAGGGTTCTCCAGACAGGATCATTTGGAGCCCCTTCTTTCCCAAATGGTGGGGAGAAGTGCTGGCGGAAGCAGAATGGAGCCCTCAGAAGCGCGCATTCAGACCGGCAGTAGACAAAACCAGCTGCGGGGCCACACCACGTTAGGGTGCTTTTCGGCATCTCTCAGTGGGGTGAACGTTTGCATGTTGGTGCTTCTGAACACAGGATCCCTGGTCCTCCTGAGGCCTGGAGCCTGGCAGTTGGTCAGCTCCCTGGCCCCTGCTGCCCTCTAGCCCAGGGTGACTATGGGAACAGACATTCCTGATTTTTGGCAGCTCGACTTTGGGATTAAATGTTAAGGAACTATTGTGCTTTGAAGGAGTGCATGGAAGAGGAAGGGATGTGTGTTTCCTGCAGCGTGATTTGAAGTCCCCTTTACCACAAATAACTACTTTATACCAGAATTGGATACACATATTAAAAATGTCAAATACACCATATTTGTTTCAGCACAGGGTTTTTGTTTTTGTTTTTAATTATGTTCTTTCCCCTTTTCTCTGAAAGGAAAAGGGAAATCCCGCTGCCCTAGACATGGTAGAAATTTCCCCTCATTCTAAAATTCTGAAATTAACGTCAGCAGCCTTGACTTTGCTCTGTCCTGAAGGTAACTGTTTATTACAGTCGGCATTTAAATCCCCCGATTAATAGGAGCAATTAAACAATAGCTTCATTTCCAGCAAATTAACAACCCTAATAGGTAATTGCGACATAAATGAAGATAAATTTGTTTTAATACAACGAGATAAAAAGAATACAGACAAGAACTGAATTTCAGATTAAGAATTCAGACTTCAGTACTTCAGGAAAAACTTAAAAGCTTCACTAGAAGAAATTTAAGCAAGCTTGGCTTTTTAACCACAGCCTATTTTAGATTAGAGGGTTGTTTGCTCAAAAAAAAAATACATATATATAGTCATATTTTGTGCTTCGATACTCAGAAGGTAAGGCATCAAAGGATTACTTTGATATACGCAAGGTAAGTCAACAAAGGATTACCACCCACCGAACCCTTTCTCCTGCTGGCTTGCTTGGGGCATGGCATGTCCTAATGACTTACTCGAGCAGTTGAATCTTGGCCACAGCTTCTCATTAGGCTTTCAGTGACAAGGAACCAAAAAGCAAATGCATAGAAGAGCATTTCCTATTTACACACCCCTAAGTTAAATTTATGACCTGTTTAGTTGCAGGATGTCTTACCTTCCTTGTTAGTATTTGTTCTGATTGGAAAATTACTCTGATGGTTTAGAATTTGTCCTGTTGAAATGTGGAAGTAGCTGGACCAGACTTGTTCATAAATGCAGCATCCATGTGAAGGATGGGTGGGAATCGGTAGATTTGGGGTGAATAGCTAAGTGCTGATTTTAAAGGTAGTGGCAAAAAAAATGATGAAAGCCTCTTCTAGAACAAGGATAATGAATTTCTCCTTGTGGGGTCGCCGTGCTTATGGGAAGATGGAACGTACATTAAAGAAATTTTCGGAGTTTAGCTAAAACTGTATCACTGAGCTTGTATCACCTTATCAGAACTCATTTTGGTAGCTTAGAATCATCAGATGACACATAATTAGCCTAGAATTCTGTGTGCTGCCAAAATACTAATCCAGTAAAAGGGTAGAGGGACAGTTTTAGATATGGGAGTCTCAAAACAAAATATATGTGTGCTTCTCGGGAAACCGCTGGAACCAGGCTGCTGAGTTCAGCCCCTGAGGCTCTTTCCCAGCCCCTCCGCTCCCCACACCCCTGCACACTCCCTTTCTTGAGTGTCCAGGTAGAAATGACCTGTATCTTCTAACCACCCCAGGTATCTTTCCAAAGCATAGATCTCTTCACTTCTCTATTCAATTTGAATAACCCCCCATTGCCTTAAGGACAACTTCACACTTGCCACTCTTCTCTGCATATCAGGTCCTTAGAAATGCATTTCTAGTTGCCTGTTTCAGCATCTTCTCCCACTACCTTCTTATAACCTTCCCACCCCAGCCCCACTGTTGACTCATCCATTCATTCATCCAGTTGTTGTGTGCCCACTGAGTGTCAGGCAGGCCCTGGCCCCGGGAAGTTAAATACAGCATGGCCTCAAGCATTTCCAGAAGAGGTCCCAGCTCGGTGGAATTGGCCCATTGTCTTGGAACATGGGCTGACTGTACTCTTTAGTAGACGGCACAGTTTGGCAGGATCTCCGCAGGTGTGTAAGTGCCAGGCTATGCCATGGGTCCCATGGTTCACTGATTGTCATTAAGGAACATACTGTAGCCAGAAAACCCAAGAGACCATCATGGATGTGTGTGCTTCCTCACATGGCTATGATTTGACTTAGCTTTTCTTTATCGCTGAAAACACAGATCATATGAAAACACATTTAGGAGATGGGCTTGAATTATCAACAATATAGAGTACACCTTCTTTAACATTTAACTTTGAGATTTTCATGGTGAGAAAAATTCTACATATTTCTTTTCACTCCGAAGTCACACATTCTGAACTATATAGATAATTTGGTAATTAATTTCTTCTTAATAAGATAGTTTAATGATCACTTTACTGTGATTTAAAATGGAGTTGAGACGTTAGGGGATCTTTTATTTGTTACTGGAAGATTACAGCCGGTAGTGGCTTTCATTATTTATGGGAGGGTCTCCAGGTAAGCCCCCTATGGTTCGAATGGAAGATTCTTTCTTTTTCTTTTCTTTTCTTTTTTTTGTAGGGGCGGGGGATGGATTAGGGACAAACTGTCCCTGATATGCTGATATGCCCTGTCCAAACTCCTGACGCACAGAATCGTGATAAACAATAAGATGGCACGTTGATTTGATTTGATTTTTTTTTTGAGACGGATTCTTGCTCTTTGGCCAGACTGGAGTACAGTGGCATGATCTTGGCTCACGGCTCACTGCAACCTCTGCCTCCTGGGTTCAAGCGATTCTCCTGCCTCAGTCTCCCAAGTAGCTGGGATTACAGGCACACGCCACAATGCCTGGCTAATTTTTGTATTTTTAGTAGAGACAAGGTTTCACCATGTTGACCAGGCTGGTCCAAACTCCTGACCTCAGGTGATCTGCCCGCCTCAGCCTCCCAAAGTGCTGGGATTACAGGTGTGAGCCAGCTCACCCAGCCGGGAAGAGCCTTTCAATGAAATGTGAAGTAAGTGTCACCTTTGGGTGGAGACACCAAAGACAGAGACAAGACATGCAGTGCCCTCAGCTGCATAAATTTTGCTTTTAAAATATTTTCGTGGAGTAAAATTAGTGTTTAGTCTCATGTGAATTTCATCAGTGTGTCTATGGTGAGCATTTAAAATACGGTTTTATTGGAGGTGTGGTTCGTACTTTATAATCCCTACCTAACAGTGCTTACTCGGAATTGCTCCCCCGCCTCCCAAGTTACTGGCCTCACTGTGCTCCAGCTTTCCCAGTAGCAGAGGAACCCTCTTCCCAAACGTGGGCTTGATTTACACCGAGTCATTAGTTGTCATCTAATGGTGGCTCTTCAGTGTCACTGCAATCTATACGCTTTCTCTGTGTCTTCCTTAGTTCTCTGCCCCCACTTTTCCCCACCCTTCACGTGTCATCTGGTCCCCCACAAAGCTTTTGCATGGGGTTCATCTGCCTATTCCAGGAGAGACTATGGTCCTTATCCAGTAGTACTAATGTGCGGAAATACCAGGAGTGGACAAGCCACCTTCCCCAAACATGAAAGAGCCCAGTTTTGCTAAGGAGCTGTTGAAAAACTGGAAATAGAACAGCGCTGTGGTAAGATTTGCCTTTGAGGTCGCCCTGTGGTGTGTTAGGGGCATTTAGGGGACAGTCAGGGAGACTCATTTGGAAGTTGCTTTGGTCACCAGCTGTGGAAGGATAAGTCTTAGACCAAGGCAGTGGCAGTGAAGACGAATTTCTGAGAAACTCTGGTGGTTGAACCAATCATCTGTTAGGTCTGTTCTGTCCATGGTGAAGAGCGGGTTGTGCCATCGACTGAGCTAGAAAACAGACGAGAGGCAGGTCTGAGAGAGGCTAGGAGGCCCAGGCTGGGCGGCGCGGACTTGAAGGCGCCTCTAGCAGATCCAAGGGGAGATGCCGAGTTGGTCATTGGCTACACAACTCTAGAAGGCAGGATGTGAGGCAGAGCTCTTCGTGGCAGTGGCGATCCTGGGAGCTCCTGGCACTGAGGTGGTGACCGAGACATTCGCGAGGAGGTTGCCCAGGCAGAGGGCATGGGAAAAAGGACACCAGGAGGATGCCAGGGAAGCACCCGCACTTCAGGAGCCAGCAAGGGAGGATGAGAAAGAGAAGTTCCAGCCGGAGGAGGAAAACCAGGGACGTCAGGGTTCATGGAAGCCCGAGGAGGATGCAGAAGAGGAAAGGAGGGAATGACGAGGAACGCCACATGCTGCTCAGAGGTCCAGGAAGGTGCGACCTAGCCTCTGGACCACTCCCAGTGACCATGGCAATGGCAGGCCCAGCCTAGGGATTGCAGAGAGCAGGAGAGGCAGAGTCGAGCAGCATCCCCGGGCTTTCCAGAAGGCCTGGCTGGGAATGGGGCGTGGCACACGGTGTAATCCGGGCAGCCTTGGCGAGCACCTCCTGTGTGCCAGTCACCACACTCAGTCCTTTTCAGCATTTTGTTTAGTTACCCAATCCATTTCATTTAGTCACCCAAGTAGAAGTTAGAAATTGATGACAAACTGAGGGTGCAGGGCAAAAGAACACATGATTCGTGCTGTGGAACCAGGACAGTCTGTTGGGGTGCTGGCAGGGTGTTCGATTGCCACATGGTGGTGTCATGAGCAGTCCCAGAGCCGTCGGATTGCTCTGGTGCACTTGCTGCCTGGTTTTTCTCACCTGCAAAATGAAAGAGCTGACAGGATGAAATGAGTTAATAGATGGGAAGTGTGGGCCGCCTAGCCCTGCTCAGCCTTTGAGCAGCAAAAAGGAGGAAGGGGGAGGAGGAGGAGCTGTCCTCTGGTTATAGAGGGCGTGAGGTTGGCCCGGAGGCTCCTAGTGTGACCAAGGGCTATTCCTTGCCTCATTTTGTGTGATTTAGAAACAAGATGGAAGTAGAAATTGGGCATTATGTCAGGATTTAATGAAGTCTTGTTTGGGAGCTGTTGTCTTATTTTTAACCACTAATTAAAGGGTGCTATTTCCCTCTATAGAATAGAACATTTACAGTTTGTGGATAAAGTAAATGTATACCTCACTTTTTTTGTTAAGTTCTTAAACTTTTTTTTTATTATTGAAGAATGGAAACATACATGAAAGTGTATTTGGGCTTAAAAAGTTGTCACAAAATTATCCTCAGGTCAAGGAGGGCCTATTTCTAGACCCCAGAAACCCCTGTGTCCTGTCCCAGGCACCTGCCTGCTCTGCTCCCTGAAGATGGGCACAATTCTCCCTTCTGACCCCATGGTGAGGCCAGCTTGGTTTTCACCTTTATACAATGTACACACACACACGCACACTTGCACAGTTGAAGGGGCTAGTTAGAGGTATCTTTTATCTGTTAACCCAAATAAAATTTTAAAATTATAGAGGAAGTGACTTTTAAAAGAACACTGAGCATTACTCTTGGGAGTCTCAGGAGGGTAATTAAATTGGTAGTGTCAGTAGTAAGCGCAAATGTTTTCAGTACCCGTTGACACCGTTTTAGATTTGGGAGTAGCTCATGTGACAGAGTCATAGGGAAGTGTGCTGCCCAATTTGAGAAAAGATCAAATCTCAGTGACAAAGCTTCCAGATTTTTTTTAAATTAAATTTAATTTTTTTGCGATAGTCTGACTCTGTTACCCAGGCTGGAGTGCAGTGGCATGATCTTGGCTCACTGCGACCTCTGCCTCCCCGGTTCAAGTGATTCTCGTGCCTCAGCCTCCCAAGTAGTTGGGATTACAGGCATGCGCCACCACATCCGGCTAATTTTTGTATTTTTAGTAGAGACGGGATTTCACCATGTTGGCCAGGCTGGACTCGAACTCCTGACCTCAGGTGATCTGCCCGCCTCGGCCTCCCAGAGTGCTGGGATTACAGGTATGAGCCACCGCGCCCAGCCGCTTCCAGATTTTTTTTAAGTAAATCCACGTGATTGTGTTTCTGATCTATGCACCAACACACATTTACATTGAACATATTTATGTCTATGCACCCACACACATTTACATTGAACATACGTATTTATATGAAACAACACATTTATTTCTTGGATAATCAAATATAGACAAAAACTCAATGGTTATAAAAAGCTTCCCAGACAGCACAGTCTGGGGTAATATTCACATGTTAAACCTATTAACATTTAAATGTTCTAAATAGTATGAGTAATTAACGATTACAGCCACAGAAGAGCAGCTCCCTCCCGTGACATTCCATCCATTTTCTTTGAGTTGTTTTTTTGGGGTGGGAATGGAGGGGGGTTCCTCCACTCACATAGACACACCAAGCTTTTCCCTCTAGGAGATTACCCAGCCTGCTGCTGGGTTGTGTGGGGAAGGACTGCGGATGTCTTGGATGGCAGTTGTCATACTAGTTTTTTGCTTCCCCAAACAATTCATTTAGGGATGTCTTTAAGTGAGGCGCCCAGAGATTCCACCCCGTCCCTGGGACATCAAGCAAATAGCAGCAACAGCCGTTGGCAAATTTGTGGCTATTTGCAGCATTGACTCTGTAGTCAGTTTGCATTTTCAAGATGGGGGAGACATGGGCAGACATTACAAAGGAGTCCTTTCCCCTTCCTATTCCTCATGCTCCCGCTCCTCCTCCTGAAGTCAGATACTTTTTGTTCTTCATTAAAGTTTTCCCTTATTCGTATGGGTTACCCTGTAGTTTTAAAGCATTCAAGCAGTCCGTATATTTTAGAACAATATATTTATAAATCATTTTCTTTCCTTGATTTGTGTATGGAAGCAGGAAGGACATAACAGGTAGAGGGGAAATAGGACAAATATGAAAAAAAAATAGTAGAGTTTAAAAACTACTACCAGTTACCGGATGTTGTGACTTCATTTTATTTTTTAATTAATGTGGTAGAATAGTAATTAAATGGACAGAAGAATTTTAGCAGTTAACAATGCTAAATACTCATACTTTGTACATCCTGTCTGTAGTTTGATGAGAGGCTTTGTTGTAGAAATATTCTCTTTACTCATGAACTGACTCTTCCTAGACTCCATAGAAAGGATAGAACATTCATTTGCATTTGAAGTTTCATACAACAGTCGTTTCCATAACATATTTGACTTATCTTAGGAAGTTTCTCGCATCTTCCCTTAGTTTCTACAAATGAAAATGTCTGCAAAGCTCTCAAAGCATGCATCCTAGTCCTATTTAATTCTGACATCTGCACATTTCTTACGAATGTAAAGTCAGTGTGGCCATCCAGCTGAATAGTAACTCTGAAGCTGGGAGTAAAATCAGATTTCAGTGTAATTGATAATCAAAGCCCCTTATTGCTATTTTTCAAAAACAAAGTAGCAATACTTTAGCACTCACCCAGGCAATTATGATTTTTGGCTAATTTACTTTTGGTTTTTGCAATTTCAAGATACCTAGACAACACATTTTGCATCTGTTGAAATCTTAGATTTTATTTTTGAGTTCACATAATGACTTTAAAATATTCTAATAAATGTCTTCAAAGACCCCAGATCAATATGCCAATGGTTCTGAGATGACAGAGTGCTGCGATATTCCTCTGTAATTTAAACATGATTAGCTGATGAAGGTTATGTGATATCAATACACTACCGGAAGATAAATTAATTGATATCATCCTTTCAGGATGATAAGAGGCCTATTGGAGGTGGGATGTAACTAATGAAGCTGCTTCTTCCTCTCTGTGAGCCATTTTTTATATATTGCATTTTCACTTAATCATATTTATACTATCATTCATTTACATGAAACCCATAGGCTGTGGACAAACCAGTTTCTTATTAAAATTGTATTCATTTGGAAAAGAAATTATCTGCAAACACTATATGGGCCCCGTCTACGTTATAACCTATTGCTGGGGAGAGATGACAAGTTCCTTTCCGTGGACATCTTCGAAAATAGCAACTATCTAGGCAAAGTCAAGGATTGAATATCATTGAACTTAATTACTGCTAGTCCCCAAAGACACACATCTATTCAAATCAAAAGTGTAGTTATTCTGCGGCAGTGACACCATTGGTGTAGGAAGAGTTTTCTAATCGTTGACTTCCTTTCCAATTACATTCAGTATGCTTTATCAGCGAGCCTATTTGCCAAGAGAAGTTATGGCTGGTTGAATTTAGATTTGTATTGATTAAGATAAACTTACAATGTGTGCAGTCATATATTTAAATAAAAAAGGTCTTTGATATAATTACATCTCCTTGAATATAATTCTCTATGATAGCTTGTAGAGTGAAGAGGATTTCTTTAGGCTTTGGGGGAAAAAAAAAGATTTTTGTCTTTCCAAGGGGTTTGGTTAAATTGCCCTGCCTTATTTAGGATTATTTTTGTTCCAAGTAACTGGAAAAAAAGATGATTTTATGAGAATAACTTAAATGAGATAGGTGTGTATTTTTTTGCTTTACATTCCTCTGAGGTGGTCTGTGCAGGGCTGCTGAGGCCTTCTGTGGAGTTGGGGGACCGGCTCTATCTGTCTCCCATGTGGCTCCTGTTCCCAGTGTCGCCTCGTGTTCCACAGTGCTGCTGAGGCCATGTAACGTTTGTGCATTTCAGGCAACAAGTAGGAAAAACATACGAGAATTTAGGCAAAGGGAGGCTCTCCAGGAAGATCCTTAAAAGCTGCCCTGTGATCCTTCTGCTCTCATCCTGCTGGCCAGAGCTTGTGTACCTGGCCATGTTCAGCTGATGCGGGGGTGGGGGGACGGGAGGAGGCTCTGGCAAATGTCATGTTTATTCTGGTTGTCATTTGCCCACCTAAGAACCAGGAATGCTATTACTGCGAAAGAAGGAAATAACAGATTTCGACAACAGACTGATGATCTCTGCTCTGTTCCTGAATTTGGAAATTGATTGACATGGATTTCTTTTTGTCTGTGTGTCCACCAGTTGCCCAGAAGATTGTTGCCACAAGGAAGAAGCAGCAGCTGTCCATAGGACCCTGCAAGTCGCTACCTAATTCTCCCAGCCATTCCTCCGTCTGTTCCGCGCAGGTGTCTGCCGTGCACATCAGCCAGGTACGTTAGGTGACATGAGAAGTCAGACTCTTAGAACCAAAGACAATATGCAAATAGTGTTCCCAGCCAATGCTAAGGTTGATTTTTTTTTTCTTTTCAACTTTATAAGTAACAGCATGTTGTAATTGACTTCACATTTTCTTCAGAAACTGCTGTGGCCAAGTGATTTTTATGGGAATCATTCTTTTATGTTTTCTGTCTTCATGCTGCCTGTGTTATGAGGCATGCTGGCCCGGGTGGTGATGGGAGGTGTGTGCTGCAGTCCTCGCTGGTGATTTAAACCACCCTTCTCTGGTCTTGGTCCTAGTCTGCTTATAGGTTGAACAGTTGTGAGTAAATCTTAATGGCCAATCTCGCTTTATACTTAAATTTGGTAGTGGCATTCAATTATAATTACCATCTCCCTTAGGTCCCATAGAAACTGCTATCTTTCCATAACAACATTTTGCAAAAGTATTTACTTGGAAGCAAATGAAATAATGGTCACTTTGAAGAACTCAACCAACAACCTCCTAAGGAAACAGTTGACTTTGTTTTTGTCTGTGCTTGTTTTTTGATTACGTTTCTTGGGCAGGTATTCTATTGGCACTGTTTTTTTAAGGACATGGTGGAAGGGTTCGGTGTCGTACTTTCAGTTTGCTTGGGAAGCCAGTAAGTTATGGCATGTATTGTCAGAGCCTGTCAAGGTACAGTCATGAATGTTCATGCTGGCTGGGCTGAGTGGCAGTTGCCTGTAATCCCAGCACTTTGGGAGCTCAAGGCAGGTGGATCGCTTGAGCTCAGTAGTTCAAGACCAGCCTGGGCAACGTGGCAGAACCACACCTCTGTATCTACAAAAAAGAGAAAAATTAGCTGGGCGTGGTGGCTTGTGCCTTGGGAGGCTGAGGTGGGGGGATCACCTCTGCCCAGCAGAAGAGCTAGGCTGCAGTGAGTGTGATTGTGCCACTGCATTCCAGCCTGGGTGACAGAGTGAGACCCTGTCTCAAAAAAAAAAAAAAAAAAAAAAAAGAATGTCTTCACTTGCTGTGTTTAATTTTCTGTGAATCTTGAAATACTTTTCAAAAACACTTAGATTTTCCAGGTGTCATTTTCATAATGTTGGCTGTGGTTCTGCTGATCTAGAGCAGTGGAGGGACCATAGAATCCCTTTAGTTTAACCAACCCCTTTCATTTTCAGAGGAAAGAGAAAATAATCAAATTTGAACTCTCAGAAATCTTTTAAGTTAAATGAAAGAGACTTCTTTGTCTTCAGTCACTTTTCTCAGGGGATGCCACTGAGTGAGATGATTGGCATGTTCCAGGATGAGACTCTGTAGACATGACACTAATACACCTGGCAAAGCCATAGACGCAAGTCAGCCATTCCCATGCATCCCTTCCATGGGGCTCATGCTCACTTGTTGGTTATGACCTTGCCTAAGTGGAGGTCTTGGGTTCCTGAGTATGTCGTTAATGAAACCTTGGATTTTAATCATTTCAGACAAGTAATGGAGGTGGGAGTTTAAGCGACTATTCCTCCTCCGTTCCATCGACTCCCAGCACCAGCCAGAAGGAACTTCGGATCGATGTTCCTCCCACTGCCAACACGCCCACGCCCGTTCGCAAGCAGTCTAAGCGCCGGTCCAACCTGTTCACCGTGAGTGTCAACCCTGGGTGGAGATTTGAATGCGATTCCGAAGCGTTCCCATTAACGTAAACCTGGTTGCCACATGGTTCAGTGGTATTTGTAGAATCTCAACTATATTAAAGTGAATAACATTGATTTCTGTGGAGGACTAAGAAAATTAAGAGAAGCAAAGATTTGGATGTTGAGTAGAATGGGAATTTCTTCATGTAGACATTCCTGACTTCGTGTGTCTGAAATGAAGAGCTGGGGGTGTGTATAAAGGCACTTGTTATCCTGTGGCTCCAGCTAAAGATGTGTCACAGTGGATACAAGGAGATGACAAAACTCTAAGATTCCCAGATGTGTGTCTCTAACCGTTCAGATGATATATAAGCTATTACTGTCCACAGGCCCTCTTCTTCTTCTGCTGGGGTGCCTGGCGCTGCCCTCGGGGTGGAGGTGGGGGACTGGGAGGTGCTTCCTGGAGGCTCATTGCCATGAGGCTCTCCACTTGGGTTTTTTGCTGTAGAGCATGTTGAAAGCAGAGATGAGCTATCTGGGTTCAGGTTTATAAATTCACAATCTGGGTGCACTCGGGCATGCATTGTTCCTTTTTTTTTTTTTTTTCTTTTGAGACAGGGTCTCACTCTGTTGCCCAGGCTGGAGTGCAGTGGCTCAGTCATGGCTCACTGCAGCCTCAACCTCCTGAAATCCTCCCACTTCAGCCTTCTAAGTAGCTGGGACCATAGGCACTCACCACTACGTGTGGCTAATTTTTTTTTTTTTTTTAAAGAAATGGGGTCTTACTGTGTTGCCTAGGGTGGTCTTGAACTCCTGGGCTCAAGCCACCCTCCCACCTTGTCCTCCTGAAGTGCTGGGATTACAGGCATGAGCCATAGTGCACAGCCAGCATGTGAAGTGCTTGAAAACTCCCTGGGTGATTGAGATGCAGAGAATCTCTGAGCTACAGAGGTGGCAAAAATGCTGCCAGCCTGTCCCTTCCCTGTGCATAGCAGACATTACCAATCAATCTGGATTCTACACAGTTGAGCCGCAAACTCCAGGCACAGCTGCTGTCAGGTGACTGAAGCATTTGGACTTGAGAAGAACGCTTTTCCTCCCTGGATCACGCATTACAAGTACATGCTTTTGAAACAGTGCTTCTGAACCAGGGTGGTTTTGCTCTCCAAGGACATTTGGCAACTTCTGGAGAAACTTTGGGCTCTCACAACAGGAGTATGGGAGTGGGAAGGTAAAGGTTCTGCAGACGTCTAGTCGTGGGTAGCAACCAGGGGTGCTGCAAAGCATCCCACAGTGCATAGGTCAGCCCCTCACAGCAGGGAATTATCCAGCCCCACATGTTAGTGGTGCCCTGTTTTAAACCATCTGACTTCCATTTTGGTTGATTACTGCTGACCCAGATGCAAAGCTCTAGAGGGGTGGCTGGGAGTCAGATTTGCTGCCCCTTTGTGAATCTGATCTTGATGTTACATTGCGATTCCTGCCAAGTCTGGGAGATCCCCCGCCCCTCTGCCACATGTCTGGGGCAGTCTCTCATTGGATGCTCATGACTGCGGAGGCGGTTGCCAGCTGCACACACCCCCTCGTCCCCAGCCTCCCCTTGCTTTTGCTAGTTGCCTTGCGCCACATCAGCTCCCACAGAGGCCACTGCTGGGCAGCAGGGTGAGGACTGATCAGACAGACCAAGCTCCCATCCCGGCCTCCGCTGCTGACGGATGTTTGACCTTAGGCAAATTACTTGACCTCTCTGGGCTGGAAACCATAGTACTTCTGCAGTGGGGCTTCCGGGAAGACTTCCTGGAGGAGGCAGAAGAGATCTGGTGGCATTGCTTCCATGGTTTTCTCACTCCATTGATGCTATAAAATGATTTCTGATCGTGTTAAGCATATGTGATAGATTAGGAGGTGGGTATTTAGGTTTCTGTAAAATACAGGTGAGTATCTCACATGCTTAAATTAGTGCATGGATAACATGTTTTATTGGGCAGTTTCTTCACACACACCGAGAACAGCAGCAGTCACCTAAATAGCTGCTTCCCAGCTCCGTCTAACACCTGGAGCAGCCCCTGTCTACCCCCAGGCTGGGGGGCTTTGGGTTGAAGTGTTTCCTGCTAGAACAGGCTGCACAGTGACTCGGTGGCTTGAGAAACCAATAGCCAAAGATGCAGCTGGATTGAGAGAAGGTGGGCTGTGGGCAGGCGGCCTGTGCCCCGGGAGGAGGGGCGGGCTTGTCATCGTGGTGGTCGAGAACACCTTCTGTGTCTTTGTTAAGGGAGTGGAAGGGGGAGAGCACTCATTCTCAGACGCCTTCTGAGGGCCACATTTTCTGCTTGTTGACTTTGCTTTCTCTTTTAAGGAGAGAAATTTTAAAACCACAAAGTATCTTTAAAAATGAGACTATTTATAAGGAGAATACCAGCACCTTCCCATCCCCTCCCTTTATAAGCTCTGGAACTGCAGTGTGCCAGAAAGTAGTATCCCACTGGGTACCTGACAACCCAGGTGACTTAGGGAGGAGAACACTTGAAGGCAGAGAGAATCAAAATAACAGCCCATTTAATAAATATTGACTTAACATCTGCTCTGTGCACAGCCCTGGTTTTGCTCAGTGTCTAGGAGGAAGACTCACTGCCAGAGTCAACCCATGTTCAAGGGAAAGCGATTTAGGGTGAAGGAGAAGGGGCTCTGCACACTAGGAGGAGAGACCCTGTTGCTGCGGATTCACCCTGCAGACACACAGGTGCACTTACAGGCATCCATGAAGAGGCCGGGCAGGGCAGGTGCAGAAGCCAGTAAAAACTCATTGTTACAGTGACCAAAAATCACCATTAATTATTTCACCATTAATGTGTCACATAATATAATGGTCTGCCTATGGATCTAAGGGTGACCAGTGTTTGTTATCTTTCTCCTTAATCTTGGAAAATAAATTTGAGATCAGATCAGAAATTGAATCCAGCTGTCCCATGGCATTAGTGGGAATAGAAATTTGGAGTCATAAAAGAAGCTACCACTGCAATAGGTTTGCATTGTGGCATTTAAGGAAAAGACAGTGAAAGTTCTGGGCAGGGATCCATATGTTGGTCCTCAGTGGGTTTGACACTGAACAAAATGATGGTGGTGATGATGGTTGTGGTGATGATGATGGTTGTGGTTGTGGTGATGATGGTTGTGGTGGTGATGATGGTTGTGATAATGATGGTTGTGGTTGTGATGGTGATGGTTGTGATGGTGGTGGTGATGGTTGTGGTTGTGATGATGGTTGTGGTTGTGATGGTGATGATGGTTGTGGTGGTGGTGGTGATGTTGTGGTTGTGATGATGGTTATGGTTGTGATGATGGTTGTGATGGTGATGATGCTGCTTGTGGTTGTGATGGTGATGATGGTTGTGATGGTGTGATGGTTGTGGTTGTGGTTATGATGGTTGTAATGGTGGTGATGATGGTTGTGATGATGGTTGTGGTTGTGATGGTTGTGATGGTGGTGATGGTTGTGGTTGTGATGGTGGTGATGGTTGTGATGGTGATGATGGTTGTGGTGATGGTGGTGATAGTTGTGATGGTGATGATGGTTGTGGTGATGGTGATGATGGTTGTGATGGTGATGATGATGGTTGTGGTGATGGTGATGGTCATGATGGTGATGATGGTTGTGGTTGTGGTGATGGTGATGATGGTTGTGGTGGTAGTGGTGGTGGTGGTGATGATGCATGCGGTGTAGTCTTAAGTTGAAGTTCCTGGAAATAGTAACTCCACTAGATGTCAGTGTCATCCAAGGAACAAAAAGAAGGCAAATTAATTGTGAAATCATAGCAATTAAGATATTAAATTTTTATCATGACCAGTTTTCTTCTATTTTTAAATATGTAAAATTGAATAGACTCTTCATCCCTGGCAGTTGTTGGTGATTATAGGCATAAACTGTCAAAATGTGTATTTATTTGGAAGTGTCTAGTCAGAGGACAGATGCATGATATGCAGACAATCTTAGTGAATAAAAATTCGTGCAGACTGGGATTGTAACACCCAGCTGGAGGGGCACTATCCACCTTATTTATTAGAACATCATAAAGAGGCCATAGTTAATTAAGTAATGCATGTATCATTTTTTCCAATACCATTTTACACATTTTATAAAGTACACTGTAATGCACTGCTCTGGGCTAACATTTTGTGCTCCCAGATGTTTGTTTGCATATATTCATATACAATTTTTAAACAAAAATAAATGACTTTTTTATAAAATAGTACAAATAAAATCTCTGTATTAGTCCAAATTATATGTTACATTTGCAGTAGGAATTCTACTTTACTAATCAAACACTGAGTTATATTTTATTTCACTTATTTCTTTGGAAAAAAAACAAACATTAAAAGACTGTATCCATTTAATCCCTAGTTTGGTAATATGGGTTCTTAGAGCAATTAATTTAGTTTAGCGGCCCTAGTTTACACGTGGTTAAAGTGTTTTATTAGAAAAATTTTTCAAACATACAGAAATAAACACGTGTGTACTCACCACACGCTTCATCAAATACAAGCCCTTTTCTGCTACGCTGCTACTGCAAGAAATAAGCAAATCCTAAGTAAAAGTTGCAGCTCCTTCCATGTGCCTCCAGAACACGTTTCTCCTGCCTGTCTGCCTAGGGATCAGCATTAACCTGAATTTGGTCTATATTATCTGTGTCCATGCTGTAAACTTGTTCTAGTGTGAGTCTTGAAATTATACATTACATGGCCTTGTCCATTTTCAAGCTTTATAATAACGATGTTATTTATGTGATATTTTTAAAAAGCTTACCATATAATGTTGATACCATTAAACAGAGCCAAGTGCACCCAGGAACCAAAGATTGTGAATATACATTGCCCAGCTCAGAAACTTGCCATAAAAAAATAAGGCAGCAAAATTCATAGTGCGAAGAGAACTGTTTCAATGGCATTTATTTGTTTTTGCAGAGGAGCTCCTGGGTACCTCCCCTAGTGTGTTCCAGCAGCCGTTGACTTAGCCACTGGTTGAAAGGGGGTAAACGGGCTTCTCTTTGATACAGAGGGCTCTTGGCAATGATGCGCTTGTTCCTGTAGGCAGGTAGTTAGTTGATGGGAGTGTCCTCCATGGCTTCTCTCACCACGGCAGGGGAAGTTAAACATTTTTGTAAAGAAGCAGGTGATAATTGGATTACCTTAACCTTTCTTTCCTCTGCATCGAGTGTTTGTTGGAGGCTAAGCAGTTACTATGGTGGCTTGCTGTGCGTTGACTTAAAATCTGCAGCCCTTCTGGGTGTGATCTGCTGCTGTTCCATTTCTGGCAGTGTGCAGCAGGCTGTATGCAGGGCAGGGTCACTCCTGGCAGACGCCGTGGGTGCTGAGGGCTGCCTTGTGTCTGATGATTCCTCGGATCCATTCCAGCATCACGGAAGGATGTGCCATTAGTGATGAGGTCTCCCAAGTTAGCAGAGAAAGGAAACCTTACTGGGAATTTGTATATGCTGGGGTGTCTATGTCCATTGGATTTGATTTAGTCTGGTTGTTGGATTTAAATTTTATGGATACAGCCTGATGTAGACAAACTAATTGTGGGGCTGAGGTACAGCAAACTCTTTTGCCTAACATCTTGCCACTGTTCTTTCCCGAAATTTTAGTTTTTTGACTGTCTCCGGCAAATTGTTAAAGTTGTCAGGAAATTTTTGTTTTATTTTTGCAATGAAGTCTTACCGAAGTTTCAGTCTCTTTTATCTCAGAGTGTGTGATCAGATATTGAGTTTGGTGGTTCACAGTTCATGTTCTAAGGTGTTTACAGCAGGGCAATGAGCTATTTCTTCCCATTTCAAGTGGAATCTGAAATTCTGCTCTGAGAATGGATTGGCTGGGGGGACAGATGAGCTGCCTTGTTACAGGAAGATGTTAATTTTTTTAAAGTTTGTTTTGTTAATTATTCTGGTTTAATTAACCAGAATAATGAAGATGGATTTCCAAATTTAGAAATTTAGAATTTGTAAAATTCCCAAAGTACTCTTAAATATTTTTTGTTAATTAAAAAAAAATTTTTTTAATGTTATCACTGTGTGCTTTGAAATTCATTTTAAAACTAGGAACCTCAGGAGCCAGCTTTTCTCATCAACTGTGATGTGGAGAAAAGAATTTAAGGCTATTGTGTAGCTCTTACTATACAGTATTAAGAATTAATTAAAAAGAAAAATGAGCCCTTGACAAAGAATTGATAAATATCTCTATTTTCCTTCTAGCCCAAAGGGTTAACCTTACGTTTTATATTCTTCTGCAACTTCATATTTGTTGCTTGATTTATTCCCTGTCATCTCATTCTAGGCATCCACCAACCTAAGGGGGAAACAAGTGCACAGTGCTTGGCACGTAGTAGGTGTTCAATAAGCATCAGCTCTTATCACCATCTGAGAAGCATGTTTCCTAATGAGCACAGCTGCCCAGGAGAGTAGCACCCTTTGAAGTGCTAGATCTGAGTTTCCATCATGGGAACTGTTCTCCTTGTCCTCCTCCTTAATTTGGTAGCAGCCTCTTCTGGAATCCTAAATGCGTCCCATCAGCCCTTGTTTGTATTATGACCCATGACATTGCCCCTTTAATATGTATGTTTTTTAAATCAGCTGTTCCAGCTCACATCCCTTTGAACCTGGATTCCATTAGCTTTTCATTGTAGCAGTGGACACCACAAAGTCTGTTCATTTCATATATCATCTCAGATTTGAAAAGCACGTGAAAATGTTTCTCCATTTTCAATATTGTGTGAGTAATGTTCCCATTGAAAAGTAATGGAGTGAAGTTGTCACTTGTCAGCACAGTTATTAAGGAGGACGAGTCTCCAATCTTTCTCTCATAATAAAATAAATCTGTCAGAAAATCATTGTGCTCACACTTTCTCATGCCATCGAGAGAGGAGACTGAGACGATGGAGCTCCTTCAGTTTTACCCAAGTCAAGGTGCGCTTTTGGTTGGGGCTTCCCTGGGTTAAAGGTCACCACCCTTCCTGCCCGGTGGCAGCCACTCGTCGTCCGCAGCACGTCAGCAGTGCATCGGAGATAATTGACTCAGGACCTTGTCAAATAAAGCTGTTCATTATTTCCCAAATACTGACCTTTCGTCCAAAGGCGATTATCAGGGGTTTTTTTTCCCCTTCATTATTTTTTGTGGTATTGTCCACTAGCTTAACTTCGAATTTGCCATTTTCCAACCATCCAGAAGCAAAAACGGAAAATGTTAACAGCACCTTGATACTAATCAAGAGTGTGCCGTTAAATCGCACAGCTGACTAGTCAACAGAATTTTAAAATCATTCAAACATTAATTAAATACATATGTTGATGTAGTAGATTTTCCAAATAAACATTGAGCAGCCCCTTTTTTCCTCGGCTGTGTGAACTGCAGCTTTCAAGTGTTTTTCTGTTGGGCGTTACTTTCCCATATGGCCCATTGGTTTCTAGTAGTTGAATTTTGAACTTTTTAAAAAAGAATTAAAAGATAATTCTGTGGTGGAAAAGTCAGGGGGAAAGTTTAGATGATTCTCTTTAAAAATGATGAGTCAGTGGAGATGAACTACTGAGCTGTCTGCTCGTCGGACGTGTCTGTGCGCACACATAGATCGCGCATGTTTTCTAAATGTGTATTGGCAGGAATTCTGCAAACAGGGGCAGAGCCCCGTCTGTGAACCACAGCCCTTACCCAGATGCCAACTTTCCTTTTGCTTTGCAGTCTCGGAAAGGGAGCGACCCAGACAAAGAGAAGAAAGGCCTGGAGAGTCGTGCGGACAGCATTGGGAGCGGCCGAGCCATCCCAATTAAACAGGTGAGCAGCCTCCCCATCCTTCCCTCCCTGTCGCCGGAGATACACCTCAGGTCTTCCTGGAGATGATGCTGGCTCTCGCACCAAGGTCTGTCTGATGTGCTCTGTTGATGAATGTAGAAGTCTCTCACTTGACATCAATTAGCAGAGTTCCTGTGTGTATTCAAATGGGATCATTAGAATGAGAAGAGGGAACGGAGACAACAGACCTAATGAAGTGCGGGCTGCCCGCCTGCATATGGAGTGCGTTTCCAGGCTGAGAGCTTTCAAAGGCTGCCTTTGTAGCACGGCTTTGATTGGGCCGCGGGCCGCCGGGCAACAGGGGTAACTCAGATCGCCTACAAGAGCCCCTTGTGATCACAGGAACAGCCCGACGTGGCCCTAATTTGCTCTCACAGACGGACATCTGAACACTGTTTCAGGCTGGTTTGTAACAACGAGGCAATTAGTTGTGATAATCATAGCCGGTGTGTCAGCTGTGCGCTCTTGTTTGTAATTTGCTAATGAAGGAATTGTAACTTTGATTAGGTTCGGTTTCATTTAGACCTTATTATATAAAGGAACATTTACAGCTGTAATGTGGGGCCTTAATTAAACTTTCTCATTACACAACAGGACTTGAATTCAACCATTTGTTTTGGCCTATGTTGCTAGCCTGGAACAGGGTTTCATTAGCCCAGAAACCAGATTCTAAATCACTTTATATCTCCAATAAGAAAAAAAAAAAACCCTGGAGTCCACGTGTGACGTAGATTGTGGTTTGATTTCCAAGGAGAATAAAAATAGAGTTCAACCCCACACAGTGGCTTCTGAAATGTCATCTTTTGGTTTGTTAAAGAAAGCCAATTGATTTAGAGTGCATCCTTCTTGAGCAGAAGCCTCTGTGGGCAGGAGAATGGCTCCGCCTCTCAGGCACAGGGCTTGTGACCGGTGTGCACCTCCGGTCCAGCTCACTGCTTTGCTCTCCTCTCTCCTGCGGGCACCTACACAGCATCGGTAATCCCTTAGGAACTGTGTAGGCACTGGCTGCCCTTAAAAAGGGGAGAGTCTTTCCACACATGGAGTTGGATTATTCTGGTGGTGCAGGTTTCGTCCATTTGAAGCAAATAGGAACGCAGCCTTAGAGAGGGGCCAGCCAGTGTCAGCGTGAAGATGTGGGAGAGGAAGGGGTTAAATAGGGCCACAGCATCTTGGGTGAGACCAGAGGAGGGAGTCCACAGAGTTTCCCAAGGAGCCCAGGAACTACTGCAAAAACCACACCTCTGCCCACAGCGTAACCGACCCTGCCCGGGAGCAAGCTTTCTCCTTCCGTGCTCACAGGGCACGCCTTTGCCAGGCAGAGAAGAAGGAGGCCTGCAGGTCATCACCAAGGCCCTCAGGCATCTATGTAAGATACATGATCATCTACTGGGCCGCAAATATATGGATTGGCCCGGGGCACCTTTAGGAGAAATTCTCTTCCCTCCATATATTCAAAGACAACAACAACAGAACTTTCCACTTTGATGATGGGTGGTGTTTTCACTATAAAACACTTCAGAGGTCCGTGCACATAGTTGCTTATTCTTTCTTGGTGCCTTTATTTATAACCTAACTCTGCATAAGCTAATGTTACTGTGTAATTTTTATGCCACTGATACCTTTTTCAACTGGAATTATAAAAATCAGTTATAAAAATAATTCTTTTTCATAAACTGGTACCAGGACATTTCCTTTGGGGAATATTAAAACTTAATAATAGACTGTTTTCTTAATGCCTGTCTGTGGTTGATTTGGGTGATTTGGGTGGGAGCGCTCACCAGCCTGGCGGGAGTCCCTCTGTGCGAGCCAGGTGGGCCCCCGGTATAATTGGAACCTTCATTCAATTTGTACCTGCTCATCTGTGGAGGGGGCTAGCTTTGCAGGCTAGCTTTTCAATATGTGTGCAGATTGGAACTGACCATCAAGCGTAAAATGAGTATTATCCAGTCCTTGGATGCCTTTCGATTGTGAATGTTCAAAGGAATCTCGTTGAAATCTAAATCATGGTCTGATTTCCCGGTGACTCCTGGGCACAGGGAGCTCCTTGTCCCTCCTAATTGTCCCCCTCTTGCAGCCACAGACAGCTCCCTCCTCACATCCACACCTGTCCCAGCAAAGTGCCCCCGTGGCCAGCTCTCCAGGCCTCGGGTGCCTCGTCTGTAAAATGGGGAACTGGATGATGTCTGAAGCCCTTGAAGCAGTTAGATGTGGAGGTTCCACAGAGAATTTTTAAATGTTAGCAAAACTGGATTTTTAAATCGGGGCACCCTTGTCAAAGCCTCTCTGTGCATCGGACGGATTGATGTGGGTTTGCAGACGGTTGTATCGATCTATCTCACATCCCTGTGTGTACCCTTGTTTCTAAAGGAACATAGATCACTTCAGGTAGCCTGAATTCCTGACCTTCCTGGTGTGATGACTTCAGTGTGGAAATGAAATGAGAGGATTGCAGGGGATGGAGCCTGATGGCCATATTCTAGAAACTCAACCAAATTATTTGTTGAATAAATGAACAATTAAATGAGTGCTTATTATGTAAGTGCTGTTCATACAAGATCCCACTTAATCCTCGACATTGCCACAGTTATGGTAGCTGTGTTCTCCTTATTTTAAACACAGAGATAGGGAGGGCCCTATACCAGGCAGCTAGGAAGTAGGTCCAAGGATTCGGACCAGGCCTCTCTGCCCCTATGTCTGCGCTCTCTCCACTGCCCATTGATGAAAAGCCTTCAGAAAGCTTAGGAAGCAAAGTTACATGTTTTAAATTAAGTAAGTGAACCACGACCTGAGACAAAAATATCTTACGACTGTATAAAGAAACTTCTGAGACTGCCTGCAGCAACATATTTCTCCAGGGATAACACAGCCCTGCTCAGCCATTCTCCGGGTGGGAGGCGTCATTCCATTCCCATCCTTACCGTGTTTGCCGCAAACATGTTCTCTGCTCTTGTCACTTGCTGCAGAGAACTGTGTCTTAATGCTCAGCCCATGTGAAAGACTCGGGTCTGCATGATCGAAGCCTCACACACCAGCTAATGGACCTTTGCCTAATGGCAGAGGAGTCGTTTTAGAACCCCAGCAACCTGCGTGGAGTTGCTAATGCAGACTCTTCTTTCCCCCAGCAGGAGTCTTGTAATGGATGGTTTAGGATCCAGGCAAGGCAGCCTTCAACACTCTCTGCAATCTAACCCCAGAGTTTACAGATAGTACGTGTCGCAGTGGCTTATGTTAACCCCCTTTCACTTCCATCTGATACCTCGTTCGCTGTAAGCATCCAGGCTCCCCCCACCTCAGTGTGGGAGCTTGCCAAATCATGATGGTCAATGACGTTGTCTCTTTCTTCTTTCTCCCGATTAAAGATTCCCCATCAAGAATATGACTTATTTTCTGGACTATAACTTCATTTCTTGTGGACCTGGGTCTACTTCTCCTTTGGTGTCCTTTCTGGGGTCTTGGAGGAGGTTGGTTCAGAGAATTCGGTTTCTTTTTTTTTTTTTTTTTTTTTACTAATAAGGTCTATTCGAGTAAAAATTAAGAAGCAAAGCAAGAAAAAGCCAGAGGCCCGGCTCAGCGGCAAGTGGGTTTGTCACGTATTAATTTTTCATTGCTGTGGAGAGTTGTACATACATAATCACTTGATTGCAGTGGGAGTTAGGGAGCTCCTATGGTGCCATTTGCATAAATCTTGTTAAGTCAATGGCAGTTAATGAAGTACAAATGAGCCCGGAGAAGGTGACATGCAAATCGTGGGTGGCAGATGGGAGGTCTGTTTGGGGGACAGCAGCTGTGTGCTCTCCTTTCTTTCTTTCTCTTTAGCATTTTTTAATCTCTATATTTGAGTACAGATACACAGTCATACGCCTTGGCCTCCTCCGTGCCCTTCGCAGAGCCCCGGCCAGAGAACCTGTCCATCCCCTCCTGCCTCTGATGTCCAGGCTGCATAAACCGTTCAAGACTTGCCTTGTACTTGGTAGCGTACGCTAGAAGGATTTGAATTTTTTGAAAATCATGCTCAGTTTATCTCATCGTGCTTACGCAATTGAAAGCGTATCATTTTTACTTGGTGGGGACACACAGAACCTCCTCACTACATCTTTTGAGACGTTGTGTTGTCTCCTGAGGTTTCAGAGAATAAAAAAGAATAGAAGATACCATCTTTGCCTTATCATGCTTCCATTTGGGAGTCTTTTCTTCCTTTTTCAGACAGGCCAACTGTATTTACTGATTATTCCCCGTCCCTGGTTCGTGGTTGGACCATCAGGGGATTGGCATTCCTAGGGTTAGTCAGGAATGAGAAATACAGAAAGTGTGCGGGGCATGCTCTGTACCTCAGGCCATGGGGACGACCGCTCCCTGTCATGCAGACCCCTCAGAGGGGCCGCCCCCGGCCCGGCCCAGCTCTGGCCAGGGTGTCTCACGCTCTTGGTTTTGTGTTTAAGGATTTAAGTGCTAGCAGGACTCACAGAGAGCTCTTAGAGATTCATGGGAAAAACATTGCCTACGACTTTCAGAAGTTTTGTGTTTATTTGATCACCTGGCTGATGTTTTGAGAGAACCAGGTCTCTGCTTGCCTTGAAGAAAGGTAGGCAAAGACGTGTGCATCAGGAGGCAACAGCCCTGTTGACAGCTGCGGTGGTCACATGCTGGGGATCCTTTTCTTGCAGGCCACCCACTCTGGTCCGTCCTCTGCGATGCCCGCCAAGGTGCTGTTTCTCAGTTCTTTGGGCTGCAGGGCGCTGCGGGGGACCCTCCATCAGGCACGCTCCCTTTTGTGATGCTCGGTGGATGCACCAAAGGAGCAACATCCCTCAAAAAAACTTTTTTTTTTTAAGTCTTCATTTTGACCTTGAACCCTGATGTCATGGCCACCTCCAGGGAGTCAGCTGTGAGAGCAGTCATTTCCCAGCAGCCATCTGAAGCCGTGGGAAAAGCCTTCCCAAGCTGTCAGAGGAAGAGCCGGCCTGCCCGGGGCAAGCCCGCCGCACCCGCCATCGGGCCTGTGAACTGTTTTGAAGCTGTGCGTGTTTTGATTCTCAGTTGAGTAGAAAGAGGCAATTGTCAATTAAGTGAAAGGAACCTCTGGAGTTAATCCCCTCGTCCAGCCTGCCGCAGGCCACCGACCTGTGTTGTCTGGTACCTGGGATCAACACGAGGGGTGTATTGTGTGGCATGGGCAGAATGAAAGCAGCCTAATGACGCCAGCGTTAACAGCTCCTGAAACTTTGACACTGCTCACAGCGAGTTGGTTGACTGCTTCACCGGCGTGTGCTGCTTTCATGGAGGAAACAAATGTGAAGACCACGCTGAAACTTGATAGAGATCGGAGGAGATGGAGAGGAATGGCAGTGCCCTTCCTTCAGGGGCATGGAGAGAGGAGCTCCACAGGCCTGCGGCCTCTCTGCGTAGGCAGAGGTTTACAGGAGGACGGCTCACGTTTATTAAGCCCCACCATTGAGGAACCAAGGTGAGCGAGAGGCCCGCCGAGCGTACGATGTCCACCCACGTGGCAAATCAGCTCTGCCTGGGCGTAGGGGCCCGTTTTGCTCCCCAGAAGCAGATAATTTACAGAGTGAACTGCCGTGCCCTGCAAGCTAATTGACCTCACTTGGGTGAACAACTCCCTGAGAGTCTTATATTCAGCCCGGTTCACAACAGACCCAGCCCAGTTACGATGATTAATGTAATAGCCAGGCAGGTGTATCAGTGCTTTTACTTTGACTCCTCAAATCTCATACTGTCATTGCCAGAACAGTCCAGAATATCTGGAGGCCTACACGTGAAATGACAGTCATCCGTCTTTGAGTATATCGGGCACACCCTCCCCTACATCCCCGCCCTTTTGGCAATGTTGGTGGGTGACAATATGTTCCTCACAAGATGTGCAGAATGTTTATTTGGAATTACTTTACCCAAAGCACAAAATCCATCATTTATATGCAAATCTGCAAAGCAATCGAAAAGAATACTTCCCTTGGCCGTGAGGGTTGCATGAGGGTGACAGGAAGTAGTGTAGCCCTAGGTGCATCATACACGACCAACTGCCATGCTAACAGAATGGCGTTTCCAAGAACGGAAGTTCGTTTTAAGACTCAGTGTGTCCTCTGTGTATCCATTGTCCAGAGCTGGTGAAACAGGAAAAGTTCCTTTATCTCCCTCGCAGGGCATGTGATGGGCTGTGGCTCACTTCTTCGGTGTCCCGCAGCTCAGACCCCTAGGGGGGCGGGCAGGCAGTCAGGCGGGTTGTGGGGAGCATGGGCTCCGATCCCACAGCATGGTCTAGGGCTGGGCGTTGACAGCTCCTGAAGCCCCAGTGGGCGTGTGTTACAGTGTGCTTTTCGGTTTGGCTGTCCACAGGCAGCCTGTGACCATCAGCTCAGTTAGTCCCTCTGCCTTATTGCAAGGACAGAGGGTTTCTGTATCCCAGGGTTCTTGCCTTAGTGTACTGGAAGAATTGGATCACACGTCAGCTTGGAGAATGAGTGCAACGTTTAATGAGTGGTGCCAGTAGTTCTCAGCAGATGGATGGTAGCCAGAAGGGCGATGGAGTGGGAAGGTGGTCTTACCCTGGAGTCGGGCCACTCAGTGGCCGGACTCTCCTCCTACCGCCCCCGGGTGAATTCCACGTCACCCACATCGTTCTGCCATTGGTGGCCTGCCAGAGTCTGTTGGTGTGTTCTTCTGCCGGTGTGCTTCTCTCGACGCCCAGCCGCCTGTGTGTGTGCCCACTAGGGTCTCGGGGTTTTTATAGGCACAGGATGGGGGGAGTGGCAGGCCAGGGTGGTCTTGGAAAATGCAGTGTTTGGGCGCAAGAACTGGAATGCCTGTCCTCGCCTATGTCTGTGGGCACAGGCCCAAGGGCGGAGCTCTTGCCAGGGAGCCTGCCCTTCTCTACCCAGCACTTCCCTGCCTGCCTCCCATTTCACCGGGATAATATCTAAGTGATTTGTTTCAGCAAAATAGTGCTTATTTTCTTTAAAAGTTGAACAGTGGTGGTGAAATCCAATTCCCCTTGAGCTCAGAAATACAAGCTCTCCTACAAGTAGAGGAAAGATTCTCAAAGTTAATGTTGCCAGAACTTGTTTTTGTCTTGATGAATCAAAAAGATACTTATTTCTGGAATTATTTCTTATCAGATTTGATCAACTAGTAACAATTGTTCACTGGTCCTTGTGTGACATGCCCTGGGTCCTCTGCTACGGCTGGAGGAGGCAGAAAGTGTCTGCAGCCCCCAGGCTCAGCTCAGGTGTGTACTGACGATCCCATCCCATGACCCCCAATGCAAGTGGACGGGTGTCACGCCAAGGAGTGGTGAATTCTACT
This sequence comes from Homo sapiens, assembly GCF_000001405.40. Lineage (NCBI taxonomy): Eukaryota > Metazoa > Chordata > Mammalia > Primates > Hominidae > Homo > Homo sapiens. The sequence goes on from NC_000002.12 coordinate 235,814,670, forward strand.
GAGTTAGACAGGAGAGGGTGAGGGAAGGACAGGGAAATGGAGGTGGGGACAATCCCACTGGACTGGGACATACAAGTAGGTGGTGGCAGAACAGGAGGGAGGCAGACAGCAGAGCTGCGGATGGAGGGGTTCAGGAGGAAGTGGGGAGGAGGGTCCTAAAGGCCCAGGGTATCTGCTTGCCAAGGACTCTGGCTGCTCTGCAGAGAAGGGTTGATTTCCCCATATTATTTGTAGGAGCAGTGGTGTTGGGGGTTTAGAGACTCATGGCCGCACGGAGTGGATCTCCCTCCCCTTCTTACTCTGTCCCCATAGGGTTTGAGATGATGGGGGTTCTGATGTACCAGAGTCTTGGCGGTAACCAGCGTTTATTGACCACTTTTCCGAGTGCCCTGTCCTAGAGCTTTCCACTGCTGTCCCCCTTACCTAGGAAGTGCCACGCTCCCCTTTCCCATATGAGAACATTAAGGCTTGGGGAGACAGTGGGGCGTGCCCAGCAGCCCCACACAGCGCATGAGTCCCCAGGGCTGCCCTAATGAAATCCTGCAGCCTGGGCGGCTTAAACAGCACAAGTTGATCTCTCGGTTCTAGAGGCTGGAGGTCCAAGACAAGGCCCAGCAGAGCCTGTTTCTGGAGAGCCCTCTCCTTGGCTTGAGCCTGTTGCCTTCTTGCTGTGTCCTCCCGTGGCCTGGACTCCATGTGCACACGCCTGGTGTCTCTTTTTCTTATAATGATGCCAGTCCCATTGAATCAGGGTCCCATCTGTACGTCATTTAACCTTGTCTCCAAATACAGTCCCACTGCGGGTGAGGGCTTCAACATGCAAATTTTGGGGGGACGTATTTCATCCTGTAACACACAGCTGGGTAGTAGCAGAGCTGGGACGGGAGCTGAGCTCTGTGTGACCGAGAGCCATCTGCCATGTTCTTTCCATCTGGAATGTCCTAGCTTAGGCCTTCCTGGTCATATAAGGTAAGGCCACTTGATTTCTAACCAACATATTTGAGAATAAAAAAGAAAAACTTACTTGAAGAGGCCGCATGCGTTAGATAGGAAGCATACGAGACTCAAAGTACTCCGACTTGGGGGTTTCCATTGAAACTTTCCTAAGTTGTGGTAAACTGTTGTCATTTGAAATAAGACTGTTGCTGGAACGAATCCTTATACCAGGTGCGTAGCTCTCACTCTGTGCAGTGCGTTTTACAGCTGTTGAGGCCTTTCAGTCCCGTCCATGGGAGACCTCCTTCAGGCTGGTTTTGAAAACCAAAGCTCCCTTCCCTTGCGGAGGCAGCTCCTCAGGGCCGCGGGTAAATGTTGGGCCTGTAGCTGGGGATGTTCAGGAAGAGCCTGTGGATTGGGCAGGTGCTCACTGTCCGTCAGTTGTGTCACTGGTTGCTTTGACAGTGGCTGTGGTGTTTTGTGTTTTGGTTAATTTCTCCCAGGTATAAAAGATAGCTATATACTCACTTCATTACTGAAAGAAAGATACAGCTGGGCATAGTGGCTCACGCCGGTAATCCCAGCACTTTGGGAGGCCGAGGTGGGTGGATCGCGAGGTCAGGAGATCGAGACCATCCTGACTAACATGGTAAAACCCCCGTCTCTACTAAAAATACAAAAAATTAGCCAGGCGTGGTGGCGGGTGCCTGTAGTCCCAGCTACTTGGGAGCCTGAGGCAGGAGAATCGCATGAACCCGGGAGGCGGAGGTTGCAGCGAGCCAAGATCGCACCACTGCACTCCAGCCTGGGTGGCAGAGCGAGACTCCGTCTCAAAAAAAAAAAAAAAAAAAAGGAAAGAAAGAGCAGGAGTGCAGAGACTCCAGGTCAGACTTAGGAGGCCTTTCACCTTAAAGGTTAAAATCCCCACACGTGACAAGTAGCTCTGACTACTTCCCACAGTCTTTGGCCATTTGCAAACACTACATAGAAACAGATGTCTACCAGCTGGGTGTGGTGGCTCACGCCTGTCATGTCAGCACTTTGGGAGACCGAGGTGAGTGGATCACCTGAGGCCAGGAGTTCAAGACCAGCCTGGCCAACATAGCAAAAACCCATCTCTACTAAAAATACAAAAATTAGCTACACATGGTGGTGTGCACCTGTAATCCCACCTACCTGGGAAGCCGAGGCATGAGAATCGCTTGAACCCAGGAGACGGAGGTTGCAGTGAGCCGAGATCATGCTACTGGACTCCTTTTTTGATCTCTGTCTCAAAAAGAAGAAAAAAAAAAAGATATCTACCAAGACCAAGACTCCTAAGGAAATTGTATCATTAAAGTCTTATTTCAGTTCTGCAGTATTTATTTAACAGTTCCTGACAGCAGACTCAGTTTCTCCTCGTGTAGGAACTTGGACTGTGGAATAGGACTTCTCCCAAGCTGAGTTTTGTCCTTTGTGAATAGAGGCTTTGACAACCAAACAAGCACCTCTCCTGGCAGAGAGAAATCACTGGCTGCCAGAATTTCATGTTTTGTTTAGAAACAGCAACCGTGGAACTTATGGCACTTGGCATGGCTCTTAGACCAGACACATTTTCCCAGAAATGGTCAGGAAGGCCCAGACTGTGCACTCTGTCCCAAGACTGTCGCTGTGGTTCTCCCTCACACACCCCTATGACATGGTTCTGCTTGTTGCCTACTCCAGAGCCTTTGGCTCCACAAGTTCTAAAGAAGGTGGCGGCTTAATAAGTCTTCACAGTCCCCTTTTGAGGCTTTTCAGGAAAGTCATCAGACAATGACATTTTTATCAGATAGTTTTGAGTAGCAAAAACACTTTTTCCTCTCCTACATCTAAAAGTAAAAGAATTTACTTTTAACTGACTCACTGAAGGCCATGTTTTGAAACCAAAACACTCTTTCCTTGGTACCAAAGCTGACAGCTATAAGTAAATATATAGGAATGTAAATATTATAAAGTAGGCATAGAAGAGTTTGTTAGTTTTAGGTTGGGTGCGGTGCGTCATGCCTGTAATCCCAGCACTTTGGGAGGCCGAGGCAGGCAGATCAGTTGTGGCCAGGAGTTCAAAACCAGCCTGGCCAACATGGCGAAACCCCATCTCTACCAAAAAGACAAAAAGTAGCCGGGCACGGTGGCGCATGCCTGTAATTCCAACTACTCGGGAGCCTGAGGCAGGAGAATCGCTTGAACCCGGGACGGGGAGGTTGCAGTGGGCTGCGATCGCACCACTGCACTCCAGCCTGGGCAACAGAGTGAGACTCTGTCTCAAAAAAAAGAAGAGTTTGTTAGTTTGGGAAATATGTTCCTAGTTAGACATTGTCCATAAATTACCTAATACTATAGTTAATGTTTGCAGACTGGTGAAAACAGAAACATTTCAAAATACTATTAACATCTTAGGGCCGTCCCAAGTCTAGTCCTCCTGGTTCAATCCGATCTGCTCCCTGCAATATTTACTCCCTAACCTTTCCTTCTGCTTAAAAACTCATCAGAATCAACCACATTATTATCGTGTGAGACTTGTAATAAGAATGCTGGCAGTTACATGCCGAGTACATATTGTACATTACGTTGGTTGCTTCATCACAGGACCTCATTTAATTCTCCACCAACCTAAGATACAACTTGCTACTCTGTTCTAGACGAAGAGTTTGAGGTTCAGGGATGTTAAGGTATGAGACCGATGTTATATAGCTCCACGTGAGTGGAAGAGCTGGGATTCAAATCCAGGAGTCCTCTCTGAAACATTCTAGAAAAGCCTATGCTGTTGCATCCCCTTCCCGCCCCATGCCATCTGTGCTCACCATGACCGTCTTTTTTTTGTTTGTTTGTTTGTTTTGAGACAGTCTTGCTCTGTCACCCAGGCTAGAGTGCAATGGCATGATCTCAGCTCACTGCAACCTCTGTCACCCAGATTCAAGCTATTCTTCTGCCTCAGCCTCCCGAGTAGCTGGGATTACAGGCATGGGCCACCATGCCCAGCTACGTTTTGTATTTTTAGTAGTGGCAGGGTTTCACCATGTTAGTCAGGCTGGTCTCGAACTCCTGACCTCAAGCAATTCTCCTGCCTCATCCTCCTAAGTAGCTGGGATTACAGGCACATGCCACCATGCCCGACTAAGGTTTGTATTTTTAGTAGAGATGGGGTTTCACCATGTTAGGCTGTTCTCGAACTCCTGACCTTAGGTGATCCACCTGCCTCGGCCTCCCAAAGTGCTGGGATTACAGGCGTGAGCCACCATGCCCGGCCCATGGCCATCTTTTCTGTGCAAGATCAAGCATCAAGTACACAGTGTACTTTCCTGGTGGGGCACCAGCAAGGCAGGCTGTTTTACGCAGGGCTGTCCTGGAAAGTCTGTGCTGTCTGGCACCTGGATCAAGATCAGATGAGGTCCTTGAGCTCCAGTGTTCATCGGAGTCCCTGTGGGCCCAGAGGTTGCCTGAGTAGGTCAGAATCGAGTATCGGGAAATTGTATTTCTTTTCTTTTCTTTTCTTTTTTTTTTTTTTGGAGACAGAGTCTACTCTGACACCCAGGCTGAAATAAAATGGTGCAATATCTTGGCTCACTGTAACCTCTGCCTCCCGTGTTGAATTGATCCTCATAACAGCCTCCCAAGTAGTTGGGACTACAAGCACACACCACGATACCTGGCTAATTTTTTGTATTTTTAATAGAGATAGGGTTTTGCCATGTTGCCCAGGCTGGTCTCAAACTCCTGAGCTCAGGCAATCCACCCACCTCCACCTCCCAGAGTGCTGGGATTACAGGCGTGAGCCACTGCGCCTGGCAGGAGATTGTATTTCTGTGTTCTCAAGTGATGCTGATGCTGCTAATCCAGGAGCCACACTTTGAGATCCCCTTTCTAGGCACATGGAGTCACTTAGGGCTTCTTTCCTTTCCCGCCTCACAAATAGATGACTCTTTGATTCGTACCAGCCCCTTTAATCTGTGCTCGTGAAAATTTTCCTAGCCGTGAGGCCCGTGTCAGATGCCTTCTGTTCCAGGTAAACCAATGAGATGTGTGCTCTTTCCTTTTCTTTCCTCCGATGCCCGTCCGATCTTGGGATCTTGCTCTCTATCTTCCCTGTTTATAGCTATGTGCATCATTCACGCCTCCTTTCCCACGTGTTTCCGGATGGTGCACACTCCGAGACATGTTCTTTCTCCTGCGTTGTGTACACAGCAGGGAGGGTATTTGGTAGGCAGGTTGCTGGTGGTAGTAGCACTAGGTAGCATAGGTTAATTGTGTAAAATGGCTTTTTTTTTTCTTCTTTCTTTCTTTTTTTTTTTTTTTTGAGACGGAGTTTTGCTCTTGTTGCCCAGGCTGGAGTGCAATGGTGCGATCTCAGCTCACCGCAACCTCCGCCTCCCAGGTTCAAGTGATTCTTTTGCCTCAGCCTCCCGGCTAGCTGAGATTACAGGCATTCACCACCATGCCCAGCTAATTTTCTATTTTTCATAGAGATGGGGTTTCTCCATGTTCAGGCCGGTCTTCAAGTCCCAACCTCAGGTGATCTGCCTGCCTCGGCCTCCCAAAGTACTGGGAGTACAGCCACCATGCGTGGCTAAAATGTCTTTTCTTCACCAAAACAGATTTTGTTTGTTTAAAAGAATATGTTATATTGGAGAAGTTACAGTATTCATTAAATTGTATTTTCAGGAACATTATAATTTTTAAGTCAACATTCTTTAACTTTTATGTATCTAAGATAGTATGTTTAGGTTACACAGAAGTGGTCACATTTTTTTAATCTGCAAAGAAGAAAGCTTTTGCCAGTGACCCAAAATAATTTCAGAAAACTGGTTTCTTGTACAACTTTTCTACTTTTGAGTATTTATCCAGAAGAAGATTTGTTTAAATAAATGTCTTCACATACAAAATTTTGTTTATAAGGAATTCTTCAAGATTAAACCCACAAATTTTAGTAACACCGGACTGTTTTTGTAATTGCCAAGTTTTTACCATATTGTTCAGTCTCTATCAGCCACAGCCTCTGTGATTTCATTCATGCTAAAAACAAGAATGTTTATATTTTTAGTGTACATAAAAATTAATTTTATACAAATATATAAAACAGCTACACAGAAATACTAGTGGAGAGACGAGTAATGTGCCAAGTAATGATTAGGCAATGAGGAACCACGAGAAGCAGATAGCTCTGGTTGGGTGTGTTGGCCTTCCTTTGCTCATATCTAAAGTATTGGAGATTTAAGACAATATGAAATCATTGTATACTAAAATGTATCATTAACAAAGAATGATAAAATCCTACTCTAAGAAAAATAAGGAAGAGCAGAGTTGTGGAAATGCACTGCTATAGTCCTGAAACTTGACCCAGTCTTCTTGAAGGGCAATCTAACAGTCATACATGATGGACATAAGAAATTTGATTCACTTTGTCCCAGTGATCTGTCTTCTAGAAGTTTATCCTCAAGGGAATAATTCACTAGGAGAAAGGGAAAAAGACCTTTAGTGTAAAACAGTGTGTATAGCAGTTATTTATAATATTAAAATTCTGGGAGCTACAAATTTTCAACAAGCAAGAAGTTAAATTAGTAATTGCTAACTGAATAGTACCAGGATGTACAGCCATTAAAATGGCCAATTTGAATACCCTTTAGAGATAAGTGAAAGCATAAAACATAAAACTGTGTATAATAATTGGAGCATGAAAATATGTATACATGTGGCTTTAAATTGGATGAATAGGAACGCAGTAACAAGTGAACTGGGGTAGGTTTAAAGCAGAACTTCAATTTTTTTTTTTTTTTTTTTGAGACGGGGTCTCGCTCTGTCACCCAGGCTGGAGTGCAGTGGTGCGATCTTGGCTCACTGCAAGCTCTGCCTCCCGGGTTCACACCATTCTCCTGCCTCAGCCTCCCGAGTAGCCGGGACTACAGGGAACTTTAAAAATTTTAACTTCATGTTTTGAAATAATTTTAGATTTGAAAGAAATTTGCAAAAAATAATACAAAGACTCCATATACCCTTCACCCAGCTTCCTTCACTGTGGACATTTTTATATAACTAGTACAGCTATAAAAACCAGGAAATTAGTATTGGTAAGGTACTAGTAACTTATCTATAGGCCTTCTTCACATTTTACCAGTTTTTCCTGAAATGTTCTTTTTAATCTCAGGATCCAATCCAGGATCCCTCCTTTCACTTAATTGCTTTATTTATTTTGCCACTTCCACCCTGAGAAAATTCCTCAAGTCTTATGTCCATGACCTTGACACTATTTTAGGAATATTGATCAGTTACTTTGTAGAAAGCTCTTTAATTTGGATTGCCTGATGTCATCTCCTGAATAGATAGAAGATCTACATTTCTGGCAGGAAAACCACAGAAGCCTTGCACCCTTCCTGGTGCTCTGTACCAGAGGCACCTGACAGCCACCTGTCTTATTCCTGGGAACACTGACCTTGGTCACTTGGACAAGGCGAGACCTATTGGATTTCTCCCTTGAGTTCTTATTTTTCCATTTGATAAAGTTAGGGATGAATGTCTTCGGGGAGATACTTTGAGGCTGTGCTGATCATTTTTAGTGATAGACGTTGTACTCAATAATAAGTAGGTTTTATAAAATGAAAACTATTTTCTTCTGATAAATGTGTACAGTCTTAAATAAAATTTAAAGTGCTTTTTTAACTCTTCCTGTATTGGAGGGAAGGAGTAAATGAGGATGATTTTGAAACTTGTTGGTTACTTAAAGAAGACCTGGGGAAACCTAGAGGTGAGGAGGAACTGGAGAAGCCCAGGAGCGAGGAGGAGCTGGAGAAGCCCAGGGGTGAGGGGGAGATGGAGAAACTCAAGGGTGAGGAAGAGCTGGAGAAGCTCAAGGGTGAGGAAGAGCTGGAGAAGCTCAAGAATGAAGAGAAGCTGGAGCAGCTCAAGAATGAAGAGAAGCTGAAGAAGCTCAAGGGTGAGGAGGAGCTGGAGAAGCCCAAGGGTGAAGAGAAGCTGGAGAAGCTTGGGAATGGGGAGAAGCTGAAGAAGCTCAGTGGTGAAGAGGAGCTGGAGAAGCCCAAGGGTGAGGAGGAGCTGGAGAAGCTTGGGAATGGGAAGAAGCTGAAGAAGCTCAGTGGTGAAGAGGAGCTGGAGAAGCCCTGAGTGAGCCCGAGCTGGGAGTGGTGAGTGTGAGTGGACCTTCCCAGATAGATCTGGTGAGAATGGGGTGGCAGTTCTAGAACTGAACAAGAGGGGCTTCCTGGTCGTGGACCCCGACGGGTGGGCATGCGGTAGATACCCAGCACATCCGAGGGAAGGATGGATGGCTATTGATTTCCCTTCAGGCCATGCCAATATGTTTGTCAAGCAACAGATGCAATTCAAGTGCTACTGTGATCCAGGTGTGGCTCGCTGTTTAGGTAAAGAAGCTTCACAAAGGCGCTGCCACAAACCAACATGTGTTCTTTGGGTTTCATCTCGTAATTTCATTCATGAAGGTTGGGAATTCTGTTACTCAGAATCTTACCTATTTTTTCCAAGTAGTTTCTCTCAGAGAACAAAAACTATGTATAGTATGTGTGTACATATGTAAATTTATGTAACATATTAACATGTTATTATGATATGTAACATATCATTATGTATTATGTTAACAATTATAATCTATAATTCTATAGATTAACCCTAAGATTTATTTTTCCCTACCATCTTCCCATTGTTGCCCAAATAACTGAGTGCTGTCTTTCCCCACCTCCCCGTATCACCCAGGCTGGTCTCGAGCTCCTGGCCTCAAGCAAACCTCCTGCCTTATCCTCTCCGAGTAGCTGGGACTATGGGTGCGAGCCACCACGCCCAGCTCTAGAGTGCTTTTCCCTGTGCTCGCACCAGAATTACAGTGAACTGCCCAACAAACATGCTGTTTTTAAAGCTAGAAGGGACCCTCATCTTATACCTAGGGAAACTGAGTCCCAGGAAGGGTAAAGAGCTTGCTCAAGGTCCTTCCAGATGCTCTTCCAGTACCATTTCCACCACTGACACCAGCATTTTCTTATTCCTTGTGCACTTCTCAAAAAAATAGAAATAACAAGTAGTGGTTGTTTACTGTTTTGACCCAGATATTTTTATTGTATTGCGACTGGTCAGCTTTTTCTAAGTTGAATCTTTAAGCTTCATGCTGTTTTATCTGTTTTTTTAAATATGCAAGGGAATAGATAAAAAGCATTACCTTTGAAAGCATGTGGTTACTAAGAGACAACATGACCATCCTTTGTGTGTTTATGTATCTAGCAGGCTCATTGATTCCCAGCAGTCCTGTGAGGCTAGGTGGCATTCATTCCTCTGCACATTTTATAGATGAGAAAGCTGAGGCTCGCCTTGCATGATTTCCTAGAGCCTGGAAGAGGCAAAGATAAGATTCAAACCCAGGTCTGCCTATCCTAAAACCAGTGGTCTTCACATTGAAGGGCCTTATGTAGCACCGAGCTCCCAGTATGTAACTTAACTTATATATAACTTAACATTCTGTTTATGTTAAAAATTCAGGCACAGGACTACACCCAGGGACTACTGCAGAAACGTTTTCTAAATAGCGCCAACGCTGAGGGGTCTTCGATTGGTGGCACCCGTGTTCCACGGTACAGCTAGGCCTTCTGTGAGATCCCTTTCCCCTTAATACAGAAATCCTCTAAGTGTATTCGAAAGCAGTTGTTTGTAATTGGAGTATCTGGGATTGACAGTGGCTTTAATTAGTTGATTACTAGTTCTTTAAAATGTACTGTACTCACTGTGGGTCTTGCAAATTGGTAACTGGTAGCTACCAGTGTAATTAAATATTTCAGAGCACTTGGCTACAGTAGCATTGAACTGTGAAGAAATAATGTTGTACAGCCAATCAAAAAGAGATACTTGTAAACTCATTTACAGCGTCAGTGTGTGTTAGGACCATCATTGAGATGCTTATTGCAGGAGAAATTAAAGATACAATTTTGTGCTAAGAGGCAATGTAGAAATTAGTTCCCGAATTACTTGTTAATTGATTTGGTGATTCCCTCGGGTCTGCATGCTCCTTTTCCCCCTTTTTGTTGTTGCATTCAGTTAACAGTGACTATTCCCAGAGCAATAAAAATATATTCCACATGTAGATGAGATGTGCCCTTATATGAGACGGCCTGCATTCTTTCGCGGTACCAAGAAATGCTCAACCTAAAACACAACTGTGTTTTTCTCAGGCATATTGTTGTTTTATGTATACCCATCAAGGTAACCGGTGCATTCACGGGTTTGGATAATTTCAGGAAAAGGAAAGCATGTTTTTATGTCTCACGTTTACAGGCGCTTTTCTGATTTTTCTTTCCCCCTAATGGAAACCTTCCTTTTTTTATCAACAGTGGAGGAGATTCAGGAGACTTGATTTATGGAAGCTTTTTCTTATTTGCAATTCAGCAAGAATAACCATATGAAAGACCATTTGTAGAAAAGTGCAAATTGCTACTGAAAATGATATTGAAAGAAAATGAGACCTGTTTCTCCTTGTTGAAATTGAGTGTGGATAGAAGGAGAGACAGCCATCGTGGGTCAGAGGGAGCCTCCCAGGCTTCCTGGATGCAGGCTCCCGTCTCCAGACCCCTTCCTTCTTGACCGAGGGGAGAGGACACTGAAATGATGCACATATTGGTGCTGCTAATGTGAAAGATGCAGAAACCGTTATCCTTTTGAATTTCCAGTGGAAGATCCAACGACCCTTTGAACAGCTGCCACCATGGTGGCTGTGGCTTCATTTTGAGGAAAACATTTTTAATATCTTGTTGGCCGTGCTTATGGCCTGAAAAGCAGCATTAACGAGTTTTTGAAAACTATTATTATTCATTTTAGGCCAGTCCGTTATTTTTTTCTATTGCCCTTCCCGTGATCACTTATGCATATAAATATCATTATGCTTTTGCTTAACTGGGGCAAAAATCATGTGCATTATTTCAGTGTCTGCTTTTAAAAGTAGATGGTAGTATTTTATTTTCAGTTAGGTGAAGCAGAAAAATGTATCCAGCAAAGTCTTCATTAAAAAGCTTAAGATGGCTAGAACTAAATATACATTGAACACAATTACTAATTTATCAAATATGTTTGCATGTTGGTCAGTATATACAATAAAAAATAGTGTTTAATTTGAAATGTTAAAACCCTCTCTAGGTCCAAAAAATAGAATGGATGAGACCTACTATTTGATAGCACAGCAGGGTGACTTTAGTCAGTAATAACTATACATTTAAAAATAACTTAAAAGAGTGTCATTGGATTGTTTGTAACCCAATGGATAAATGAGAGGATGGAGACCTTATTCTCCACAGTGTGCTGCTTTCACATTGCATGCCTGTATCAAAACATCTCATGTGCCTCATAAATATATACACCTACTATGTACTCAAAAAATTAAAAACAGAAAAAAAAAAATAGAAACCCTCTCAATTGTTGCTGCACCCAGCGTGGAAGAGGAGGTGTGCGAAACCATGCTAACGTGGCGCCATGCCCTGTGATGAAAGAGCCACCTGCTTAGTTGTTGGCTCCAGTAGAAGGAGAAGGAACACACCGTTTGCTTACTGGATGGCAGAGCGTTGGCATGCTCTTTATCCCTCATAGATTCCTTTCAGGTTACCCCCAAATAGGGTGACCTAGTTTTCCTCATGAGCATGGCTTATTAAGGGCCCCAAAAGTCTAACCTCTGCCAACTCAGAGATGCTGCTTGGGCAGATACAGGGCCTGAGCAGGGATAAGGAAAGGTAACCATCAGCTGCATAACCATGCATTTGCAGGTTCATTCTTTCTACTTTCGTCTCCGTTGCTCCGTTTCACATATCTTTTTTTTTCTTCCCCCACCCCCACTCCTTTTTTTGAGACAAGAGTCTTGCTGCTCTGTCACCCAGGCTGGAGTGCAGTGGCACGATCTCGGCTCACTGCAACCTCCACCTCCCAGGTTCAAGTGATTCTCCTGCCTCAGCCTCCCAAGTAGCTGGGATTACAGGCGCCCGCCACCACACCCAGCTAATTTTTGTATTTTTAGTAGAGACGGGGTTTTACCATGTTGGCCAGGGTGGGCTCGAACTCCTACCACCCGCCTCAGCCTCCCAAAGTGCTGGAATTACAGGTGTGAGCCACTGCACACGGCTTGCTTCCCCATATCTTTTTAAAAATGTTTTTTTGCAACATTAGCCACCCTGAGAGTTTCTTCACGAAGTTCCTGTGGAGGTGGCTGGCTGTCTTCGTCACTTTTCTCCACAGAATGTTTCTAAAACACACAAATTTGGCCAAACAGCCTCCAAAGCAATGATTTCATATCTCCTTCCTCCTATTGTTCACTAACTTTGATTAAGTTAGAGAAAAGTACCTGCACTTTTCAGATACGGTGGCTCCGCGTGTTGGAGAATTCAGTACCAGATCCATGGCTCATCCTAAGCAGGGCAAGGAGGAGGGGAGCTCTTCACCCCTGGGCGGGTTTGTAGTGCGGCTTGTGCGTCTCCCCAGATTGCAGAGGAGAGGAAATACATCCCCTTCAAGATGAGAGGACACAGCTGCAACGTCTTATTTTAAAAATATGTGTGACTTTTACTTTCTGCTTCATACATGCATCACGTGTTTGAATATACTTTCTATTATTTGTGAGTTAACATTGCTGTTTTTCTCCAAGTGTTTGAGTGAAATTGATTCTCCACGCAGACTCTCCTTGCTCACCCTGAGGTTTCAGGGCTTTGACCTGAGGGCTGAGACCACAGGGCACAGCTCCTGACCCACGTGGCTGAAGGGCTTGGAGCAGGAGGTAAGGGGGCTGCCGGCGTAGCTCCAAGGTGATGAATATTTCTACTTGATATTTCTCCTGGTATTTCTGCACTTTAATGACTATTTCTACTAATACTTGTACTAATAATTTTTAATGGTTCACATTGAGTAGGTGACATTTTGATACATTAATGAGCCTTATCAATGACTTTTAAAAGTTCCTTAGTGTGCCAGGATACTTTGCTGCAGCCCTTGGAAGGAAGGGGAGAGGGTGTGGCTGTGGCCCCCATTCTACCCTCTGAGCATGAGTCACAGGTGGCACGCCTAAGAGTAACATCCACGGCTGAATCGTCACCGGCATTGAACTACACTTCCAAGGTTAGTCAGGGAGGCTTTCCTTTAACATAGCTTGCCCGTACTAAAAGCTGTCAGAATACTGGAGAAATGTAGGCCTTGAAGATAGAGGGGTGTTTTCAGGGGTGGCTGCCTTCACTCTGGAATGCTTTGCGCCTGCTGGGATGTTGCTAGCATGCCTGTGGGGAGAGGCCCGGAGGGCTGGGCTGCGAGGGAGGCTGCACTGGCTTCTGGGAAGCGCTGGTTTCTGGAGCAGGCCAGCCTGCGGGACTCCAGGACTGAGGCTTGCCCAGCCACTGTGGGTCCTGACGGTGCAGTAGGGGCTGCATTTTGACAGACTTACAACAAGTATCCCAGAGAAAGATGAGAGCAGATGGGGATCCTGAATTTTGGTTTCCTGGGGACAAATGTTTTCTGGCTTGTTCTCATGTTTCTGGGAAATAATGGGATTAAATTCGAGTATCTTTCTTGGCTACAGGAATTGATGGAAGAGGAAGTATTTTGAACTCAGTGAAATGAGCATTCCTCTGCACTAGGCCGACCCCTTTCTGTGGCAGCCCACTGGAACATAAGCACCCCATGTTGGGAATTTCTTTTTTTGGTCACCAGTGTATCCCAGACCCCTAGAGTAGCTCTCAGTAAATATTTATGTAATGAAAAATCTCAATTCTCACAACCACCTTAGGAGGGATAATAGCATAATCCCCATTTCACAGACAGAATGAATGCTCAGAGAAGTTGAGCCACTTACTCAATGTCACTCAGCCTGGGAGTGGTAAACTAACACTTATGCATTGTATGGAACTGCCCACGAGTCACGTTTGTTCTATGAGAAGGCAGAAAATACCTGGGGAGGTCTTGCCCAGGGGTGTGTATGTCTTAATTGATAAACCTCTGGAATTGGAAACGTAGAGGGTAGTCCAGGGTAGAATTTAGGCTCAAGCTTACTTTGAGAGCATGTTGCCCTAAGAGTGGAATGTCATGGAGCAAATTCCAGAAGCTTTCGCTCACCCAGCCTTTTCAAAGTCCATCCCAAGACTGTTGGGTCCACATGTTGCTCGGATGTCATGAGATGTCCCTGGTTGACACGTTGAGGACACGCTAAACCACACGAAGATAATGGGTGTCATTTTGCATGACTCACAGCCCTTACCATTTGAACGTGCAATGGATGCTCCGAGAAAGAACAGACCTTGAGTCCTCGTTTGTAAGACACAGCTCTCAGACGCAGCCTGTCCAGAGTTCTGAGCCTCAGTTTTGGGGGTCAGGTGTCATTGTCTTAAGATGCAGTTTTGTGGACTGGTACAGAGTTCAGTCTAAGGCAGATGTCTCTCTTTTATTCCTGTTGTCTTTCAACATTTGGGCTACTGGGTAGATGGGCACCAGTGACTGGGCAGATTGGCACCAGGACTTTGTCTACAACCTGCGTTTCCCTGTTTGTTCTGCCATGGGGCATGAGGCAGCGCCTGGCTGACCTTGGACTTGCAGGCAGCCTCTGTGCATCCCCTGGCCCCTGGCCTTGTTGTTAGATGGTGCATTTCGTTTTCTGGAGAGAGAGAGAGAGCTGGACCACTGTGGCCGTTGTCAGAATTCCACTTTCGTCATCAAGGATTCATTTTCTTTATGTCCGTAATGTGATGGGGCAGCATTAGCAGTCGGTCACCTGTGTTTCCAAAGGGAGAAGTATTTTCAGGATGTAGAGACTGTGGCCATGTTAATAACCAGGTTCTAACTTTCCTAAGAACCCTGAGACCTTGTGAGCAAGAAAGGGCACAGCATTTGACATCTGAGTCAATCCTGGCCAAATGTATACTGAATTGCCACTAGAGAATTCACCACCACTCCTGATGAAGCCAGTTGGGTAGTTTTCCTTCACTTGTGAAAAATTAATCATGATGTTAGCTTGTTATATATTGCGAAGAGATTTTTTATAAGTTGGTGATAGATGATTTTTAATTTTTTGGACTCTCTGTATTTCTACATCTTCTTTGTGGGAAATTCTTCAAACTCCATGGGGGCTTGGTGACCCAGCCTGATGGTATCGTCCATCCTTGCAGCAGTGGGTGGCCCCTCTGTGCTGGGCTCTGTGGAAGGCGCAGATAGACAGGAGGCTGCTTGGCCCTGGGGAGTTTGCCGTGCAGGGGGTGGTCAAGGACCAGAGAAGGTGGTGTGAAGAACTGGCAATAGAGAGTGGGTGTCAGTGGGCCGGGACAGGCAGAGCTTCAGGAAGTGACAAGTAGTCTCTGGGGACCGGCACATCTGGACATGGACAGTCAAAGGAAGACTGGGGGCACATGGGGACCAGGACACCTGGACATACACAGTCAGAAGGAAGACTGGGGGTCGGGGTGGGACAGCATGATGCAGAGCTTTGGCGGCTGGCTGATGGAGTCGTTCTCATTTGTGAAGACACTGTCCAGGGCTAAGGCAGTACTTGCCAAGGCAAGGCCACCGTGATCCGAGACTGGGAGGCCCAGAAAAGATGCAGACAAGGTAGGAGTCGGCTCTGTGTGACTTCCCCATGACACCAGTGGGCCAGGCTACAGTCACCGTTTGAGTGCCCGTGGAGGATTGGTTTACTTAGTAAATTCGTTGTATTTTAAAAGTCAGATGGAATTTGTCTTCATATTTTGCTCATGTCAGTGAGGAGATAGATGTGTGCTGTCACTTAGCAGTGTCCACTGTCTTTCTTCAAATCAAGGCCAGTGAATTTTCTGATTGCAGGCACTTCAAAGCCGTCAGTTCCATTCATTGTTTTTCAAAGTATTCATTTCATTAAACATCCCATCAGAAAGCCTCTGATAGAGGGTGCCCTCTCATCAGGTCCGTGTGCACCAGGAAGTTTACAGTTCAGAAGTGTTGCATGCTGAGCACTCTTTGTGAGATACTTTGGGGGCTCAGGGGGCTTGGAGTTTATTTGTTGGGGGAAGCAATGTTGGTAGGGGGTGGGGGTTGCACCTTGAGGTTTCTAGGCCAGCCCAGGACGGTGTGCGGCCCCAAGCCACTAACACAGCACTCCTAGTGTTCCTCACAGCAGGTGGAAAATGCATTTATAAGATATTTCTTCCTCGGAATTTTTAAGTGATTTTACTTCTATTGGATGCTGTTGATAGCCTCATTCTTCTCAGGTCCACCTGTCGGTAGGCCCAGTAGTCAACTCCTAACTAATAGAGTAGTTATTAGCTGGTTAGTTGTCTGCAGCTAAGCAGGAATGGGACTGGATGGTGGGGACTCCTGTGAGAATGCTGATGGGTGCCGCCTCCTCACCTGTGTGTCGCAGGTGTAGGCGATACCTGGGAAGCCGTTGTACGGGGCTGGCATTTGCTACTTTTATAAGATGTCACAAGCATGACCCAGGAGCACACCCCATGAGAGTCACAGTGGTACCAGCACCTGCTGGCTGCTCTCTGCACTGATGACAGCTGTTAGGGAATCACATTCGAGACTTTAACTAGATTGGTCCAGAGTGCTTCACTCTTCTTCTTTAAAAAAAAAAAAAAAAAACAGTAAACGTTCTTTTTTAGAGCAGTTTTAGGTCACGGCAAAGTTGAGCAGAAGGACACCCACAGCCTCCGCCATTGTCCCCCACAGTCTGTTGCAGCCGATGAGCCTGCACTGACAGCACTGTCACCCTCAGTCCATCTGTACTTTAGGGTTCACTGTTGGAGTGTGTTCTGTGAATCTGGACAAATGTATAATGAGCTGTATCCACCACTGCGGTGTATAGGATCATAAGAAACAGTTTCACTGCCCTAAAAATCCTGTGGTCCACCTCTTCATTTCCCCCACCGCCTGAAATCACAGATCTTTTTACTGCCTCTATAGTTTTTCCTTTGCCAGGATGCCATAGAGTTGGAATGATAGAGGTGTAACCTTTTCAGATTGGCTTATATCACTAATATGCATTTAAGCTTTCTCCATGTCTTTCCATGGCTCAGTAGCTCATTTCTTTCCAGTGCTGAGTAATATTCCATTGCCTGGATGTACCATGGTGTGTTTATCCATTCACCTATTGAAAGACATCTTGGGTGCTTCCAACTTTTTGCAATTATGATTAATGCTGCTAATACACATTTGGGTGCAGGTTTTTGTGTGGACCTAAGTTTTCAGCTCATTTGTGTAAATACCAAAGAACATGATTGCTAGATTGTATGGTAAGAATGTTTTCAGTTTTGCAGGAAACTGCCAAACAGTCTTCCAGAGTAGCTGTACCACTTTTTATTTCCACCAGCAATGGATGAGAGTTTCTGTTTCTCCACATCCTGTCAGCACTTGGTGTTGTCAGTGTTAGACTTTGGCCATTCTAATGTGTGTATAGTGGTATCCCCTGGTCATTTTCATTTGCAGTTACCTAATGACATATAATGTGGAGCATCTTTTCATGTGTTTATTTGCCATCTGTAGGTCGTCTTTGGTGAGGTTTCTGTTCAGATCTTCTGCTCATTTTTTAATTGAGTTGTTCACTTTCTTATTGTTGATTTTAAGGGTTCTTTGTATGTTTTGGATAATATTCCTTTTCAGATGTGTTTTTTATAGATATTTTCTCCCAGTCTGTAGCTTGTCTTCTCGTTTTCTTGATCTTTCTTCTTTTCCCTCCTAATAATTGTTCTCCTTCAAGGTTCTCCAGCTTATTGATATGTTGTTTAGGTAGGTCTTGGGCTTCATTTTGCCTGTAACATATCATTAGCATTTTCCTTACAGTTTGATAAAATTAATTTCAACAATTTCTACACTGTGAAACCTTCTGAGTGAGCACATCCTCAAAATCATCAACTCTTCCGATGAGATAATTGCTTAGGAGCATATACAGTTCTTAAAAGCACTTTTATACATTGTATGAAATGTAGAATGGGTGACATTTTATAAGTTATATATTGTAGACATTCTAGACTTCATTGCAGCTAATAAGCATCCAGGAATCTGTGAAGTTCTTATGAATGATAATTCTCCCCATCCTGTGTCAGTGCTAATAACATCTGTAATTAACAGCTAGGGAAGTCGTTGCCTGTTGGCAGCTGTGCTTATTGGCTGAAGTGACCACGTGCAAACCAAGCCTGGCTGAGCCTTGGGAGTGAAGGGATGTTCAAACCCACAGACTAGAAGGCAGGTGGGCAGCTGGCACCCAGATCCCATGGATCAATACCATGTGTGTGAGAGAGAGGGTGGGAGAGCCTAGCTGCCAGAAGGAGGCTGGTCTCTCCCCTGCTTCATGAGTGTACAACAGGAGACTGGCAGCCCCAAAGCAGCTAGTATCCTCTGCCACTGCCCTGACCGAGGACCAGGGCCTTTGGCTCTGAGACTGTGTGACATCTGATGGCCAGGGCATGTACATCATCACAAGGAAACAAGACCTGGAGGGGGCCGGTGAGCCAGGGAGCATGGTAGAAGAGACAAGCCGGAGAGCAGCTGGCTCTGGAGGGGCACTGGCAGGACCCGAGGGTGCAGGCAGCAAGCAGGCTGTTGGGTGCTGCAGGCGCTCTCCATTGGAGCAGTGCTGTGGAAGCACCGTCGGCCTGCCGCCGTGCTGAGTGATGCCAGGGCCACGACAGAGGCTGGCGTAGGCACGGGAGCGGGACCACACGTGGCCAAATGAGCAGGAAGGAAGGGACAGGGCAGGATTATTTTAGAAACTTAGAAAAATCATACCTGCTTGCTGTAGCAAAATTAGAAGATGTACATGGACAAAAACGTAGAAGTCACCCCTTAATGCCAGTACTCCAGGATGAAAGTGGTTATCCCCATAGTTTGCACCCCTGTTCAAGTTCACTCTCTCTGAAACACCTAAACCACCCACCCCCACTCTCCAAGGCCCTCATGCTCACCTTGACTCTCCTCATCACCCCGCCCCCTCCTCAGAGTGCTTGCTAATGTCACTCTGGATCCCACCTATCCTGGCTTCCATGTGGGTAGAAATCTTGACTTTTCGTTACAGTGAATGTCATAAAAGGTGCTCAAGAAATATATCCCGAATGAATGAATGGAACAATAACTGGTAAACCTTTAAAGATATTTATCAAATGGGATCCCACTACAAATATGGTTATAAAATGGGATCACACACTTACATGTGTGCATGTTTATGAATACATGTGTATAACTGAAACAAATGTTCTATGAAATGATCCTAAGTGCATCTCACTCCAATCCTCCAATCTGGTTTTTTTTTTTTTTTTTTTAAAGCTCTGGTTGCAGCTCACTAAAGTAATTTCATGACCCACTAATTATCTCACATATTTTGTAAAACTCACATTTTTTTTGTAAAAAAAAAAAAAGCCAGTAGCAGCACTGGCTCTTTGTCCAGTATTGACATGTTAACTGTCATCCTAGTTGAGCCAGCCCCCTCCATGTAGGCCAGTCTGGCGAAATCCAGTGCTGTGTCTCTATGCAGTCCACGGGCACACTGAGTTCTCATTTGCCCGGTTGGAACAGCTGATGGTTAGTTCTCAGCGTGATCACCGTGGTCAGATGGGCGCCCCATGTGGTGCCTTGTGGGAGAAAAGTTCCAGGTTTTCTTTAGCTACTTCCACAGGTACACAGAGGTGTGCTGGCCATGGGGTTTGTGTCTCTGCATGTTCTTCCGCATAGTATGAGGTGCAGGCTTTTATTTCATAGGGACACACCAGTGTCAGACAGAACATGGGGACAAGATCACACTGCAGATTCAGATATGCCTTCTGTCCTTTCAAAGGGTGTATCCTGGTTCATCCTCTGTCCCTGCCTGCTGGAATAACTGCTTCCCCCGCTGCGTCCTGTCCTCGTGCACCCACCCAGGCCACAGAGCCCGGTCTGTGAGCAGCAGGAGGGCAGAGCCCTGTCCTCCTCTGCAGCATAACCCATAATTATGGCTCTTAATTTACATATTCCATGCCTGCCTTGAGAAAATATTTTACCTGGAATGTCAGTTTTTTGGGTACCATCCACTGGAGTTCACATTCATTTTCACCAGTTGTTCACTTAGCAGACCATTAGAAAGGAGGTCCCTGCGAGGTCCCCGTGAGAGGATAGGAAAATGCCATTTAAATAAAAGGTCAGCAAGAGCGAGAGTCTCCGAAGTTAGACAGGCATCCGGAGAAAGGTGGATGTGGAAAGTGAGGTTGACTTCTGGGCGCATGTGTGGAATATCCAGGCCCTTAGAGGCTCGGGTCTAGTGGTGGAGGATGAGGCCCCTCTGCCATAGGGAGAGCCTGTCTTAATCACGCCACGCAGGTGGAACAGACTCTATGCAGAAAACTTGCGGAAGCATTTTGCTAACATCACGAGAACATGTGATTCGTTAGTTGGAGTGGACAGGAATGACTTCAGAAACCAGAGCAGGGAGTCTCGCTTAAAGTCTTGGCATCCTCGCCCCTCGGCCTCACACCTCCCCCGTTCCCGATTCTCTACTTTTGCTCTCCCCGATTGCACAGTAGCCTCACTGGATGGACAGGTGCCCTCAGTGTGTTCCCCGGGCATGCGTTTCCCACGCTGAGCTCAGAGGTAGCTTTCAGTAAGTGCCAGCTGGATTTTGTCACTCCTTCAGTTGCAATCTTCAGTGGCTCCCCATGGCCTGCACCAAAATGTTTATAACCCTTGGAAGGTGTCAGAGCCTGTACACCCCAACCCTGGTCTGGTCTCAGATAGTCTCCCCAGAGCTCCCAGCCATCAACTTTCTTGGTTTTCAAATACACAGTGTATCTTGTGCTGCCACACCTGGCAGAGAGGCTCCTCAGCTTGGAGCGTTTTTCTTCCTTCATCTACGTCTGTGTTTTGTAAACTTGTCATCTTTTCAGATGTTGCTCATGTAGCCCCTCTCTTGTGTAACCATTCTTATTCATCTGAGGTGTAAGTTGCCCACTGCCCCACCCTGTGGGCCTCTTAGCACTTTGTCCATTACTTTGTTAAAGTAGCTGGCACGTTGTGTAAGCTTTTCCGAGGAGGACAAGGGGTTCATATCTGGCTCTCCATGGACACTGAGTTCCTGGAGATGGCTGGGACTTTGGTGCTTAGCCCTGTGCTGGGCACTTTACAACAAAATCGTGTCTCCATTGCAAAAAGTTTGTATCATGTTAAGCTTTGCTCGTGTAGTTTACTAATAAGTGTGTATCAAAGATTAAGGTAGAAAGTAATGATTTTGATACTGCTTCTTAGACAAAGAAGGCGGCTAACAAGAGCCAACCACTGACTGGAGAGGCTCCGGCTGTCACCGTGATTATTAATACATTGTAATGACATTTTGGGGATTCCGCCATATTTTGTATGGTTGCCAGCAAAATGTTGACAGTTGTATTGTGGTTAATAAATTCATTTAGATTTATAAGCATTGTTTACAGAACCTGTTCGCCTGCTGAAACTCTAACAGCATCTGTTCCTTCTTACTAATTAACTGCTAATTACAAATGAGCTTTGTGTGTTTGTCAGTATAACTGGCTCATGCATTTTGTAAGGAACATTAACAAATTGATTTACATAGTGGAAAAGCAATCAAAAGAGTAAACTGAACAGCACAGGTCTAAAGCCCTTTAGCCGGCTTTTGAATGAAGCAAACTTTTGATGGCTATAAATATTGCCATAAATTTTCCATTACCTTAATTCTTTGGTAAAGGTACAGCGATCAAAAGCAATATTGAGTGAGTAATACTCAAATTAGAGCACTGCAGCAGGTGGCCGGGAGTGCTGGTGATGGCCCTGCAGAATCCTTTGGGGGCCGATAGAGGAGAAACACCAACAAGTGGTCCTGTAGGAAATGCATCCACTCCCTTGTGGGAATGCTGCTGACTTTTGAAAGCTGCACTCGTGACTGGGGTTGCTTCAGAACCCAGTCACTTAAGTACAGGTTCACACTGTGATATCGAAGTCAGTGTCTCAGCCAGCCTGCTGCAAGGCGCTTAGCCGGGAAGTGGAAATCTGGTGTCTGTCACACTTTTTCTCCTCTTGGGTTCTCAGATTTCAAACCGTGTTGATCTGTGTCATGCTTCAGGGGGCAGGCATTTAAAGTTAACCAGTTTAAGTGGGTGATTCCAAAAGTCCAGGGCTCCTTCATCCACTCTTCTCAAGGAGCGGGAGAAGATGGAGACAGCCCTGAAGAATCAAGTTCCTGGTATGTTTTCTAAAGCTCCCTCCTCGAGATAGAGAACTATGACCCAGGCCAGAGCCACAGGGGCACAGACAGAACAGGAGGAACGGGTTACACTGGTGCCATTTACATTCACAGTTAACTTTCTAGGTGATTCACAATGCAGGTGTAAAACTGGAGATCACAACTCAGGCAGCTGGATGGAGAGTTCAAGGGTTTTTTGTTGGGTTGGGGGGGTTGTGGGAGGGGGTTGAGACGGAGTTTTGCTCTTGTTGCCCGGTCTGGAGTGCAGTGGCGCAATCTCAGCTTACCGCAACCTCCGCCTCCGGGGTTCAAGAGATTCTCCTGCCTCAGCCTCCCAAGTAGCTGGGATTACAGGCATGCAACACCACGCCTGGCTAATTTTGTATTTTTAGTAGAGACAGGCTTTCTCTATGTTGGTCAGGCTGGTCTTGAACTCCTGACCTCAGGTGATCCGCCCACCTCGGCCTCCCAAAGTGCTGGGATTATAGGCATGAGCCACTGCACCCAGCCTTCAAGGGTTTTTTTTTGAAAGGTTTAGGCTAAATATGATTAACAGCGGTTACATTAAAGTAATACTGAGTACTTTCCTGAGAGGGAACGTTTACTCTAAAGGATCCAGATACACAGTTGTTGGCCTGAGCCCTGACACTGATGTTCAGGGTCAGAACAGCTGGGAAGGTGGGGAGGGCTGCTAGGTCCAGGGCCCTAAGCCATGGAAGGAGACCCTACTTGCCAGCTGTGAGCCTCAGGCAAACCCCTAGACCTCTTGAACCTCAGTTAACTCAGGTGCAGAATGAGGATGATAGAACAACCCTCTTCCCCAGGGTTGTTGGTGGATTAATAAGATGATGGAGTCTACCAGTAAAGGAGGTGGCATATAACAACAGCTCACTAAATAAGTTACTATTGTCATGATCTCTGTATTCCTGTGAAAGTAACCACATGTAAACACTAGACATTAAACCTTATTAGGTCATAGTAACTCCATATGGGAGGAGAGTCTCTTTTCTCATCAATAAATTTATTACTGTTAATTCCAGATAAATGTTAGAAAAAAATTAAGCTTAAAAATAGAATAGATAAGGGAGTACAGGCTCCCTTAATAAAGGCTAAGAGGGAATGTCAGAGCCGGGGGTGGTGGCTCACACCTGTAGTCCCAGCACTTTGGGAGGCTGAGGTGGGTAGATCACCTGAGGTCAGGAGTATGAGACCAGCCTGGCCACCATGGTGAAACCCCATCTTTACTAAAAACACAAAAAAACTTAGCTGGGCGTCGTGGTGTGCACATGTAGTCCCAGCTACTTGGGACACTGAAGCAAGAGAATCACGTGAACCCAAGAGGCGGAGGTTGCAGCGAGCAGAGATTGTGCCACTGCACTCCAGCCTGGGTGGCAGAGTGAGACTGTGTCCCCCCACCCCCCCAAAAAAAGAAAAGAGGGAATGCCAGGGTTACTTTACAAAGCTGTAGTTTGTTTAACACATTTAATTGACAATCAAGCCATCTCACAAATGTAAGTAAATGGCACTATTGATAAATAACAGGCTTGCCATTGGTGAATATTTTGCCTCCAAAGTGATTTTGCTAAAAGTATGTGTATATACAGTTTCTGTAACATTTCATATGGTAGGAGGAAGAAGAGGCACTGTGCTTTCTGAAGCATTTATTCCTCCTTAGAATTTTTCCCAGGGGTAAGTGTTCAGAAAATCTGAAGAATTCAAAATAATTTGCTCCAAAATATTATGATGTGATTAACTACGTATTGTACCAGCCAGCATTTACTGACCATATGTATGTATTAGCCACCATCAGTAGTTATAAAAAGGAAATTGATTTAGTGAGATACAGTCTACACTTTTAAAAACTCACAACCTAGCAAGAAAGTCAGGCTTGTCTCAGTAACTGCTGTGCAGATCTGACTGTACTAGGTATGCACTAGAATGTGCCAGGGGAACCCCGAAGGGATCATTTGCTTCGCTTTCCATGTGTTACATCCATCCCCAACCTTCTAGTATTTTCTACAGATGACATTTAGTGAACAGAAAGCCTCTCTCTCTGACCCTAATTGATTAAAGACTTTTTTTTTTTAAGAAGCATAAATTAGAAGTGAACACAACTTTTTGGACTTACAAGTGAAAAATCCAGTGCCTAAGACTTTCTGGTGAAATGTTGCCGCTCGGGAATTTCAGTTGGAAACATAAAGCCATTCATTAAGCTAACGCGGGTGTACGTGAGGTTTATTCAAGAGATAAATTGCTGGTGTGTTGGTGTTTAGAACATCAACTCTGTCGGATATTTCATGTGACCGAGGTCTGAGCATCAGAATCCATGCCCATGCCACTGCTCTCCCCAGGGGCCTGAGTCTGCATTTACTGTGAAGCAATCTTTTATGGAAAAAACTTGCAAAAAATAGAATGAGTTTGAAATAGAAAGTCTGAGAACACAAACCTGTGCTTTTCCATTTAAATATGGCACAAGGAGATCCCAAAGCTGTTGGACCAGTGATTTTCAACCCTGGATATGCCCACGGGTGTGGGCGTGCAGGCACACATACACACGCACACACTCCGTCCACGGAGGGTCAGAGTCACACTCATTGGGCCTGGGTGGGGCCCGGGCATCTATTCTCTAGTGTTTCCCATTTAAAGGTGTTCATCAGAATCACCTGGAGAGCTTAAAAAAGCAAAAAGCAAGCCGGGCACAGTAGCTCATGCCTCTAATCTCAGCACTTCGGGAGGCCAGGAGCTCAAGGCTGCAGTGAGCTATGATCGCACTGCTGCACTCCAGCCTGGGCGACAGAGCAAGACCCCATCTTAAAAACAAAACGTGATGTTGGAGGAGCCAGACTCTAGGCTTTGGGAAGGGGCTTTCCTGGGGAGGGCAGATTTGTTGAGAATCCATTTTCCCAGCGAGTTCGTTTCCACCCCCTTAAGAACAACCACTTTAGAAGAACATTAGGCAGAGGAAAGGGGCTCCTACGTGTACCTCCTTTCCAGGAGATGTGGGAACAGGAGGAGTACTTGCCTTTTCATACATGAAATGGTTTTTTATTTGCAGATTATCATTTGAAAGACATTTTGGTAGCCTGATTTCCACTCAGAAATAGATGTCACCAACACAGGATGAGAGACTCTTATAAAGAATTACGAACTTCTGTTAAAATGAGAAAGTCAATGAAGGGAGGCAGCATACCCAGAAAAGGGGAAAATTAAAATCTGAAATAATTTATGAGGAAAATAATTTTCCATCTAAGAGTGTATTAGCTGTTTATTCAAAACCCTTGATGGGAATGTTTGTAATCAGGTCATATTGTGATCTTCCCACAGCCTGTGGTTTCTGTTTTTCCCCTCCTGGCCTTACAGTTAGGGGAGTTAGGGCAGGTTCCCTCCAGAGGTGACACCTGTTGACAACCAGTCTTTCATGACAGCAAGCTGCTGTCCATTCTGATGGCTTCAGCCTCTGTGCATTCTGATGGCTTCAGCCGCTGTCCATTCTGATGGCTTCAGCCGCTGTCCATTCTGATGGCTTCAGTGGACATTGCAGTGACCATTAAAGTAAAGTGGCTTAGAGACATAACACGGCGACATTTATGTAGGGGCAGAGAAGACAAGGCTGTTCCTCTCCTTGTTCTCACCTTTGCCCAGAAAGTGTTAGAAACAGCCTCTTCCTTAGCCTCCTTTTCTATACTTCTCCCTTTAGAAGCCATGCACTGTGGTGGGTCAGATCTCAATACTCGTGGGTCCGTGTTGTCCTAGCGGTACCATGTTGTACTTCAGAAGGGCCATGCTGGCTGCAGAATGGAGGCTGTTGGAGGGCAGGAGCCCAGGCAGGAGGTGGTCGGTAGAGCAGCATTCCCAGAGAGAGCCTGGTGGGCTCTCAGAGTTGGGGGCTGCAGGAATGGAAAGGAGAAGACATATCTGGAGGCTTTCGGAAAGTAGAATAGATAGGACCGATGGACAGGTTGATTCGATGTGGAGGATGAAGGAGAAAGAAGAGTTTTTTTTTTTTTTATAAATGAGGGACACTTGTGCTGAAGGTATGTATTTGGGAATCATACAGAAATAGCCATTGAAGACATGAGAGAGTGTGAGATCCAGGAATTTGGTGCAATGAGAGCTAAGGACCACTGGTGGTCTTAGGAGGGACAAAGGCAGAATCCCCAGAAAGCAAACAGGACCAGAGAAGCGGGAAAGAAACTTGAGAGACTGTTCTCCTAGGAGAACAAAAAAGAACTTGCCTTTTGAAAGAGGGAGATAAAGTAGGAAAAGGACTACAGCATGTCCATTGGCTTGTGGGATGGAGGGGTCTTTGATGACATCAGGGAAATGATGGAGCAGAAGCGGCGGCAGGGCTATGAACGATGAGCAGGAGGGAGCCACAGCACAGCAAGTGTAGACACCGCCTAGGAGAGGCCCAACTGTGATGCTAAAGGGAGGAACAGGTCTAGAAGTTATCGATTCGCTTGGAATAATAAATGATACAGTGGCGAACTGTTCCAGAAAGAAGTTACCAACAGTCGCCGCTCACTAGGAAACCCTAGAGTAGACGTACATTTGATTTAAGTTAGTAGCTTACGGGCCTGATGCGGTGGCTCACGACTAATCCCCGCACTGTAGGAGGCCAAGGCGAGTGGATCCCTTGACCCCAGGAGTTCTATACCAGCCTGGGCAACATAGTGAGGCCCCATCTGTACAACAAATAAACAGATTAGCCAGGCATGGTGGTGTGCACCTGTGGTCCCAGCTACTCTGGAGGCTGAGGTAGAAGGATCACCTGAGCCTAGGGAGGTTGAGGCTGCAGTGAACTGTGATCTCGCCACTGCACTCCAGTGTGAGCTGTGAGAGAGCAAGACCATGTCTGAAAAAAGAAAAATTGTAGCTTATCATTTAGCAATTCATAAATAATTACCTGTATTTGTCAAACACTTCGTACATGTTAGGCATTGTAATTTGGCTTTATGTTATGAATGCATTTAATTTTCACCAAGGGACGATTCCTTCCAGACAGCTCTGAGTTTCTGTTTTCCTTGGTTGTTGCTGAGAGCATAAGTTATATTCCTGCCTATAGGCTCATCCAGGCCGCATTTCCTCCTGATTTCCTGTTTCCTCACCCGTATCCTGCTGCTCTCTCTCTTCCCCTGAAGCTCTGGGAAGTCTTCCCTACACGCTCATTAGTGAGTTAAGGAACTTTGATGTGTCTCCGTGTTTAGAAGAAATCTTGCCGTCACCACTCCATGCAGACGCTGGGATACTAAGGTTTTCACCTGCTGCTTCCTGCGGGATGTCGCTCATGTGGAGGAGGGCCTCTCGTTGGAAGCCCAGGCTCACTCCATGGCTGCCCCTCTCCCCAGCCTGCTGGCGTTGGGCTTCCTCCGCTCCTGGTTTCTTAGTTCTGGAGCACAGACTCCGTGCTCTGGAGCAAGAGTTCTTCACTGTGGTTCTGTAGATAGAATTCAGGGGTCCGCGAATGTGGCTGGGGGGAAATTCATTCGTATTTCCACTGACTTCGACTGAAAGTTAACGTTTCCTTCAGATATGAATGTAGGCAACGATCCACAGTGGTGTTTTGTTAGCAGAACCTGTGACTTTGCCACCCTCAAAATCACAGACATGTTCACAGCGCATTGCCGTTGTCCCAGATAATTGAATAGGTTGTTTTCTCTGGTCACCGTTTGGCAATGGAAGGTACTAGGTCTGCCACTGGGTCTCAGTGCATTAATAAAGCAGTGTGCTTATTACCCAGCCACAGGCGTTGCTTATATTTTGGTGACTGTATTTTGATATGATTGGTTCTTTTGTAATCCTATGAATTTAAACCTAATACTTTGAGAAGGGATCCTTTGGGACGTGCCAAAAAAGACCCACCTGTAGCAAGCCTCCATGTGGATTTGAGTTTCTTACCCTATGAATTCTATAAACTGAAGTTTTCATCCCATGTGTCAGGTTTGTTTTTTTTGTTTTGTTTTGTTTTTTTGAGATGGAGTCTCACTCTGTCACCCAGGCCCGAGTGCAGTGGCACGGTCTTGGTTCACTGCAACCTCTGCCTCCCAGGTTCAAGTGATTCTTCTGCCTCAGCCTCCCGACTAGCTGGGATTATAGGCATGTGCCACCATGCCCAGCTAATTTTGTATTTTTGGTAGAGATGGGGTTTCACCATGTTAGGCAGGATGGTCTTGAACTCCTGACCTCAGGTGATCGGCCCGCCTCGGCCTCCCAAAGTGCTGGAGTTACAGGCGTTAGCTGCCGTGCCCGGCCCGTGTGAGATTTGATGTGAAGTTGAGGACACGGGTCTTCATAATGAAACAGAAGTGCTCATTGTCCTGTTGCCACCCTTGTCGGTTTTTCACCCTGCAGCCCTTTGAGACCAAATCTGCCTGTGAAGTCGCTGTTCATCCCTGCAGGCTCCCTGTACCCCCAGCTCCCAGAACCCATCACCAGCCCTCCTTCTTAGAGAGTGGTCTTCGGGAGGACCTGAGCTTCGGCTGCGGCCTTCCAGCCCCCTGGGTCTCACTGCTTGCTGCCTCCCCTTTCTCACCCACACAATTCTTTCCTTCCCTCCCTCTGTCCCACGCTGTGTCCCTTTCTCTTCCTTTCTTTGAGTTCATTTCAGAATTCCTCCTCGGTGTCTGCTTATTGCATGGCACGGTCTGGTTGGGCCCCACTTTCTTCCTGGAAAGGTATTTTCTGGGGCCAGGGAGCAATGTTACCATTTCCAGAAAAGCAGTCCAGCTCCTCCTGCACAGCACTCTTTCTGCTGTGGGATGCCTCCGCCTCCCTTCGTTCCCCATTTGCAGCCTCTAGGTGCCCTGTCTTGGCCAGCAGCACTTGCCTTCTCTTCCCCATCATCTGTGGTCTTTCTGCACCTGGGCTCCCCTCCGCCCTGCATCTGAGATCTCTGTTTTAAGGCCAGCTCTCCCTAGATGTGTAGCCACTGGGATCTTTTTCATCTCATCAGCCTAGCTCCCGGCAGGACCTCCCCACTGGACTTTTCCAAGATGTCAGTGGACAGCATAGAGCTGGGGTGCCAGTGGCCACCATCGGGAGTCACTGCCACATTTTCTTTTCCTTTTGTGTCCACACTTGGCACAGAATCTTCTTCCAGGCAGCCTCCTGGGCCGCCAGTGGTGTGGAGCTGGCCGAGAAAGGAGCCTGCTTCCCAGCATGGCCTCACATTGTCATCAGTGTCACTCAGGACCTTGCCCGCTGCCCCAGCTCAGAGCTTGAACCTCTCCCTCTTGGAATCTGGCAGGAGTCCCCAAAGGACCACCCAGGCTCAGTCTTGGCCCCATTGAGTCTGTCCTCCCCACTGCTAATGAAGTCTTTCCTGCTGAAAGCCTTCTGGGCCATCCATTGTCTGCCTGTGAGAGTCCTCGGCTTGCCCCCACAGGCCTCCCCTGCCGGTCTGGAGCTCAGCTAGTGGCTCTCATCTCCACTCCCTGTCCATCTTGAATGTTCTAAACAACGAATTAAAATGTTTAACTTGAATGCAGGAGCCAGGCAGGTACTTGTCATGAGTGGGTTTGGAGGGGGCAAGGGTCTGGGTGAACAGGGAGGGCAGCTCCCACCCACAGGGGCAGCCGTCCCTCACTTGCGCCCTCCTCAGCCTCAGTGGCCTCGTGTTCCCGGATGGTCCTGGTGTTGAAGGAAAGCCAGGAATTTGGATTTGCATATAAAATTTTATCATTTTTAAATGTTGGCAACTGATTCCAAAAATCTATTATGCACTTTTGGGGGCTGATGAAAATGCTTCTGCAGACTAGAAATAGTCCCCAAGTCACCAAGATGGCATCTCTGCATTAAACCCACCCCCTGACCTTCCCACGAAGCTCCTGCAGCTTGGCACGGCATTTAAGGCTCCCCCTGACCGATGTCTGCCTCCCTGTCCCAGCTTCTGTCTCATCCACTCCCAACACCCAAGTCCCTAGGCATCTGAGTGGCCTCCTCTCCGAACCTGGGCACACAGTGTTCTTCCATCCATCACTCATCCACCTGGCTGGTCCTGCTGGTCCAAGACATAGCGTTGGTGCTGTCGCCCCCTCAGAAGTCTTCCTGGCTTTCCTCTCCCTGGCCCGAGGGGGTGCCTCTTTTCTGTGCCTCATCCCTTCATTCCCAAGATGGCCTTCTGTAAGACAAACATTGTAGCACCCATCACACTGGGTAATGATAATTTATTACCTTTGCCGCCTCCCCCACTAGACTCTGATTTTTGTATGAGCAGCAATTATAGTTTGCTGTTCCTTGTCCCCAGGACCTAGTGGGGTCCCGGCCCAGCAGTGGGGCTCCACATGGCTGAATTGAACAGTCAACAAGGCAGCCTCCTAACAAGTCCTGTGTCATCCTGTTTAGCCGTTCGCTCAAACAGAGAACTGTAGATGGGGCTGAAGCTTAGTCCCAAGAGCCACACATGTCAAGGAAATCTGGGAGCAGCAGCCCAGCCATCCCAGGATCTCACAAAGGCCCAGCAGCAAGTACAGGGGAGACAGCCAGACCCCTGCACAGGAGTCTAGAGGCTGAGTCTGTAACTAATCCAGCTCAGACCACATGTATGGTGTGCTCAGGGGACCCCCAGAGCAAAATCCAACACCATGCTGGCTTCTGGGAGTGCAGATTTTGCAGACATGGAAGCAGAAAATCATATGATACCCTGAGTTCCTGAGTCAGCAAACGGAATGGGGGAATGAGCATTGTTCAGCCAGCTGGGCGAACCCTGGGCTTCCTGAGGACACCCCATTCTTAGCTGTGGGGTCACCACTATCCACCGACAGCCCAGCCGGTCGACAGCAGACCTTTCCTTCCAGTTATTCCTTTCCTTCCAGTTATTCCTTTCCTGACCCCCCCCCCGATCTGCTTTTTAATTTCTCAGTGTATGTTTTCTGGTATAATCTGCTTGTCTTTGCCTCTCGGTGACATCCACGGAGTCACCCAAGTCACCAGCCGGGACTATTCCTGATGTCATCTATTAACCTTCTCCAGCTGCTCCGAGATGGTCACCAAGTCCTTCTTCCCTTTCTTCCTGAGCATCTGTCCCGTCGTGCCCTCCGAAGGAGTCATGCATGTGGTTTGGGGCCTGGATGTGTGTTTGGGCCTCCTCACTGGTTTCCAACCTTCAGTCTGTAGCCCTCAGATATGCCCTCCTTCCTGCACCCCCAGAGTGGCCCCTCCACTCACCCTTCAGCTGCAGCCACAGGGTTGAAATCTTTCCCAGGCCCTCCAGACCTCCTGGATGAGGCTTAAATTTTAAAAATACTAAATTAAAAAAAAATTTTAATTTCACTATATTCTCAAACTTCTCACCATTGCAGTTACCATATTTTACTGAGATTGTATATTTAGATGTCTTTTTCTCCATAAGTCATTGAGTTTGAAAGAGACATCCTTGTAAATCATTTACTGGACTGTTGGAAATTTCGATCTAGGACTCAGAAGTTACAGAAGATTTTAAAGAAAGTCATTTGTAAATTCTTACCCTGAGGTTTATAGACCCTTGTGAAATGCAAAATGGAATGTAAGAGTTTGCATGTACATCTTCTCAGAAGAGGTTCTATGGGTTATTTATTTATTATTTATTTATTGACAGAATCTCACTCTGTCACCCAGGCTGGAGTGCAGTGGTGCGATGATCTCAGCTGACTGCGACCTCCACCTCCCCAGTTCAAGCGATTATTCTGCCTCAGCCTCCTGAGTAGCTGGGATTACAAGCAGGCACCGTGATGCCTGGCTAATTTTTGGTTTTTTTTTTAGTAGAGACGGGGTTTTACCATTTTGGCCAGGCTGGTCTCAAACTCCTGACCTCAAGTGATCATCCCACCTCAGCCTGTAAAAGTACTAGTATTACAGGCGTGACCCACTGTGCCCAACCTATTTATTTATTAAATAATTTTTTGTTGTTGTTTTTAGAGACAAAGCCCAGGCTGGAGTGCAGTGGCATAATCACAGCTCACTGCAGCCTCTAACTCCTGGGCTCAAGTGATCCTCTAACCCCAGCCTCCCCAGTAGCTAGGACTACAAGCATACTCCACCATGCCTGGCTTTTTTTGTAGAGAACAGGGTCTCACTATGTGTCCCAGGCTGGTCTGGAACTCCTGGTCTCAAGCAGTCCTCCTGCCTTGGCCTCCCAAAGTGCTGGGATGACAGGCATGAGCCACTGCGCCTGGTCTGGTTCCACAGTTTTGAAGAGGGCCTGTGGCCTCCCCCTCTTCCCCATCCTAAGAGGTTAAGAGCTGTGGATTGCTTGACATGTCCCAGGTTCGACATGTTGAGCAAAATGCTAGGAGGGTGGTGCAGAGGCCACCGTGGCAGTCACACAGGTAGACCAGCAAGCACTCCAAGACTCAGCGACTTTTTGAATATAGAGGCTTAAAGGTAGAACATCTCATGAGACTTTAGGTTTCGAGAATGGGTGCCTGTAAGAATGGTGGTTTCATTAACAGAATAGCAAACTAAGGAAGAAAAGATGGTTTGGTTCAGAAAAAATACTGCTTTAGAAAGGAAACTGGGACTGAAAAACGGCCATCTTTTTCATGTATGGCCATTCTGGCTTTTGACTCTATCCCAAAATACAGAATGCTCTTTCTACTCACTGACTCTTGCTTTCAATTTTGTCTAAAAGAAAAATGATTCACAATGAAAATGATGTTGTTACACAGTGTACATACTCAATATTAAATTCATAAGTAATGTGAACCACTTCATAAATTATTTAGGTTGAAGTTCATTTTGTATAGAAAATTACATCTTTGAAAAGATATGACAGGGTTAAAATGAATCAAGTTTATCGTAAAACTGTTCTAGCCATAGTAAATTAATCTGAGTCATTTTATCAAATAAGAAACATTTTTAATATTTTGACTATTCATCACTCAAGCAGTACAGCTGGTGTTACTGAAGAGATCATTTCTATTTCAGTACCGTCTGTAGATCCTGAAACGGGCGCCTTTCTGTGCTTGTTTGCCACGACAGTGGCTCTCGTACACGACGCCTAACGTGTATCTCATGTGAAGGTGCAGCCCAAGCCAAGCTCCCTGGGGCTCCGTTTTCCGTTTCTTGACCAAGGATGGCAGAATCCCCAGGAAGTGCTCCTGTTCCTGGCTTGTGTTTTACATGATGGATCTTACCAGGCGGCCTTGGAAGCCACTTCTCACACCAGGGTTATAAAGTCCTATGTTTTCACAGTCTGGTTAATACAATGAGGAAGAATTAAAACCTTTGGCATAACAAAGCTTTTGGTCAGTTCTATAAGCAAATGCCATTCACAGCCTCCTGAGTGATACCTTTTTCTAGGCACTGCTTGGTTTCTGGGTGCCCTAGACAGGGAGTATCCCACCGGTTACACTCTCTGTCACTCGCCATCATCCTGAGGATGCTGTTTCCATAAGCCATGGCTCATACAGCCGTCCCCACTCCAGGTTAAGGTCCCTTGCCTGGCTCCTCACAGTGCCCTGGGCATGGTCCTATCTTGGCCTAGCTTTCACTAAACTGCATCTGTCCGTCCACCTATTAGAGCCACCTGCCAGTGTTGAGCCTCTTTAGGGATTGGCCTGTGCCCTCATCACTCCACCCACACCCAGCACAGTACCTGGGATAGAGTCCATGCAAGGTAAATGAATAAGGAACAAGGTCCTACTCAGAGGCAAATCTCTTCTTTCTAACACTGGGAGCTATTCAGCTGCCTGTACCATATCAGAACATGCTTAAGAAAAAGAGGGAAATAATTATTGTCTCAACAAAGATTTGGGTTTAGCAAAAACTGGAAATAATTCACAGTGAAACTAATAATCCATTGATTGTGATGTCCATGGTGAGATCATTACTCTCGAGAATAATACTGGTAATTTAGTTTGCTCGGAAGGTACTATTTTCAGAGTACTTTTACATTTTCCAAACCCTGCTGTGTGTGTTGAAATGTAAATCACACAGCACCCAGATAACCAGATGATTTTCCTCGTCCTTTTAACAGAAAGATCAGGTGAGAACACACAGTTGCACCTTGATCATTTAGTGCTTTAACTTTTCCCCCCAGCTAGTAAGTATTTGAGGAGTTTCTCTCATTTGGGCTCTGAATGCTTTTCTGATAGTGGGGAAGGTTTTAGGAATTGTATTCGGGGCTGCTTTGTTGTTGCTCCTTCCTGCCCATCTCAGTGTTAAGGGTTGTCAGTATCCCAAGACTGATTTCCCTGTCCGTCCGTGTGCTTTGGAGGTATCCTGGCCATGTTGTTCCTTAAAGCTCTAAGTAGAAATGACTTTGTTCCTTGGCACTATGTTAAATTGGCTGGTTAATTCTGGTGTTATTTACCCTGTAATTCATTAGTTTCACCCCACCATTGGCAGCTGACAGGCTGTAATTTCACGCCTTGCAATAAAAGATGTCTCATAATCTGCTTCATTTAGCAGCAAGAGAATTTAATGAAATTAACTGCAGTCCTAATTATGCCAGTGAATACTAAAGACCGCCATCAAGTTTTCTCAGAAAAGGACGAGGTCCAACTCGTGAAGGATTTAGAATATAATTTCCTGGGAAAAGTTGCAAGTGTCTTCCTTCTATTGGCCAACGAGGGCCAATTATGAGTACACATATTACTATAATTAACTGGTTTTTTTGTGAATGTCTCTCCAAGTATTCATTGTTCGAAATCAAAT
Organism: Homo sapiens; assembly: GCF_000001405.40. Lineage (NCBI taxonomy): Eukaryota > Metazoa > Chordata > Mammalia > Primates > Hominidae > Homo > Homo sapiens. The sequence goes on from NC_000002.12 coordinate 235,849,408, forward strand.
GTAAAAGTGATTTCTCTATCGGAGTGGTGTAGATGATAGAAACAAGCTAATGTTAAGTTTTCAGGCAGTGACCTCTCCTGCAGTGGAGGACAGGTTTGCAAAACATCACAGTTTGAGAGCAGGTTTTCATGTGTGACTCTGGAGGGTTTCTGGAGTGAGCAGAAGCCCGGGCCCCCTTATGCCTGTACGCTCAGAGCTCAGCCTCTGCAGCCACGACTTCTCCATGCTGCGGGGATGCTAGGCCTGGATAAGGGTTGCCACCTGCTGGGCATGGAGTGTCCAGCCTCACCCAGCCCCTCGCCTGGCCCTTCTCCCTTCCTCATGGCCGCTAGGGCAAGCCCTCACTTCTCCAGGACAGATGGCCTTTCCCTGCTCCACCGTCCACTCTGCTTCCCGCCCCTGGAGGGGAGGAAGACGAGCATGGTCTGGGCGCCCAGTGCTCCTGTCCCCATCTCACACATGTGTGGAACAAGCCACTCACACCCTGACATGCTCCCCTCTCCCTCTCACCACGACTCTTTCTTGGTCCTGCCTTTCTCACTTTTCCCTCTCAGCCTTCTTCATAGCCTCTTCCTCTTCCATGGAGGACAGGGCAGAGGAAAGGTAGGGAGGAGCATTGATGCCTCCTGAGCAGGTCTGGCCTGGCACCTGCCTTTCCCACCCACCCCACGGTGTCCTGGCCCCAGGGCTCTGCAGCCCACAGCACCTCTTAACAGTGCTGTGGACAAATTCCGGCAAACCGTGGGTTAGTAACCGGACGACGTTAGCAAACACAGAGGCTGCAGTTGAGCCAAAGGAATGGAGATTCTGGAAGGAAGATGTGCGTGTTCCAACTCTGCAGAAAAGCAGCTGAAGCAGTGGGAGGTGGTCTGTTATATCTAAATGCAATGGAAATCTCCATAGCCACAAGTGACTGGCCTCTACCTCTCTTCCAATCTTGCTCTACTAATGCGTGGCCTTTCTGTAGTTCTGAAAGGAGCCATCTCCCCTGGGGCAGTGCCTGATGTGGTCTCCTTGGTCCCCTTGGTCCTAGCACCTCTGCATTATGCACCCTGGCAGGACATCAGCCGGCTGGCTCTGCCACCCCGCATTAGTGTCCATGCACCTTGGTGGAGAAGTCGCTCTGAGCAGCTCTGATTTCAGAGGCCTCACTTGGGAAATGAGGGTGCGGTGTTGCTTCTTGGTTTCCTAAGGCTGCTGGCAGGTAGGGCTTTACAAAGAAGTACTTTAGGACATTTTGGAATGAGCTGTTGTGTATTCTCACAAAAATAGCTGCTTTTGCAAAAAGTTTTCCTGTTTCTAGTCACCCTTCGTCTTTATGCCATCCCATCATTGGGGGTGGTGACTTCACACACATTTGAGATTTGAAAGCATGATGACTGTACTTCAAAGTTGGGGAATTCCATGGCCCACCCCACAACCCACTCATGTCAAGTGCATTCCAGGGAGCAATGGGTTTCCAGGTCCAAGTCCATCTGGGGGATTGTGGTCTGTGGTGGGCAGGGGCTGACTAACCTGCCCAAGGGGTTTAGCAAGGGAATGGCTGTTCCGGGACCTGGCCCAGCATCCTCCCACTGTACACAGCCTCCCTGCACAACCTACAGAGGGGGCTCCCAGGCAGGCTGTTCATGGGGTTGGTGTTCACAGGACTCTCCCACAGGAAGGGCGCTGAGCTGCAAAGGATCCAGGAGACCTGGTTTCTAGGCACAGCCCAGTGTTAGCCTTGGACACAGCAGCCAGTGTTACCAGGACCTCTGAGCTCACAGCCTGGCCTAGAGTGCAAGGAGCCAGTGGACCTGAGAGGGCCCTGTCCAGGCTGTCAGTGCTGAATATAGACCATCGGTGCCCACCTGGCGCTCCTGCTGCTCGGTCGGAGCTGGGAGGGAAACGTGGCTCCACTACAGACATGGGGTTTGGGCTGGGAGGCCATGGAATGGTGAAGATGCTAAGCAAGGCCATCTCCTGGGAAGGGCAGAAGCAGCTTGGCCCCAGGTGTCCGCATGTCACCCCCTTTCCCTAAACTTCACCCGTCCACCAACGCACCATGTGCCGCAGGCGAGTGATGGGAAAATGGCCCTCGTTTCAGAGAATTTTTTTTTTAAAGCAAAGTGTATTGTGTGTTCTTGCAGTTACTTGCTACCAATGTCCCTTGGGTATCTCCCCCCTTGGAGTGTTTGCAGCCGGCGAGCGCCAGGATGCCCGCGGCAGCATACTCTAGGCTTATCTCCGTGTGTGTGGCCCTGAACCCAGAACACCCGGAAATACAAGTGCAAGTGCAAGGAGCCCATGAACAGAAAGAAGAAGAAGGGGACGGGGAAGCGCCTCTTGACTGCTCGCCATAAAAATAATTGAGCTGAAATTAAATCTGGGGGCTTTGGTAGCCTCCTGTTAGGAAAAGAAATAAAACCCAGTGTTTTGATGCACACCTCGCACGTCTCATCTGCAGTACGCCAGAGGTAATTTTGGCGACAAGCAGTAAGGAAACCTGAAGTATTTCTCTCCCAGACCCTCCCAGCTTATTAAAAGAACTTATAGACATGAAAATACATTAAAGTGGGCAAAGCGGAGAGAGGGTGAAAGAGATTAACAACCTCCGCTGAATAGAGCCCATTGATGAAACAGGCCTGTGAGCTGCTGCCGACTCTGAAACAAGGTGCCAGGAACTGAAAAGAAGGTCAGGCCTGTCCAGAATTTAGGGGGGAAATGGAAATGTATATTTAAAACTAATATATGCCTGAGTGCTCATTTTTCCCCCGTTTCTGATTGGGAAGATTTACTCGGGAAGAGGAAAAACGGTTCTGTAGCCGATTACCCAATTTGAGCACCCAAATTAAAAGATTCACTTAAAATGCAGCAGAGACAAGCGAGGCAGCGGAGAAGGGCCCGGGCGTGCATAATGCCTATTGTCTGCGTCTGCGTTTGCTTTTTAATGCCAGCGCCCAGCGAGGGAGCAGGGCCCTCCTAGCGTGCGCGGAGGGGGCTTGGGGTGGAAAGGGGGGGGAACCCCGAAACAGGCCGCCTTTTGACAGGCGCCTGACAGGTATGGGTGCCTTTGGAGATCTTTTTAGGAAATTGGGTGTTTGCGAGTACAAATTGAAGCAAGCATGCTGTGTGTGTATGTGTGCGAGAGAAAGTTAGCCGTCAGTCAAGTTTTATCTCTTAATGAATAGAGACTGCTGAAGTAAGGGTTAGGTAATTGAGTTTATAATTAATTAGCCATAACCCTCATCAGATAAAGCAGTTGTGAAGAATTTTTTTTATCTCCTTTCTCTCCCCAGGGCCTGCCCTTCTTTGTCCTTGCACTGACAGCCAGCACTTATCTCAGGCCTGCTGGAGCCCGTGCCCGTCAGTCCTCCCCCTGGCCAGGGCCGAGGGGTGGTCAGACCAGCCCGCATTGTGCTGAAGGCCCACAATCAGCCCAGCTGTCCGGGGCCATGATGAATTAGCGGTGGGAGTTAACATAGAGGTGAACTCCAGATCGGCCGATAGCTTGCAGGCCGCTGCTGTTTGTCCTGACTTCAGCGCATCTCTGATAGACCTTTGACACCTTCCAACAAAGAGGTTACAGGAGGGAGAGCTGGAGAAATGGAGCGCTCCTCCAGAAAGTTCGGCAACTCACAAAAGACCCCTTAATTTCTATAGCGGGCAATTCAGTCCACAAAGGAAGGAAATCAATGAGCGTTTACGCTCTTTCTTTGAGGAACCTTTTTTTAAAGAAAAAAACATTTACTGGCGCTTTGCATGTTTTGGGTACAAGCAGTGGTAGAAACATAAAACATTAAAATCCAAGATTGAGCGGATCTGTCTTGACTGCGTTTTATAGACTGGATGAGAGAAAAACGGGGTAAAATGGCTCCCCCTACTCTGCTTCAAGATTTGAAATATCTGACTCAGGCAGGTTGAGTGAGGAATTGTTTTAGGAACAGGGAATGTTGTGACTTTCTTAGTACTGAGTTGGAAATAATGTCAACTTCCTTGTGATTTTAGTTGTTCCTTTCTAATTAACCCCCAGGCAGGTACAGATAAATCTCTCAATACCCTAGGGATGCGGCAGATAGGAAGATGTGAGCCTTTCTTTTCCTCTTCTACAGTCAGTGTTTTATAATAGATAGATTAAATGGAAGTTTTGTTTCTTCTTTGTTAGCAAGACTAGATACCACTTTTCCAGACCACCCTATGGTAATTATTTGGGGACTTAAGGCCAGAATGTTTTATCAGACAATATGACTGAACAGTGATTTTGGATGTTAATGAAAATTTAATCAGATGAATATATTATTCAGCCTCATTTAGGGAGTAAAGTATGATAAGTGCATCTACAAGTGCTGAAATTTGTAGAACAAATGAGGTCATTTTTGTGAAGTAGGCTGAGAACAGACTGGTGTGTGTGGATGGGGGAAAGGATGGTCGCTAGCTTGTTTTGGTTTTAAGTGTAGGCTATACCTTGAATTAACTTGGGAAGTACTGTTACTAGCGACAGTCCCTAGTCATTCATTGCAGACTTGTTGTCAGCCTCCCATGTGGAGATACTAGATGCCATAATTGAGCCATACCTAACAATTCCAAGTTTTTAATGAAGCAAATATGGTAAATATGTCCGTTCCAGGCTTTCTTTGAGTGTAGAAAAAGGAAGTTGATGCGTAGGCTCATGGGATGACCCCGCCTTATATGACTGGATAAAATCCAAATACTCAGCTAGAGAGAGTGGAGCCGCTGTGTTGAGACAGGCACTCCCCCTCAGCCTCCCCTTGTCTTCCCGGGCTCGTGGGGTCACCTCCAGCAAACCCAATTTGAAAACCGGTGATCAAGTGTTGACAACTCCTGTCACAGCTGAGAAACTTAGGCCTTGTTCAAGGTCACATGGAGAAAGAATATTGCATGGAGTAGACCCCGCTCCTCCCCCGCATCCAACTGAACGTGGGCTGTGGTCCTGTTGGCTCCCTATGGGCCTGCTCTCCTTCCCTCTTTTTCTCCCCGATAGATGGGACCTGTGAGGCCTGTCTCTAGCTCAGCTTGGCATGAGATGGGCCACTCCTGCCAGCTCACCTCCCTGCTGGCTATTTGCCCTTCATCACAGAGGTGGGGGAGGATGGCTGCCTCATTCCAGCCTCAGCTGCTATTGTGGCTACAAAGGCAAAGCCAGCTCTACAGCAGGCCCATTTCAGCGCATTATAGGAAACCAGAGGCTTTAAACCCAGACCAGCTTGGAGCCTGGGGCTGCCGCGTCCGCTTACCAGTGGTGGACTTGGGGATGTTTCTTACTCTCCGAGCTTGACTTGCTTTATCTGTTAAGTGGCAGTTGCTGATGGCAGTGAATTGTGGAGTGATAGGTACTGTCATGGCACGAGCTCAAAAGTGGCTGTTTCCCCTGGTTTCGCTTGTTTATTATTAGTATTATTTTCATAGAGGAGTTAATGGAGCAAATGAGAAACAATTCTTTATTCATTCTTAGTTTTGGAGTCTGCATCCTGTACAGTGTCCTCAGAAGTGTAGATCGTTTCTGCTGCAGGAGCCCAGGACGTTTGGTCAGCTCTGACTTCGTCACGTAGACTTTGTGAGAGGGAGGGTGCTTCAGAGGAGGGCCCGCCATGAGGTCTGCCTCCTTGTATTTGTTACTTCTGAAATCTTAATGCCAGTTATTTTAAACTAGGGTGACTAATGGACCCTTATTTCGTGAAGGAACAGAAAAGTAGAAAAGGTTTAAAGGCAAAAAAAGCTGAAGGTATTTGTCTGTGATGTTCAACAAACCAGCCTCATCAGGCCCCAGGTGGAAAATCGGCGTGGTGACGCATGTGCTGCCATCCCTTGGGGTGGCGCACGGAAATGGAAGCGTGAGGTCATCCCTGTGATCAGTAACAAAAGTCTACCTGGAAAATGGTTACTTTGATTTTCCAGGGAGTGAGTAGTGTGACAGGCATGTCAAAATTAATCATCAGTAGATTTATTCAAAGCTAAAAGTCAACTGAAATTCTAAGCTCTCTTTGCTATACTACATTTAAAGATAATTGCTAAAGTTTCTTTAGATGTCCTTATTCATTCAGTTACAGATTTATCATTTTTCAAACCAAATTCTAAACTGTGTTACGTTCAGTATGTTTTTGAAGTCATAAAAGTTGAGTTATAGTAAATTTAAAATCGAGCAATTTCTGCTTTAAATATAGGGTATCATTCTTTCCTTTAGATTCGTTGCCCTGAACTTTTGATTTTGATATTATAAATACACAGCTACTCATCTCATTCTCTTATCTCCACTGTGCTGGGAAGACCGAGAGGCTGAGCAGCAGCTCCACTGAATTCAAGTCAGAGGATATTTGTTTGAATTGGAGACTGGGTGTTGGTAAATGGGTGACAGTGACAAGTGGGTGATTGGGGACACGTCCTTGAGGCTCATGCCTTAGAGGAAATGCCTTGTTTACCCTATGAGGTCTCTAGATGCACGGAGGCTACTGCATTCCCAGGGGGTCAGCCTTGTCTCAGAAGTACTGAGAATATTATTATTATCATTATTATTATTATTTTCTTTTGAGATGGAGTCTCGCTCTGTCACCCAGGCTGGAGTGCAATGGCATGATCTCGGCTCACTGCAACTTCTGCCTCCTGGGTTCAAGTGATTCTCCTACCTCGGCCTCTCGAGTAGCTGGAACTGCAAGCATCTACCACCACACCTGGCTAATTTTTGTATTTTTAGTAGAGGCGGGGTTTCATCATATTGGCCAGGCTGGTCCTGAACTCCTGACCTTGTGAGCCACTCGCCTCGGCCTCCCAAATTGCTGGGATTACAGGCGTGAGCCACCGCACCCGGCCGAGAATATTTTTAAATGTTCATCTCAAGTTAGCATCACTGAAGCTATAGCTTCCTCTCTTTAGTTTGTTCTTGTACCCAGTGATTCACCCAGAATTGTTTGGGTTTTCCATATAAGAAAATGTGATTCGCTTGGTGTCAGTAAGGAAGGGATTCTCTGACTCATAGAAGCAGGGGTGTCACCCCAAACAGCACCATGAGGAGGATAGCCTGAGTCCGATCCCTCTGGGTTGGGGCTGCCATCAGGATCTGTACATTCTCATGACCTGTGTGCTTAAACTTGGGCCCTTGAGGTTCCTGTCCTTTCCACATCTAAGCCAGCAGTAGACTCAAACCGAAGGTCCGTTAATGTCCTCATCAGTCGTGAGCAGCTCTGTGTGGACCATCTGCCTGTCCAGTACTGAACCAGTTCCTGTGACTGGGGCTCATTGCCTTGGCCTAGGCCACATGTTGACCCAGAGTACACAGGCCAGGATGGGAAAGGGTCACCTGCCCATGCAGAGTCACAGGTCCTGGCCATGAGCACAGGAGTTGGATGTAGGACAACCACCATAAATGTCCCTTGCCCAAGTTGTCATGAAATTTCAAAACTTCAGCCAGTGTTCCCTGCTTGACACTCAGACCTGAAGGCCTCCTGCAAGTGCCAGCCACTGTCGTGAGCTCAGGTGTCTGAGAGCACGCTTGGTTCCCACGCTGCGGTCCGGTTGGACGTGGTAGATGTGAGACCAGTGCCTGAAAGAATGCCGCTGTAGGGAAACATGAAGACACACACACTCAGCCACACTGTATTTAATGGGCCGGGATTTGTGTAAGTGATCTCCATGGAGACGCAGGTGGTGAGCCTGAGATGCTACACTTTAGAGCAGGAGTCATCCACTCCCAGATGGCAGCCTGGTACCAGTCTGTGGCCTGTTAGGAACCGGGCCACACAGCAAGAGGTGAGCGGCGAGTGAGTGAGCATTACTGCCTGAGCGCTGCCTCCCGTCAGATCAGCGGAGGCATTAGATTCTCACAGAAGTGCGAACCCTATTGAGAACGGCACATGCAAGGGATCTAGGACGCACACTCCTTATGAGAATCTAGTGCCCGATGATCTAAGGTGGAACAGTTTCACCCTGAAAACCATCCCTCCTCCCTATCCGTGGAAAAATTGTCTTCCAGGAAACTGGTCCCTGGTGCCAAAAAGGTTGGGGGCCGCTGTCGTAGATCCTTTGACGAGCGTCCCCAAGGAGACCTCAGACACAGGTTCCTGCCTTGCAGGGTCCTGACCCCGACCCTCCCGTTGCTCACAGTGTGTGTGCATGTCCGTTGAGCAGCTTCCCACCCTGATTGCAGCTGTTCCTTTTTAAACAGAACCTGCAGAAGTGGATACACCAAGAACATGGATGCATTGCATGTCACATGTATACATTGTCTGTTTCTCCACATATACACCATAACAGAAATGACACAGAAGAGCACCTCCTCGGTTTGCCAACTAGCTTTTGTATAGCAGCAAATTCAAAGTCAACTAGTGATGAGGAAAGACTGGAAGCAGCTAATAATAAGCATTCTTATGTAACTGATTTGCAAGAATGTAGTACAGTCGTCATTTGGGAATTGACTGGGTATAAAGAGTTTTCCAGTAAAAGCGCTGGAAGAACCAGAGCCTGCAGAAGCAGGCCTATCGCCCTGTGCCATGTTTTTTGCCACACTGTCTGCCCATGTTGGGAGTGTGAGGCTTATACCCAGGGCTGCTTCCTGGGTGATCTTGGGGGATTTTCATTTTTCTGGTACAGGACTGGAGAGTTTATGAGATACACCATGACGGTACAGCATTTAATTTAGTATCACCACTTCGGGAGAATGTGTATCTTAATTGCTAAAATCTCTAACTTTGTATAAATTCAAATTGAACATAATCCAGACTATATAGCAATCTTTAATGAATTCCATCATCAACATTACCACATAAAGGAAGTTAAGTTGGGCGTATAAAATCGTAATTCAGTAAATTTTTCTTTAGTTAGTAAGCAGATTAGTATTCATTGCTAAGATGCATTTTATCAACGGTTTTGGTAGCGTTAGTTAAAAAATGTAAGAATAATGCTATAGAACATGAACATAACATTTTTAGAGAAGTATATTTATCAAACTTTTTAGTTGCACAGTTTCTAAGGGCTGCTTACTGATTAAAAACATTTTTACTTATAAAAATGTCAGCCTGTTTTATTTAAGATAAGACATTGAGCTTTCAAGTTGGCAAATTGATGGGCAGAACGTATATATCCTGTTTGTACATGTTTGAGTTTAAGATGCAGTAGGTTAGGGGGAAAATGTTTTAAAACCATACAGAATTTAGGAAACAGACCTTTTAACTAATAACTGTTACTGAGAGATGATAAAAAAAAATATGAACTAGTTCACAATGAATTATATTTTGTATGCATGATTGTCTGTGATTATTAATTGATGTGTACTTCCTCTTTGTCAAAAGTTATAATGTATCCGTCTACCATGAAAGGTCCCTAGAACATGAAAGGTGGTTTCTCTACATGCCTGTGAAATTGATGAGCAGGGAGAGGCTTACTCATATTTTAATGCCAGCAGTAACAGTGCTCACACCCAGAGATCAGGGGCATCAAAGTTGGTGGTAGCAAGGAGTATTTGCCACTGTAATTGACAAATAATACCCCTCATAAATACTGCCAGTCTTTTCAATTAGTTTTCATCTAAAATTCTGGCTACAAAATGATGGCCTGTCAACTGACAATGAATGGCAAAAATTAATAAATTGTCTTCTAAATAGAATGGACACTTAAGAAAAATTGGGCAGCCAATTTAGCACAGCATGAAGCAAGGGGAACCCTTTGTACTGGTGCCGGGCACTAATGTTGTCTCGATCTTTATTAATGGTGCTCGGCGGCTGCTGACAGTTTTGTTGCTACTGGCAACTTTCTTCATTAAAATTAAAGCCAGCATCAAATTCCATTAGCCGTACTCTGGGCACCTTGCATTTTTTTTTTAATACATATTGTTTCTTTTGTTAACTCCCTCTCCACCCATAAGAAGTTGTCAGAGAAGTTAAATGGAAGGAATTGTTTGCTAAGGCCAGAGAACCATTCACTGTTGTTGTGGGGAAATGGCCATTACTGGCCCGGTGAGAACCCCCATCCTGAAATCTGCAACTCTCCCCCCACAACCTCCCCCCCCCCCCCCGCCTTTTGTTCCATCCCCTTTCAAAATGGGAGCATATTACCTCTAAAAACGACACACTATTTTGGATCTGCAGCTTTCAGATAGGAACGACTAATTGGTATGAGGCCTTCTAGTTTCTTATTTTTTCTGAGCAGTTTTTTTTTTTTTTAAAGTTCCTGCTTCCCTTTTCTAACTGTATTTCCATAGCTGACTATACCTTAACACAATAGTAACTCAATGCTCAGAGAGACTCGCATTTGTCCGGAAGGCCTTAGAGTTATTTTCCCGAAGGCATTACTTTTATCTGTAGAACAAATTTCAACCTTTGAAGGAAAAAATCGAGCTTTGCTGAATAAGTTCTGAACTATTGTCTGAAAAGCCGTTGCCTGCCCTTCACAGCACTGTGTACAGTTCAAAAGGCTCTGAAATGCCTCCGCCCTGGAGCTGCTCCTCTTTCGCCAGCAAGAGGCAACAAACAGCTCTGATTCTAGGACAACTCAGTTCTTGGCTGTGCGCAGCGCCTTCCACCAGCAAGCAGAGGTTGTATGGCCACTGCGAATGTCTCTTGTAAAGGAACTAGGCTGGGATCACCATCCCCATGGGTTACCTTCCCCTCCCAGCCCAGTCTCATAATTGCTTTCTTCTGTCCTCAGTAATGCTAAGTTTAGGGGCTAAACCTTCATCTCAGTTTGTTTTCTTCTTCTCCTCCTCCTCCTCCTTTTAACTTGTATCTTACACTGAAAGAAACACAAATACTCATTAAAACAGTGAAAAGATAGTTGTCAAGCAACAAAGGAAAGGGCATACCAGAAAACATACACTGAGAAATAAAAAATATAACTTTATCTCTGAGCATCCTAGCACTCAAGGCAAAAAGGAAGATAATAATGCTGAGCTCTGCTGGAAGTCATTACGTAAGTGCGTTCGGTATTTCCTTTAACTGTTCTAACTTGAAACCATAATTATAATTACCTTTTTTTTTTGCCTCAAGGAGATGGCTTATGGATTGAATATGAGGATTACCTTTTTCTAACTGCGCAGCTTTCTAGTCACCACTGTCTCCCCATACCTTCCAGTCTCACATCACAGATACGTATTTTATTAATGGTATCTAGGATAGTGTTAACAGGAGTCTAACAAATCCAGTATTGTCCTTGTGAATCTTATTCTCATTTGTGGAATTTCTCAAAAATACAGCAACTGACTGAGATTCCAAACAGCTCACAATTAAAGACAGTACAATGTTTTGCTTTACAGAGAAGTGGCAGTAGTACAGATTCTGTTTTTTTGTAATAAATGTTTCTGACATTTTAATAGTGAAGTAAATTAATCAAATAATTGCAGGAAGATTCTGCTATTCAGCCGTTCTTTTTTGAGTAATCTTAAATAATTAAAGGAAGAACAACATGCCAAATGATGGTTCAATTAGCATGTATAAAAATAAATATTTACCAAGACTGCATTATTTGCCAAAACGGAGATGTGCAATTATTTAATATTGTTGATGGGGCCCATAAAACAAATAGTACCAAATCTCTCCCTGTGTACGGCCGTCAGCCTCCAAGGGCTGTTCTCCCACTGCAGACACCCCTCCTCTTACCACCACAATATCTGAACCAGGCAAGGAGACAATTGTTACTTGATGACTGAGCCCACTAATATGTTACAGGAAATGGGGCATGAAATGCAATACTTTATATATAGTATGTACTGTGTGAGTCTTCCATTGAAACAAGGCCATTTTTAGCTTGCTGATACAATATTTGCAGTGGTTCATCATTCGATTGTCCTGATTAACAATCAACTTCTATAGGGGACCATTTGAGTAGTTTTTTTAAATGTGATGAATCAGAGGATTTGTTCAACATCACTTCATCCTCTTCTTTAAATGGTAATTGGCACTTGGGAACTTGGGAGTGAAATAAGGTGTGGTCTGTTCTATGTGGTCATTTCCAGAAGTGCCGTTTTGACCACTGCTGTGCCTTTCATCCAGATTTTTGCAACTGGTAAAGGTGTCACAGGCACCATTGAAATCTACTCCCTCATCAGGGAACACACTCTTGTTGATAGCAACAGCATGCAATCTCTGTTACAGCCTCTAAGTTGGAACAGAGAAGGCTTTCGTAGAGGACATTTGGTGGAAATGAAACACATCCAAGCTGTCCCACGTTAACTGTCACCTCTGTCACCCACATGCACTACCTATGTTTAGCAGGGCAGCCTCTGCCTGTGATTTGCAGGGAGCGCATGCTGACAGCTCTCTTCCCTCTCCTTAGTTCCAGGAAGGTCCAGGCAGTTGAACTGACTGCTTGTCTGTAGAAAGACCCACTGTGTCCCTGGGGGACTGGTAGGTACCCTGATTCCTGCTTATCAGGGGATTGATTCTGGGCATGACCCTTCACCTTCTCTGTGCATATCTGTATCTTACCTCCATCTGGTCACTAGTTCCAGTAACTTGGCATTTCCTTAAATGAAACATTAACATCTGTAGAAAAGATCTCTCTGACATGTTAGATGTAACATGAGTTAAAAAGTCCCATTTGGGAGGAAGAGAACCATTGGGGACCCTGCCCCGTGGGGTTCCTGAGTGTCCTGGGCACCTTTGCTTGAGCTCATTCTTTTCGTCAGAGATCAAAACCAGGAGTGCCTCCTTCAGCTTGTACTACCGGATGGCTTAGCACCTGGCGAGTGAGTGTCTCAGAAAGGAAACTGCAGGAGTGCATTAGACCACTCAGGGGCCCTGCTGTCCTGGGTGTTCATCCATGGCTCCATTCATCCATGGCTCCGTGCACGTGCAGCCCGGGACCATGACTCTGATTCGATGCACTTTGTTTTCCAGAAGCACAGTTTGTCTTCTAACTTCTAATCAGTTCGGGATGGTATTCAAATTTCCAAGAAATTAAATTATTTGTAGTAAGGAGTTATTGCCAGTAGCAGTGGTAGCGGTCCTTGTCATCGTCATCAAAGTGGCGGTGGTAGTAATAGCAGTATAAGGAAATATTTGTGCTGCTCGTAATGAAACGTGCACATGGAATGTTTCTGGAGATCAGGGCCAGATGTAGGGTGCATTTTCCATGCCCGTTCTCATCCGTAGCAGAGACTGCGTGGAGTGCTGTGTTGAGAAGGCTTCGGAGGCTCAGGTGTTGCAGATGCCATCTGCCATCACCATGGGGTAGGGCAGTGCAAACTGCAAACTGTCCCAGGTACCTTTTAGCCATTCTTGGTTTAAGTCTTTAAGACTAAAATTGACACATGGCTGTTTGTCTGCATAAACCTTTTTCTTTCTTTAATCAGGAGGAAAGTGAGTAATCCTTTTCATTTCTCCAGTAGAACCTCTAGTCCATGTCTGAATTGCCTTCACAGACCATATGCACCTTTGAACTTCCGTAATAGATGTCAGGATCCTGAGGGCAGCCCTGGGTTGTTCTTTATGCCTCTTCACATCCAGGGTGGTGCTGTCCACTCACCGTGCGTGCATTGAGACTGTTTGGGTTGCTTTGCTCTCTGGTGAGATCTCTGTGTGCATGCTTTTTCTAATCTCCTCTGCTCTGTGTAGGGCAGGGCATATGTATGTAGTTATCATAATGGGATTTGGAGCCCACAGACAATGTGGCTTCCCCTTTACTGCTCACTGGTTATATTACCTTGCCCAATTACTTAACCTCCATGAAACTTTTTACCATTCATGAGATTTGTTAGAATCATTCAGTAATTCATTCATCAAATACTTTTTGAACATTTGATATTTGCCAGGTTATGGGCAAGACGGGAGTGGTCCCTACTGTCCATAAGCTCATGATGTAGCAACTAAGGAGCCAGATGGCAGGGGCATCCCACGTGGTCTGGGAAGCCCTGTCAAATGGAAACACAGTGCCAACCACAATGTGATTTCCATTTTGCAGGGGCAGGTACATGAGAAAAAGTAAGAAGAAATAAGTGAATCTGAAGTTTATTTTAATATGCTTTATTTAACCTAGTATATCCAGTGTTTGATCATTTTAGCATATAATCAATACAAGAAGTTACCTTGCGCCCTACAGAACCTTCAAAATCTGGTGTGTAGTTCACCTATATAGCACCTCTCGGCTGGGACTGGCCTCCCGTCGAGTCCTCAGTTGGCACATGTGGCTGAGGGTGGCCCTGTGGGATGGTACAGGTACAGCCTCCTCTTTGAGCTAGGGATGATTTCAGCTGACCAGGGGACAGACGCTGGCTGGGGTTAGGGAGGCAGTGTGAGGTGGGCCTCCTGGGCCCGAGGTCATCGAAGGCCCCGGTGGGGAGAGCACATGGCTAACTACGGGTCGCTGGCCAATGCAAGGCAGCAGCATGGGAGAAAGCCCTGGTGTGAGGCGGGACACCTGGTTTGCAGGCTGAGGATGTGCCACCTGTGGGACACCAGGTAGTGATGTCTGCAGCTGTGGATGAGACCTTCTAGGGGAAGAGTTAACTCGGAAAGAAAGGAACTCTGAGCATTGAAGAGTCAGGTGGATGAAAAGTTGCCAGGAATGGAAAAGAGAAACTAGAGGGAACAAGGGAAGTGTGTCATTCAGGAACTTTCTGTATTTAAAAGTGTGTGTTGGAGAGAAAGGACAAATCTTTTATGCGGAGGACTTGTAAATATTTTCCATAGATATAAAAGTCGACTTCATAGCTTGCCTGGTGTGCTCGGTTTTGACTCTATAGATCTGACTTGAATGCGCAAGCGGGCCGTTCCCACGTGATTTAATAAACAGTTGCTGTAGCATGTGTAATCTTTGCAGTGACAACAATTTAGGGATCATTCGCTAGAATAAAGCAGGAGCAGCAGGTTCTGATTGTTCCTTTTTCAGGAATTCCTCCCTGCCATATCCATGTGCCACTGTGTAGTCCCGTGAACTCTGCATTTTCGCAGAATGCCCCCATCATGTGAAGGGGTTCGGCTCACTCTGTGGCCGGCCTGGAGGCCTGGGTGTGCTTCCTAGGCAGGCAGTTGGATTCTGTTTAATTTTCTTTAGCTATGGGAGAAATGGAGTCCATTTCCAGACCATGGTAAGTGCCCGTTGGTTTTGTTTGCGGTTCTGGCCTCCAGGGCGGTCTGGGTGGGAGGAGGAGGTGGGCGGCCGGAAGGTGGTTGAGCGTTTCCGCTCCACTGCGCGGCCCCGGAGCCCCCAAACGCAGGTCAGCATGGAGGGGCAGCCTGCAGAGGTGTCACCAGCAGCCATTAAGTGCAGATACTGTCGTCCCTGGTGTCGTCCCTGAAAATCTTGTGACAGGGAGAGACAGAGTGAAAGGAAAGAAAAACGAGGCGATCAAGAGATAATATTAACTAGAAAAATCAAGAGGGGATCTGTCAGTCCTGGTGGGAAAAAAAAACATTTTGTTTTTCTTAGTTTCCTTTTCCTTTTCTTTTCTTTCCTTTGGATGGAGGAGGTTTGGTTTGGTCTTAGTACCCCAGCATACAGTAGCTTCATTGGCTTTTTTTCTGCCCATATTCAAAATTCCTTTGATTAGCATTTGGTTCTGGTTGGGACTTAATAATGCTAGCCAGACCTAATGTGAACCATACATCTCGTCGGCATTACTCATCGTCAACATGGGTTTTTAAAAGGGAAGGAGAGAAACACAACAAACTTTTTATTTCTTTCCCTGTCATTGTTCTTGGTCTTGTTATTCAGTGGACGCTGTATTAAATTGGATTCTGTGTCCATCATTATTAAAATGTGAAGTGTGTCGGTCACAAAGCATACATTTCGGGGCAGTTAGCTGAATAATTCTTTTCTTTATTATCCCAAATTACTGCTGAGCTCTGGAGAGGGGAGCAGTTTAGCCAATTATTGCCATTTGAGCTGGATTTGTGGGTGATTAGCTCCTGGCCGAATCCAGTCCCGGCCGGCGCTTTGAAGCCTGTGCTGTGCGATTTTCTCAGCAGTGAGGTAGGAATAGACGCGGCTAATGACAGGAAGGTCGCGCGGGTGAGCTGACCTGTGTGTGGCGCAGCCTTGGGTTCCGCAAATAGGGCACCCACAGTAACACGTGTGGCGCCGACCCCGCCGTGCGCAATCGGGGCTTTATACGATTGCTGGAGATGCTGACAGCTCAATTAAAGTGTAACCCTTTGTGCCCTGCAACCTGGCACAACGACAGAAATATTACTCGCCGGAAAGGGGAGGGGGTCTTTGGGGAGCTGGTTAAAGATCCAGAATCGGCCCCTCGCCCCTTTGCCCCTCCCCCAACTCCCTCCACTGTACAGAAGGAGCTGCAGAAAAGCCTCCATTTGTAAAATAATAGGTGCTCTGGAGGAGGGGCAGGGCGGGAAATATTACTATTTTAAAAAGCTCAGTTAAGGGGGGATTCCTGCTGTTCCTATGGAAACACTTTAAACTAGAGAGAAAGTTAAAAAGATTTAGTAGCGGCAGAGCTTGTGTCTGCTGGTCACATTTTCTAGTCATCTCCTTTTACCAAAATTTACCTCCCAGCATCGTGGATGTGAATTTGCCAGAAGTTTTCCGTTTGTGGAGGACTGGGGAAAGCCAGTTAATTGGGATGTGTTTTTGCACACAACGAATGATTTCTATGTTATCGATTTACTTCTTTCACTTAACGGCATTTTCTGCAGCTTGAATGAAAGCTGTCTCGATCCATGTATGTCTGTGTATCTGCGGTCTGGTCATTTTTGCCACACTTGATTTTTTTCTGCTAAACCCTACGTCTTGCAGTATATGGGTCACTCATCCAGATTTACTTGATGCTGTTTTAGTTAGGCAGCAGCATGCGATGCCCTGTGCGCATCTTTATTTTTGGTTTTAGATTTTTGGTGGACTGCTTTGATGTTTTATTTTCTGAGACTAGGAGTATCTATAACTTGGTGTGGTTATTCTTGCAGGTTGAGCCGGGTGCTAGCTACTGATGTGGGAATCTGGGAGCCCGAGCCGACTCAGACAGTCCTGACTCCCCAGAATTCCCACCGAGGGAGACAATCCGTGTGTGTGATCGGGGTGTTCTGGACTTGAGGTACCTGGTAGATACTCGGGGGAGTGTGTCCAGTACGGAATGGGAATTGAGACTCCAGCAAGTGGGGAAGAGACAGCGGAAGTCCCCAGTGTGACACCAGGGCCTGTGGGGCGTATTTGGTGAGACTGGTGAGGTCAGCATTGGACCACCTCCCATGCTGGGTGCCATCAGTGTGCTGGAGGGGGAAGGGGGAGACAGCATTTCTCTGTCCTAGAGCAGTGCACAGCCTGTTCATGCACCTGTGTGTGTGAGTCAGCTCAAACTGCCATAACAGAAGACCACAGACTTTGTCTTAAACAGCAAACATTTATTGTCTCCCAATTCTGGAGGCTGGAAGTCTTGGATCAAGGCCTCAGTGGGATTGGCTTCTCCTGAAGCCTCTCTCCTTGGCTTGCAGACAGCCATCTTCTCCCTGTGTCTTCACGTGGTCTTTCTCCGTGAGTGTCTGTGTCCTGATCTTTTCTAATAAGGACAACAGTCATATTGGATTAGGGCCCATCCTAACAGCCTTATTTTAACATAATTTGCTCTGTAAAGGCCCTGACTCCAAATAGAGTCACATCGTGAGTGCTGGGCGTTAGGATCTCAATATCTGAATTAGGGAGTGGAGCACAATGCAGCCCATAATAGTCATCGTCTAAGGGATGGGCGTCGGGGGGTGCTTGCTTATGCGGAGCCTGTGACCCTGCAGCTCAGCATGGGAGGCTAAAGGGGCGCTCACCAGGATGGCCAGAGGAAGGGGCAGGATGCAAGAAGGACATTTCAGGGGAAAAGAATTGAATTTGCCAATTTACATTAAAGTTTCTGGCCTCTGATTGGGTCTGCATGGTTTCCTGTCCTGTAGCAGTCTTCTATAAAAGGCTGGAGAGGAGGTATGTTAGGCTTCATGGGTCGTGTGGTTTCTCCTGAACTACCTACCTCTCCCAGTTCAGGGCAAATGCAGCCATTCCAACCAATGAACTTGACTGTGTTCCGATAAAACTTTATTTACAGAAAGAGGCAGAGGATCAGATTTGGCCGACATGTGGGAGCTTGCCGGCCCCAGTCCCGTAGGATCCCCAACGCTAATAGTCTGGATGAGGGTGCACAGGCTGTGAGAGTTCCTGTTAGGCGGGAAGGCTCTGGCCCCTCGGGATCATACACCTTATGCTGGTGCTGCAGTGTGTGTGTGTGTGTGTGTGTGTGTGTGTGTGTGTGTGCAAGTGAGGGAGGGTGACCCCCACACCAAGCACACAGGGCCATGGATTTTCACTGTCTTGGGTCCAGGCCTATTTCTAGCTAAGTGTTATCTGCAGGGTATAGCTTAGCATAATGAGAGGGCAAAAGCAAGATGACTAAGTGTTCGTTACGGAAAAGTGGGATGTCAGGGGAGCCTCAGCAGGGGCATCACCTGGATGTACCATTTTCCGCATGGAGCTGGTGCCGTGGGGGAAGAATAGGTCACAGCTTGTATGACCCGTGTGCTTCTCCAGTTTCCAATGATGACATTCCATCCACCCACCACCCACCCAGATGCGCTTCTCTAGTTTTATTGAGGTCAGTTTGGTTCCTGTCAGCCACAGTTTTAATACATGTTTATAGGGGGAAAAATCTTAATTAGAATAATTAGAATAAAATTATTAAATGCAAATGTGTGATTGGTACTCACACTCTTTGGATCTCAGTTAAAGGTGCCAGCTTTTCTTTGACCTATTTTAGAACTTCATAGAAACCTTTAACAAGAACCTGTTCCAAAGTGTAATGAATGCAAATCATAAGACACTAAATGAGCTATTAACAATATTCACTGTAAAACCACCGAAGTACTCAAACATCACTTTTTTTTTTTTTAGAAGTAGAAACATTTTTGAACTTGCATGGATGTTTTTAAGCCAGAAAAAACTTTTTTTAAAAAACTTGGTAATTAGGAAACTATTAGTGCTCCTGCAGCAGCAAGAGGATTCATTTGATCTCATTGCGAAATCACACGTGCACCGTCCTTTACATTCAGTCAGATGCATGCACGGCCCCCGGTGTCTGTTAAAGCCGATGAGGAATGCTGCCCGCAGAGCAAAGGCGAGTGGTTGTGGACGTGCCTGTTGATAATCTGATCTTGACATGGCGCCGCCTGCGTTGAGACTGTTGCTCCATCACCCCGTAGGAGCTTAGCCATGAAATGTTCCCTCTGTGTAACGATGATCCCTGTGCGAGCAGAGGCCGGCACCATTTGGTCCCTGAGACTCAAAACAAAGACTGATTTGCCTGGTTAAGACCCCCAGTCTCTAATGCAGTCAATAAATCTTTGTTGGTAAATAATTGCTATCGAGCAGAGTTTTAATATAAATTTATGAGTGGTGTTTTATCACAGCTTGGGGCTGCAGCAAACACTGAGTGATGGGTTTCAGATAGCACTTACATTCATGACATTAACTTTGTAAGTTATTTAAAGCTTGTACACTTAACATTGCTTTTGGCTTTCAATGACCTCTTGGGACTAGACAAAGAATACACATGACGAATAAAGGGATTGCAGCCAAAAGACAATTCTACTCTTTGCTCCACTGTAGAAAAGGTTCCTTGGGCTTAAAGCAAGATGTGCCTGCCTGGAATCCTGATATTTTGGTTATAGGTCATTAAAATCAGTCTTTCTGATATGTCAGTAAATTAGGTGGTAGGAATTAGATCAACATTTGCCATTTCCAAGTAACATAAGAAGAATAATTTGAGGTGTCACAAAACATTTGAAATTTCTTGCTTTACAAACAAGTTAAAATTTGTCTGGTGGGTGAAATGGTTTGCAGGGAGGCAGCATAGCAGCGGGGTAACAAGTATAAACCCTTGGTTTGTACCTCGAATCTTGCGCCTGTTTCTTCCCCTTACTGCCGTTTGGGTTATCTATTGCTGGGTAATGAGCCCAAATTATAGTGGCTTAAAACAGTACCATTTTGGCCAGGTATGGTGGCTCACGCCTGTAATCCCAGCACTTTGGAAGGCCGAGGCAGGTGGATCACAAGGTCAGGAGATTGAGACCATCCTGACCAACATGGTGAAACTCCATCTCTACTAAAAAAAAAAAAAAAAAAAAAAAAAAAAAAATTAGCCGGGCGTGACGGCAGGTGCCTGTAATCCCAGCTACTCAGGAGGCTGAGGCAGGAGAATCACTTGAACCCAGGAGGTGGAGGTTGCAGTGAGCCAAGATCGCGCCACTGCA
Organism: Homo sapiens; assembly: GCF_000001405.40. Taxonomy (NCBI): domain Eukaryota; kingdom Metazoa; phylum Chordata; class Mammalia; order Primates; family Hominidae; genus Homo; species Homo sapiens. The sequence continues at coordinate 235,869,567 of NC_000002.12, forward strand.
CTCCAGCCTGAGCGACAGAGCGAGACTCCGTCTCAAAAATAAAAAATAAAAGTGCCACCTTATTGTTTATCATGATTCTGTGGGTCAGGAGTTTGGGCAGGGCATATTGGGGACAGTTTGTCCATGCTCCACAAGATACTTTCTTAGGGCTACAGCGTCCAAGATCATTTCTTTACTGATGTATCTGATGCCTCAGCAAAAGTGGCACAGCTGGCTGGAGGCTGACGTGAAAAGGTCACTGGCAGTCATCTATCTGAGACCTCAGTTCTTCCTCAAATAGTCTCAGGGTGTCTCCTCTTTACTTGGTCTCCCCAGTAGGATAGTCTGACCTCTTAACAAGGCTGCGCAGGCTTCCCAGGGGTGTAAAGCAGGAGTTTCCAGGCCTCCTTCAGGCTTTGGCCAGGAGTGGCACAGCATAATTTCCACCACATTCTGTTGGTTCAATTGAGTCAGAGGACAGAGTGATCACACAGGATATGAGCACCACGGGGGATGAGGGGGCTGGTTTTTGTGTGCCATCTTCGGACACTAGCTACTTCACTCTACCCTCCTTCCTGCAAAGTACCCACAGCCTGTCCCCAGCTACCCAAAGTCTCAAGCCATTATGGCATCCAGCCCAGGCTTGAAGTTCATGGCCTTGTCGTCTACACCAGGTACACGTGGATGAGGTTCCTTGCATGTGGTCCTCCCCATCGGAAGACCACGATACGCAGGGGACAAGTTATCTCACACACCATGCAGTGGTGACTCAGGAACAGGAGAACTGCAGCAGATACCCTTATTCTAAAAAGGTGGAGAGGCTGTAATCCCAGCACTTTGGGAGGCTGAGGCAGGTGGATCACCTCAGGTCAGGAGTTCAAGACCAGCCTAGCCAACATGGCGAAACCCTGTCTCTACTAAAAATACAAAATTAGCCAGGCATGGTGGCACATGTGTGTAATCCCATCTACTTCGGAGGCTGAGGCAGGAGAATCACTTGAACCTGAGAGGTGGAGGTTGTGGTGAGCTGAGGTTGCACCATTGCACTCCAGCCTGGGCAACAAGAGTGAAACTCCATCTGGAAAAAAAAAAAAATGATGGAGAGGGACAAGAGACATGGAATAGTCACTGGGCCATAACAATTCTGAAATCCAGCCAGCACATGATGCTGATTCACCCTGCTCTGGGCATAAGAACTGTATATTCTCCCCAGGAGGCATCCTCCTTGGCCCTTGGCTCTGCCCTCTGCCTTTCCCATAAGAACTGACCCATGTTTGCTACTATGCAGCTTTCTCAGCCTGCTTCCTGCTGTACTTAAAGTTGAGGGCCCAGAGACCACTTTTCTTTCTGAACTTTCTCTGTGCATTTTAATCCAAGATGGTATAATTCCTTTAAAAATCTTGTGGGTATCCTTTGTGTCAAATCATAATCTGTTCCATTAAACAAAAGCTAATGCACAGATTTCTCTCTCTAATCCATGGATCTCTAATCAGAAGGGTCTGTGAGGCATTGCCTTAAAATATTTGAGTTCTCAAGGAAAGGGTCTGACTGCCACACCATTGAAGGGGTCCTCATTCTGAGATCACAGCTACTGGCATCCCCAGGATTTGATCTTAGTTCTGATGCCAGTTCTTACTCAAGGGTTTTCTGCTGTCAGGAGAAGCTGGGAATGAGAAACTGTTTTGTGATCAGTCCAGCAAGGTTTACAGTTGAAATATTTTTTCTAATTGTGCTGGAAAATTCCCTGGACCTCCTCTCTCTCCTCCCGTATTTAACAGAGCCAGGAGCACTTCCAGCATCTGGCATGGCAATCTGGTAGCTAGGTGTGCAGGCTCACGAGGCACTCTTGCTATGCTACCCATCCCCCTGCGTGGGGTGGCCGGGAGGGGGCAGGTTGCTAATTGCCCTGCTGGTACCTGTTCTGCCGGCCCCATTTCCATCCTAAGGTAGCATTTTCCTCACTGTCCTCACAACTTCCACTCATGCTTCTTACATCTCTGCCAGCCTCAGCCAACTGCCTAGTTCCAAAGCCACTGCCATGTGTTTTTGATTTTTGTTACAGCAGTACAGGATGCTAATTCTGTTTTTCTTACCTGTTGCTGCATAAGGATCCACCCTGAAACTTCAGGGTTTAAGAAAATGATCATTTGACTGTTTCTTATAACACTGTGGCTGAGACCTGTGGACAGAGCCCAGCAGGGCTGACTTATCTGTCAGAGCTTCCCAAGGCACCAGGTGCTGCTAGGCTTTCTCGAGAATTAAACCCAATGGAGATAGTGTTATTCCCACTGATGCTGTTAGCTAAAGTGAGTCTCGGGCAGCCCAGGGTCAGTGTGGGAGGATTTATTTATACAGGGACACCAGTGCCACGAAGTGTGGTTCAATGGGAGCCGTCTTTGGAGAACAGATACCACGCTGGCTGTGCATGTTGGGCAAGTTACATAAGCAGTCTGTTTCAGTGTCCTTATCCATGAAATGAGAATCGTCGTGGATATCAGTTGTGATTGCAGTTGATGAAATATGCAGTTGTGAATACTGAGAGATTGGTATTCATACTCTTTGGAACCCAGTTAAAGGTGTCATATCAATTCCTGTCCATGAAATGAGGATAATCAATGACCATCTGGTTGTCATGCACTTTCAGTGGGTTAACAGTTGCAAGGCACTTAGAGCAGCAGCATCTGGTTCAGAGTGAGCCCAATATTGCATAGAAATAAAAAAAAAAAGTTCTAAATAAATGCCGAAGCCACATAGGAGTCAAAGAAAGCGTTAACTGTAATTGATGTCTTCACTGTGACAGCTGGACAGCAAGAAAGAATCTTAAGCAGAGATGGTTTTCACATGTACAAAAGTGGCATCTGAAAGATGGACAAAGTATGCATGGTGACATGCCACCATGCCGCTGGCCCTGGGTTATGCAGAATCAAAAAGACTTAGGATCACAGGGGCCATTGGCACTCACTGACAGGAACTCTCTTCCTGAGCATCTCAGGCAGAGCCTTCCGGCCTCTGTCATCTTCTGGCCAGTAGGATCACGGCTTCATGTCCTCTAAAAGTTTCAAATGAACTATTTTTAGGGTTTTCCATTTTCTTGGTCCTTAGAGTAGGAAGTGTGAAAGTTCGGACTGATTGAACATAGAGGAGGCTGTCTGCGCGCTCAGCCCAGACCAGTGGGGGCCACCTTAGTACCACTTCCTCCCTAAGGAAAGCGACGGGCCCCCTGTCTTCCCCGATTGGTTTCCATTTAGCTGCTGCACATGGGGGATGCTGAGTGTGTTCAGAGGGGCGTCCCATGGTCGAACTGGAACTTGCTTTGGGAAGAGTGTGGACTAAGAAGGGGCTTGGCTTGTGTTGCCACATGTGAGAAGACCTCTCAATGGGGCTTTTGTGGTGGCTCCACGGTCCCTGAAAGTCCCCACTGGCTCAGTGCAGCTCTGGAATTAGGAACCAGCCGTGCCCCAGGAGGGCAGAGGACCCTGGCTCTTTCCAAGGGAGATCATCCAGGCAGCTCTCACTGCTGAGACCTATGGACCCCTGTCCCCAGGGTGCTTATGCAGAGACTGCGGGACCCCAGGTGGGGATCATGCAAAACATTTTTGTAGCAGATTCAGGGCTGAATGGTTTAACTTCTGGGGTCGCTCTAGACTGAAATTCTCTGATTCCCACTTGGTACAAACACTCTTCAAAAATCAGTGTTCAGAATTAATTTAAGCCAAGAAAGAAAAAGCATGTTTTTAATCCACAAAAGCTATTTCCCGAGTCTGCTCATTTGTAGTCCAATTGAACCTCTGATTATGACTGCTCCTCTGGCCTCCTGCTTCTGAAGCCCCAGCCAACGTCTTCACTCATCAGAGAGCTTCTGTCTCATCGTACTTTTGAGGAACAGCCTTTTAAAATTATTTAAGGAGAGACAATAGAGAGTTTTGTAGTTTTTCCTATTGTTTTGGCAAACTTTTTTTTTTTTAAAGGTTTACATGTATAAATGCAGACATGGACTCTCTGACGTCAAAGATCTGTGGGCATTAAATCCACAGCTGGGGAGTCCGGGCTTTCCCAGGATTGGGGCCCTTCAAGGAAGAGCAAGCCTGTGTAATAATTTGGAGGCCTAAGTTACCCGACTGTGGGAAGGCCAGTGCCGCTGTCCAGTCCATGTGGAAGGACCTTGATGTCAGTCCAGAACCACATTTTCGTTTTGTTTTTGAGACGAGGTCTTACTTTGTCACCCAGACTGGAGTGCAGTGGCACAATCACGACTCACTGCAGCCTCGACCTCCTGAGCTCAGGCAGTTCTCTCACCTCAGCTTCCCGGGTAGCTGGGACTACAGGTGCACACCCCCACACCCGGCTAATTTGTGTATTTTTTTGTAGAGACGGGGTTTCAACTTGTTGCCCAGGCTGGTCTCAAACTCCTGGACTCACACAGTCCCCTCGCCTCCATCTCCCAAAGTGCTGGGGTCACAGGCGTGAGCCATCACGCCCAGCCCAGAACCGCATTCTGTTTTTTGTTTTGTTTTGTTTTTGTTTTTGTTTTGAGACAGGGTCTTGCTCTGTCGCCAGGCTGGAGTGCAGTGGCGTGATCTCAGCTCACTGCAACCTCTCCCTCCAACCAATTGCCCTACCTCAGCCTCCCAAGTAGCTAGGTCTACAGGCGCACACCACCATGCCCAGCTAATTTTTTGCATTTTACTAGAGACGGGGTTTCACCATGTTTACCGGGATGGTCTCGATCTCCTGACCTTGTGATCTGCCGGCCTCGGCCTCCCAAAGTGCTGGGGTTACAGATGTAAGCCACTGTGCCCGGCCCAGAACCACATTCTTGAGCTGAGCTCCCGAGGGTACCTGGTGATGTAGAAGGAAGTTGGCTTAACTGGGGGCGCTGCAGCAGCTTCTCAGACATGGCTGCCCTCATGCCTCCTTGGGGCCAGGGCTGTGGTTATAGTTGCTGTCCATCACTCTAGGTGCTTTCACCTAGGCAGAGCAACCGAAGTGCACTTTGCAGGGAGCTAAGAGGCTCGGCTGCTAACAGCAGACGGGTTTGGGTGGGACTGGAGTGAGCTCAAGATTCTGTGCAGGCCTCACTTGGATCAGCTGCTCCTGTCCTTAGGGGTCAGGACAGGACTTCGTCATGTTTCTGGCTTTGCCTTCATCTATTCTGGAAATTTCAAGAGAACCTGGACATGTGAATGTGAAAGAGAAGGCACTCATGTATAGAACTCATTACAAAGATAGCATTACTCCTAGAACCAAGATACCATGAGTGTGTGTGTGCATGTGTGTGTGCGTGTGCTCTTGCACACGCTCATGGATCAAGGCAGAGGATGAGTTTAAAAACTGGTACTAAAATACCCTCTTATCAGAGAAATTGTCAATATCATGGCCCCACATTTCCATTAGATAGGCAGTAACCTCTTGTGAAGCGGAAGCAAACTAGAAACAGCTCTCCCAAACGTGGGCAAAAAAAGAAACTAGAACTGGTTGAAGACTGAGTTTTGGGAGAAGAACCCTGGAGGCCAAAGGCAGTATTCCTGGGGTCCTGGGATGGAGAGAGCCCTGTCACCCCCTCTCCCCCATCTGCCCTTGCTGCAAGGAGGAGGTCAGCCTTGTTTTATAAATGAGGTCACTTTTCAACCTTACTGGTCCATGGCCCTGTCCTGTTTCTGTATCTGCCAACCAGAGAGCAACTCCCGTTGTTTGTTTTCACCTTTTAGAATTCCTGGGACTAACAACAATTGTAATAAAATCGATGGTATTTTAAATTGTTGGGATGAACAAGCACTTTGGGTTCCTGAGATCTTAGGATAAAAGCCCACCGAGGTGCGAGTCTCACCATCGTGCTGTCTGCTGAGAGATCTGATTCCCAGCGGACCGGCCTTCCTCACTCGATGATTGTCAGGGCTGAGAACCCAGCACAGGTCTGTGATGCCCACGAGGCTGTGCGGCTCAGGGCCAGGTCGGTTTTGAGTCACGTGCTTACTGTGTGTCGGAACACTTGTGCTTTGAAGGCTGCGATTGGACACGTGATTCCCAGCACGTTTCCTGAGGTTCCGCCTGCAGCCCGGGCCTGTGGTGGAGTAGAGCTTCTCTCCCCAGCTTTCCCGGGAGTGTGTGGTCTCCTGTTTCCCATCTGCATTTGCTTATGGGGCGCCATGACACCAACACATGGAGCCACTTGGAGACTTGTGTGTTAGTTGTGCACAGATACCTACACTTCCCACTGCCCGACAGTACGTGCAGTGATTTTGATGGCTGTTTATCCGGACTAATCAGACAAAAACATCTTCCAAAATACATTATAATTGCACTAGGGACTTCTAAATTTTTATTCAATGGGTAAATGTCTTTTTATTTCATTTTAAAAACTCAATGCATTGTTTGTTTATATTTAACATGGATTCATTTAATGAGAGTTAAGTTTGACCATATAATGGAACAAATGTTAATTTCCTCAAAAAGTAGTTGTTCTATGTCAGACCCATGACCAAGATCTCCTTGCTATAATTAGATGACTTGTTTCCAGGGTAAGGGGCTCACCTGCAGATAATTTTCTCATCTCCAATAGAGGTGTGCATTGCCTTCTGTATCTTTACTTCATTGTTCTCTAGCTTCCTCATTTGAAATTGCAAATACTTGTATCTGTTGTTTTCCTAAGGTGAACATGATGCTTTTTACTATCAATTTATGTACTTTTAGAAATATTTAAAATAATTTATTTTTAAAGGAGAATGAACTAGTCAACCTATTAAATGATTACGTCATGATTTTAATGATTCTCAGGAAAAATTGTGCTGACCCTTAGATGATAATTCTTCAAAATGGGATTCTGATTCTGTGTTGGCCAAGCAGATTATAACCCGGCCCTTGCGTGCTAAACCTTAAGTGTCACCATATTCACCCCTAGGCTTCTTCCTCTCTCATGGCTCCTCCCCAGCCACCCTCCGTCTCCCGGACTTCCTCCTTGAACGTGGAACCTCAACGGCTGGCCTGGCCGCCTTGCCTGCCTGGGGCACCAGCCCCCCAGTGCTGTGTGGCTGATACCAAAGTCTTCTTTTCCCTCCTGGTCACCAGCTCCTGTACTCTCTGGCTCAGTGAATGACCCCACTGGGCCACGACAACTAAAGCCTGACTTTGTGCTGGCCCCGCCCCACCTCACCCAGCACCTTGTCCCGATTTTACCTCCAGCGTGTTTCTTGCATCTGCGTTCTCCTTGCCTGCCTTCCTTCTCCTCTCTTGCCCCCAGGCGCATCCCTGATCGTTGCTGCCATTCTAGACCAGTCTTTCCCACATTTGAGTGGTGTGGAACCTTTTTTTTTTTTTTTTTTGAGACAGAGTTTCACTCTTGTTGCCCAGTCTGGAGTGCAATGGCGCAATCTTGGCTCACTGCAACCTCTGCCTCCCGGGTTCAAGCAATTCTTCTGCCTCAGCCTCCCAAGTAGCTGGGATTACAGGCATGCACCACCATGCTCGGCTAATTTTTGTATTTTTAGTAGAGTTGGGGCTTCACCATTTGGTCAGGCTGGTCTCAAACTCCTGACCTCATGATCCACCCGCCTCGGCCTCCCAAAGTGCTGGAATTACAGGCATGAGCCACCACGCCCTGCCAGAGCCATTTAAAAGAACAAAAATCTCATGAATCCTTCAACATTGATTTAACTGTTTTGATAATAATTATGCAGTTAGGTACAAGCAGAAAACTAAGATTCAGCTCCTTGTCTTTATAGCTTTTAAATAGATATAAAAGTTATATTTATTAAACATTTAAATTAATACCATTAATTTACTGTGCATTTAATGTTAAGGATGATGATGTTTTGCTGAAACAAAATGACGGCCATCCGTGCCAGGGGTTAGGGATGACGGTTGCAGGGCAGGCTCCTTTGGTGTCAGCTGCCTCGTGACCGTATCACGTGGTGACCCCAGTCTCTTCCTTTCCTGCTTTCATACTGAGAAATCGTTTCGTGTACAGCATGCGGTGCCTTCCCCGGGGGTTAACTTGTTCTCAGAGTGAGTGATTTACATGTTGCGTCTCCCTCAGCGCTGTCCCCCTTAGCACCACTCATGACCTAGGAAGTCGGAGATGCCAACTCGGGCAGTGGAATCCAGTGGTGGTTTTGGATCACTTTTTAGATAGTGATTAAAATACACTCAAAAATTTAAAAATTCTCTTGGAGAAATTATGGTTCCAGAGAAAATGACAGGTTTCCCTTGCATCTCAAATTTGCTCAGACCGTCTGGGGATCTTGTTACATTTGGATTGATCCCTCCCCCTCTTGGGTACACCCAACCACTGGTCTAAAGTGGGCCACACTTTGAGCTGGAAAGTGCTTCCGTCTTTTGCCAACTTAAAATTTGTCCTCGCCAGGGGAATCTTTCCTAATGCAAATCAGATAACCCCTTCCTCCCTCCACCCTGCACACCTATGGCAGGGCCCAGACATTCAGGCACCTCCAGGGCCAGGCAGGAAGTGGGGCTGAGGGCAGCCCGCTGATTTGAGAGAAGGGCCCACGGTGCCCGTGGAAACCCGAGAGTGTGGCCTCTGCACACTGCTGCCCCTCAGGGCCATATTCCCATGTCAGATGGAGAGTATGGGTGCTGCGGCTGCTGGATCCTAAGATCCATAGGAGGGCAGGGGGACTCCATCCAACCCCAGTGACTCTTGGCCAGAAGTCACAAACACCGCGTGCACGTGCAGCTGGCCTGCAGCAGGTTCAGTGTAACCAGCGTTCAATGCAAAAATGTATACCTGTGGCCAGTATTTTAACATAAGAAGCCATCACACACAAGTCCAGTGTTTCTCCTTCTCTTTGATAATCAGGAAATCTGGCCACGTGGGACCCTCCAGCCCTGCAGGGTCGCTGTGTTGCACAACCCCAGGGGCTTGTTGGTGGCAGCATGTTGGCCCAGTCACGTTCTGGGCTAAAGTACTCCTCCCTGCCAAGCAGGTCTGATCTCTAGTTTCCAGCAGCCCTGGGCACCCCGTTCCTGGAATTTGCTAGTCGGGTTGAGATTTCTTGTCCTGTTCTCCTTTCCTTGAAGACACTCAGGGTTGAGGCCTTCTCAGGCTGCTCCTGGATTTAGCAAACAGAAACCGCTTCCTCTGGAGCCATGTGCACTCTCAGTTAAGGGAAATATTTGCTCATCTGCTCTCACTCCAAGCTCACATTATATTTCAGTGGGAATTTGGGAGTGAAGCGGAGCCCCTGTCCGCTCATGTTCCTTGACTGAATCAGAATGTCTTGGGAATTGGGGATACCCTCTGTAAACTGTGGGGTGCAGCGGGAAGATAAAATGCGAGTTGTCATGAAGTCTCACTTCTCTCCCTGCAAGGGACTCAGGTGACAGAGGTGCCTGCCAGAGGGATCCTGAGCAGCCGCCCCTTGGTGGTTGTGCTTTGGAAGGGGGAGCTGAAGTTCAAGACCAAAAGTGTTGGGCTGGGCAGTGGCTGGGACACCCAGAGGTTCTGCGTGGGGAGCAGGTCACCGCCCATCAGTAGGAACAGGAGACTTTGGCAGCCCAGCAGCCCAGTGTCCTGGCAGGAGTGAAGACGGCAGGAGAGCTGGCCCTGCCACATTCCGTTAGCTAACAAGACACTTCCCCTGTGTAACTCAGTCCTGGCTTTCAGGGAGCCATGGCTTCCATAACTTCGCTGCCCCTGACTTGTTCCTTTGGGGAGCAGGGGACATGACTGCACAGCCGGGCTGAGCATGGGGTAGTGCTCCAGCCACTGAAAGAAAAGTGCACCTGCCCCAGCCCAGCTAGACCACAGCCATGACATGGCAAGCGGGGCAGCCAAGTGGCTCTTGGTCGCCACAGCAATTCTTGGGGGGGTCAGATAATAAACCCAACTGGGGCCAAGGCTGGAAGGCAGAAATATGACTCCTAAGAGGCCAGGGTATTCTGTAGTCCTGCCACTTACGCAGCATTTGAATAGTGCCTATAATCCAAGATTATCCCCCCTGGCAAGACGTAGAGTTTAAGTTAAGTTTACTTATTTAATAAGATCTTAAGTTTATTGAGAGTTTTCCTAGGATCAAAAGAAAATCAGCGTAGGCCTGGCACAGTGGCTCACTCCCTGTCATCCAGCACTTTCTAAAGACCTAAGCGAGGCATGGTGGCTCACTCCCCTGTTACCCCAGCACTTCTGGGAAGCCATGGTGGGAGGATTGCTTGAGCCCAGGAGTTCGAGACCAGCCTGGGCAAGATGATGAGACCCTGTCTCTACAAAAAATAAAATAAAAAATTAGACAGACATGGTGGCATGTGTGTGTAGTCCTAGCTACTCGGAGGAGGCTGGCGCAGGAGAATTGCTTGAGCTGGAAAGTTCAAGGTTGCAGTGAGCTGTAATTGCATCAGTACACTGCACTCCAACCTGGGCAACAGAGCGAGACCTTATCTCTACAAAAAACAGAAATAAAAAAATTAGCCGAACAGGATGGCACACGCCTGTAGTCCCAAGCTACTCAGGAGGAAGGAGGGAGGATCACTTGAGCCCAAGAGTTCAAGGCCACAAGGAGCTATGATAGCATCACTGCACTCTGGCCTTTTTTTTTTTTTTTTTTTAAAGTTTTAATTCAGCCTAATTTAGTTCCTCAGAAAGCTATAAAATGATGTCTTCACATGCCTCCCGATTAGACTGTTTCCCCCTTTTTCCTTAACAAATAAGTCCTCGTAGCCTTCACTGGGGGCAGGACAATTTTGAGGATGTGATTTCCTCACGAAAGTACCTCCCACACGCCAGCCAGAAGAGTGGTGCAAATCCATCCGCGTGGAGCCCCGAGGGTGTGCGCCGTGGCCAGCATTTGTCTGAGTGGGAAGGGATGAAGCTTTCTGAATGAAGCCTGGAGCATCTGTAATCTCCTGGTGACACCAGAGACCGTGGCCCTGGCATTGTTGAAATTCCATCTGAAATGAATGACGGAAAAATGGGAGCCCACTGGAGAACTTGAGTGAGGGCGAGGCGGGTGGATCACCTGAGGTCAGCAGTTCAAGACCAGCCTGGCTAACATGGTGAAACCCCATTTCTACTAAAAATACAAAAAAAAAAAAAATTAGCCAGGCATGGTGGCATTTGCCTGTAATCCCAGCTACTCTGGAGGCTGAGGCAGGAGAATCACTTGAACCTGGGAGGCGGAGCTTGCAGTGAGCTGAGATCGCGCCACTGCACTGCAGCCTGGGCGACAGAGCGAGACTCCGTCTCAAAAAAAAAAAAAACAAAAAAAGAACTTGAGTGAGGCTTTGTTATGCTAAGTTTTAAAATCCACGGGAATCCCACTGAAGAGGGGTCTCTCATGAGTTGAAGCAATTGCTTGTTTATTACCGCATCGCTGATGGTGACTGCCCTTCTCTAATTCCTGCCATGCAAGGAAGCCCTTATTGTCTTGGTTTGCAACTTAGTAGCATTTTCCTGTGGGCTTCATTGGGTTGATTGGTCTCAGTTCCATATTTGGTGTATAGCGATTTAGATTCCAAGAAATCAAGGTATGCCACATTTTGCCACGTTTCCGTTAATAAGAACTTGCAAAGAAATCATCTTCTAAAGTCGTTTCAAACTCAAATATTTTCCCTTAAGCAACAATGTCTAATGGTGATTGCAGCCCCAAGCTGGCTCATACTTTATTAAGTTTGTGAAACTTGGTTACGATCTAGTAAATAAAAAACAGTATTGTCACAGTATTGGTAATTAATTGGACTTGAACTCAATTATATCCCATAATAATTATTCATTCTTATGTTGTAATTCTTGAAAGATAGCAGAATTTAGGAGGTCGATGGAGGCTGGGAAAAGTTCTGAAGGTGACTCGTGGGGCATCTCGGCTTTCTCAAAGCGTCTTCTTGTATTTCAAAACTCATAACTTTCCTTCTGCCTCAGTCCAGGTGAATTAACTAGCCTGAGTCTTACGCTCTCTCAGTCATATTAAGGTTACATAAGTTTATAAAAGGGTAGGAGAAGAGGAAGTAAAGAGATTGTTCCATTTTTCTTGGTTAACATGGGCCAGAGTTAGATGAGAAGGGAGGAAGACAGAGACAGAGACTCCCGATGTGAACGCTGCCATTGAAAGGGACTGAGCTGGACAGGCATGGAGCCCAGGCTGAGCAGGAGAGAATCCCAGCTCAAGGTGTGGGGCCTGCCCAAGCTCAGTGTTGGCCGTCAGCTTCCTTAACAAAGGGAAACCTGTCAAGGTAGAGCAAGGTTTGCTGGGAATTGGTGTTAAAACAAGAAGAAATTCTCAACCACCATTTAAGAAGACTGGATTAAACATGACTTCAAAAATGTGTTGGTTTCAAATTCTGAGTGGTTTTCAAGGAGGCTTAATATGATTTCATTAAAAATGAATTAGAGTAAATTACATGGGATTCATCTATTAAATACTGTTACTGAAATTTGCCAGTGGAATTTTGGTTTTAATAAAAAATCTGAAATGAAGGAAACTGTAAAAAAATTCTGCTTTACAAATATAAGGTGAGAATACAGTTAATGCAGTTTGGGTTTTTCTGGGGTTTTTTTGTGGTTTTTGTTTTGTTTTGTTTTGGTGGGTTTTTTTGTGTTTGGTTGTTTTTGTTTTTGTTCTTTTTGGCTACAAGGTGTGTTTTATTTTCATTATTCATAGAAATAATTTTCTATAATGTCCTGGGGCAAACCAGAGAATTTGGCAATCTGATTGGGGGTGGTCCTTCAGAGACCCACAGGCCAGTGGCATCGGTGCAGAGTGCCCAGGTTCACAATGCAGCTTGTGGCTCGTGTCCATCTTGCAGGTCGCTCTTCCTCCACATCACAACTGGGGTCTTAAGGATGACGAGGGCAGGAAATCCTCCGGGCTCTTAGGAAATTTCACTCCGCTTCTGCCCAGTGGTCTCTTTGGTCGGCAGGGTGTTCTTCTCCTGCGTCTCCGTTTTCTTCAGCTTGGCCCTATTGAAGCTGGCGATTCCCCCCACGTCTGGTTTGTCTGCCATTTTCTTAAAACAATCGGTACCATCCGTGGCGGGCTCTTAGCTCACTGCAACACTCTGCCTCCTGGGTTCAAGCAATTCCCCTGCTCAGCCTCCCCGAGTAGCTGGGATTATAGGTGCCCACCACTGCGTCCAGCTAATTTTTGTATTTTTAGTAGAGACAGGGTTTCACCAATATTGGCCATGGTTGGCCAGGCTGGCCTCAAACTCCTGACCTCAGGTGATCTGCCCACCTCGGCCTCCCAAAGTTCTGGGATTACAGGCGTGAGCCACCGTGCCCGGCCTGGTTAATGCAGTTTTTTTAGTTTGTTCTTTCTTTTTCTCTTTGTCTCTCCTCTCTCTTTCTTTCACTCGCTTTGTCACCCAGGCTGGAGTACGGTGGTACAATCATAGCTCACTGCCACCTCAACCTCCTGGGCTCAAGAGATCCTCCCACCTCAACCCCCCACGTAACTGGGATTACAGAAGCACACCACCGTGCCCAGCTAATTTTATTTATTTATTTATTTTTTTAGAGATGGGGGTGTCAGCATCTTACCCAGGCTGGTCTCGAACTCTTGGGCTCAAACGATCCTTACACCGTGCCCAGCCTGGGGTTTCTTTCTTTAAAACATTATACCTTTAGGTGTTTCCTGTGTGTTTAGCAGTTAATTATCCAAAAGATCTAGTGTAGCACGTCTCAATGTGTTTGTGTCGTATTTGTTGAACTAATGGCATATCTTTTAGCATTCGCCAGTATCACAGAGTGAAGTTCTGCACACACACAGAACTTGAATGTATATGTTGCCTGTGTACCTGCCTTTTCTTTTTTTTATTTACATTAGAATTTCTATTTGGCTCTTTTTCCCTTGTAGGGCATGCTGTTGAAGCGAAGTGGCAAATCGTTGAATAAAGAGTGGAAAAAGAAATATGTCACCCTGTGTGACAATGGCGTGCTGACCTATCATCCCAGTTTACATGTGAGTATAGCCCCCTCGGAGCAATTAACAGCTGCAGACCTCAACTAAACACTGTGGGGAAGGGGAACCTACCAGCAGCCCAGCCTCTTGTCTCTGTTTGAAGTGAAAGTCGTATTTGGTCTCCTGCTCAACTGTGAGATAAATAACCCTGTTCCTCACACTCCACTAGACCATATGTCTTTCTCTCTCTTCCCCTCCCTACCAGTCAATCTGTGGCTTTCCAATTCTACAAAGAATTACAATAAAAGGCACAGATGAAGTAAAATTTTAGATGAGAGTAAAAAGACAGGGGCAAGGAGAAAAGAGAAAGGAGAGAAGAGTGGTCTATCTGAAAATCGAGAATGAAGGAAACAATTACATTTGAACCCAGGATTTAGCTTTGAAAAGCTGTGAACAATAATCAGAAGTCAAATGCAATTCATGACTCAGCTTTTATTGTCAGATAACACATTCCAGTGCATTAGGCAAAAGAAACTCTCCTCTTTGTGTTATATGTAAGTTTATGTTACATATAAGTTTGTTATATCCGTGGTGTATAAGATAGATGTATAAACAAAATTAACTTTATTCTTGGGGAAGAAATGCAGACGTTCTACCCATTGATAAAATATAAAAAAATGCAGACATTCTACCCTTGATAAAATTTAAAGTTGGGGTGTTCTAGTTTCATAGCAAACCATTCCATAACTCTTACTTGATGCAGAGAAATGTGTAGATTAGAATATATGGTGGAAGTCAGTCATTTGATTCCATTGTCCCTCAGTATCTATGGGGGATGGATTCTGGGATCTGCCTTGTATACCAAAATCCATGGTGGTCGAGTCCCTTATATTAAATGGCATAGTATCTGCATATAACCTGAGAGTATCATCCTCTATACTTTTAAGTCATCTCTAGATTACTTATAATATGTAATAGAATGTAAATTCTCTGTAAATAGTTGCTATACTATTGTTTTTTATTTGTATAATTTTTCACTGTTGTATTAGGTTATTTTTCACTGTTTTTTTTTTTTTTTTTGAGAGGAGTCTCACTCTGTCTCCCAGGCTGGAGTGCAGTGGCGCGATCCTGGCTCACTGCAACCTCTGCCTCCTGGGTTCAGGCAATTCTCCTGCCTTGGCCTCCCAAATAGCTGGAATTACAGGTGCCTGCCACCATGCCCAGCTAAATTTTTTTGTGTTTTTAGTAGAGACGTGGTTTCACCATGTTGGCCAGGCTGGTCTTGAACTCCTGACCTCAAGAAATCCGCCTGCCTCGGCCTCCCAAAATGCTGGGATTACAGGTTTGAGCCACCGCGCCTGGCCTTCTTTTGAATATTTTTAATCCATAGTTGATTGAATCTGCACATTCAGAATCCACAGATAACAAAAGGCAACTTTATATCACTGTGTCAGGCTAGTAGTAATAGTCACAGCAGCAGCAGCAGCAGCAGCAGTATTTTTTGGTAGAGACTGGGTCTCCCTCTGTTGCCCAGGCTAGTTTTGAATTCCTGGCCTCAAGCAATCTGCCTAACCTCGCCTTCCCAATGTGCTAGGATTACAGTCATGAGCCATGACACCCAGCCAAGCTATTAATTTTTAAAATTTTGAAATGCTTTGTAAAATGGCACAGTTATTGATGAGAAGTTAGAAATAGCATATTGAAGAAAATTAATATCATTCCTAAAATACCACCTAGGGAACCTGACTTCACATTTTAGGGTGCATACTCCCGGCTATTTCTATGTATATTTCTCTTTTCCTTCCACAAGCACATGGTCACTGTGTATACACTGCCCACAGCCTGCCTTCCTCACTCATAGTAGATATTTTCATGTCAAGAAATATACTTGTACACCACCATTTTTAATGATTATATAATATTCCACTGTGTGGATGTGCCTTCATTGATCCCACGGTATCTGAAAAATGAACCTTGGCAGATAAATTTACTTTCAGTTTTTTCACTGTCATAAAGAACTCTAATCAACGTTCCTCTGTTTATCTCTCTGTCCCCTTGTCCAATTTGCCTAGGATACATTCCTAGCAATTGGCTTCCTGCGTTGAAGAGTCGCATGTGCTTTCATGGTTTTTGCTGTATTTTGTCAAATTCCCAGAAAGGTTGTATCAGTTTATCTCATCTGGCAGTGTATAAGAGAGCCTTTTCTCTGCCCTCTCAAGAACATTT
Source organism: Homo sapiens (assembly GCF_000001405.40). Lineage (NCBI taxonomy): Eukaryota > Metazoa > Chordata > Mammalia > Primates > Hominidae > Homo > Homo sapiens. Next base: position 235,885,616 of record NC_000002.12, read on the forward strand.
ACCTTCAGAAAGAAGAGCTTTTCCTAATATGATAGGTAGCACATGGGAACCTTGATGCTGAGTTCGCTTGCTGGCGTCTTGAGTTGCCCTTGTCTCCTTGTCTTTTAGCGTAGCTATACCTTTCAGAACCACGCAGCAAAGCAGGTCTTCCGTCGGCATCTCTCACTGGTTTCTGTTGTTACTGAAAGCACCTCCCATGCGTTACTATTCAGTGGGATTCGAGATGCAGATATGGATAGATTCTTACATAGATATTCTTTATTGCAGTAAGGAAATTCCTTTGTGCTCAGTGTCCTGCTAGTTTAGTTTTGGAATATAGTCAGACTGGTTCTCCAGGGGGCCTTCAGATCGAAGAGATGTAATACCCATTCCATGACGCCCACCTGGGACCAGGTTGGCATCTCTCCAGGACTGCCCCATGTAGGTCTCCAGTTCTGCAGCCCTCTCCACACCCAGCTTCCATCCATCAGAACAACAGCGAGGCACCAGGTCTTCCCTGGATTCTCTCTGCAAAGTTGCTCCATCAGCAGTGGCCGGGCTGCCCTGTTACTGGCTTAGCTCCTCCTATGGACCCTGTCAGAGAGCAGAGGTCTAACTATTGAACCAGTCGCTTTATGTAAGTTAGAGAAGTGCAATCAAAATATCATTCTTGGTAAGACTCACTGACCAGTAAAAAGTGAGAGCTGATGGATGATACATTTCCAGTCAACATATGCTCACTGCTGAGCTCAGGCTCAGTCGAAGGGATGTTTGCTGCTTCTTGCCAAGGGGCAGATATGGTAACAACGATATGTATCAGAAGATTCCCTTAGGAGGCCTAAAGCCTGTTTGCTTTTCATCCAATCCCTTGAGTATATAATCACAACCAGTTCTTCAAAAATTCTCCTATCCACAGGCTTTTTTTTGTGATGTCCCTCAGTGTTTGCCAATTCCATCCTTTCTCCTTCATTCATAAGTATGCATGAATCTTACTGGAGTACGGAAGAGGGGCGCAATGGGGCTTTGTTGTATAATTGTATAGCAAGCAAGAGCCAATGTCATTTTCAAATGCAATCCTTTTAATGCCAGTCTCCTTGGAACTGAAATTTTTGATGCAGGTACGTAGTTCCCTATGGAAGGGGCTTAATCCAGGAATGGATTTGAATCACTAGAGCCTGAAGAGATGGCATGACCTTCCACGTAATCCTTCATGGGTTTCATTTTCACAGCCAAGCATTGGATAAAAGTGTGGAGAGGCAGTGACTTCCAGGTGTATTCTCTGACAGGTGCATACGAGTCCGTTCTGTTGTGACTTGTTAGGGGAAGTGCTGACCCACACCAGCTGAGTTAGTCTGGTGGTCTTGGTTCAAAATGGGAAGAGGCATTCAATGGGACACCCACGAGCCGAATCCAGATTTTCCTTCATAAGAAACTTGAGAATGTGCAAATGTGTTGCTAGTTCAGGTCCCAAAATTTTACACCGTGAGAGTGACCCAGTTATCTCAGTCTGGAAAATTTCAAAAGATCGTAGAACCAGATGATCTCAGTTAAACACGGACCATGCTGTGACACCCACATCCTTGGCTATCTCCAGGATGTATTACGGCAGAAGGACCACTGAGAGTCATTGGCCACATGCAGTGGTGGCATAAGTGGTCAAGTGTTGGGAAAGCTGCCAGGATTGCTGGTGTTTGGGTTTCAGAGTCATTATTGTTGCTCCTAACTCTATTACTGACCACAGCGTGAAGTGGGGCCTCTCCCTGGTAACACCCTATTGTCTGAACATGGGAACCTGCCTCCTTTTCTCTCCTCTGGGATTCAGGCCCATGTCCAGCCTCTGTAGACCTATATCAAGTCATTAAAAGTAGATGTTAACCTGTCAGTGGACCAGAATAACTCCCTGTTTTACACTAGAGGAAAATGTTATCTGGTTTCTGAGAACACTATTCTCATCCACCTTTTCTCTCAAAGGCAGATGGGGCCCAGGTTCCAACACAAGAGCCCCCGGAGCAGGGGCCTGCATTGATCTCATATAGCATAGCCTACAGCCCGTTCTTTTCCACAGAGCCCAGGAAAAAAAATCCCGGCCAAACCATCAGATATTTTTAGTTTTCTACAAAGATGTAAACGGGTATCAATAGTGAGGTTGCTGCACCGATTCCTGGTGTATACCACTAATTTAAGAAGCCCAGGTAATTAGTGGACTAAAAAGGAAACTAGCATGCTTTTGGGGAGACGGGATTCTAATCAGCTAATACTTCTATTATGGGGTGCTGACTTGAGAGCGCCAGGCTTGCAGTTGTATTAAACGTGGAAGATTCAGACAGAGATGAGATAGGGCCGTGCGGCAGCCCATCACCGGCAGCGCTTGCTCGTGGTGGTGAGGCCTCTCCCTTCCGGCACAGACATTTATCTTCTGTCCACGTGTGTGCCGCTCACAGTCCACGTAAGGCTGCGCCCTGGTGCCACCACCAGCCTCCTTCCATTTGCTTATCATGTTAAATTCAGGGAGCTGGGGAGAGGGTCTTGCACACAAGGAACATTGGAGCAAGAGTAAACAACTGAGTCAAGTTTAAACGGAATAGGCCAATGTGGTTATGGGCAGGGGGCGGGGGAGCGGGTAGTTCAGGAGGATCTCAGGATTATTTGTTCTTTAGGATCAAACCGAGAAGGTGGAATCGAGGGTCTTTACCACCCTTGTCTTTCTCCCTCTGTGACACAGGGATGTTCAGGCATAGTAGCTGATGTCAGAGGATTGCCTGTGTGGGATAGGAGGGTCTAGAAGGCTCGACTCCCCTCCTAGGGCTGCTCCACACAGCTCCTGCATTAGTCAACCAAATTAAATTCCCAGGCGAGCTCCCCAACCAGTCCTCCCTAGACAAGACAGGCAAGCAAGGGCCGAGTTGATAGACCTGCCTGGGCAACATGGAGAGACCCCATCTCTACAACAAATAAAAAAGTGAGCCAGGTGTGGTGGAGCACACCTGTAGTCCCAGCTACTCAGGAGGCTGAGGCAGGAGGATCACTTGAGCCAGGAGGTCAGGGCTTCACAGTGAGCTATGATCGTGCCACTGCACTCCAGCTTGGGCGACCATGCAAGACCCTGTCTTTAAAAAAAAAAAAAAAGTTGATAGAGGCAGGTACAGCATTTGTTGCTGTCGGGTAGAGCGGCCACCCACTGCCCCAGCCTTCCCTGTGGCCACTTCAGCTCCTGCGTGCTCCCAGCAGTGCCAGCATCCTCATACCTTTGTTTGGGAAAGACACCCCAGCAGTGGGGAGCTCTGGCTTTCAGTTCCTTTGCACACTGTGGAAGCAGGAGACTGACCATTTCCTAACCTTGCCAAAAACTCTGGGTGAGGGTTTTTCAATGTCTTCATTAGATGCCCTTAGGAAAAGATCTCCCTGAAGAGGTCATTTCTGTTCCTGAGGTATCTGAACACAGTTTGCTTATTGCACAAGTGTCCACGGAAGTGTTTGTGTGAAAGATCGATCACCTTTGGACACGAACTTCAAGTATCAGTCCCAGACAGATGTTTTCCACACATCGGTGTGTTCGAAAATAAACCCAGCTCTTGGCCAAACAAACAGTCGGTATGTGGCCGTGCTGTGCACCGAGCTCGTGGAATCCCAGCAGGATGACCTGCTCTTTGAAACTGTGGCTTCAGAACAAAGCAGCCAGTCATGAAACTGGGGAAACCTGACATTGCAGGACACCGTGGGGCTGGTGTGAGGCTGAAAATGTACCTAGAATGGGTCGGCTGCCTGGGAACCTCACGAATACTGATCCCCAGGGACTGCGTGTCTCCCTCAGAACTGGGGCAGCTTTCTACTTGCAGAAGATCATGACAAGGGACTTCAGCTGGGTGGTGGCCCTGGGATGTCACTTTCCTTCCCACTTAATTGCTTTGGATTTCTCTTTCCTTTCTCGTCATCCCCCAAAAGTGTCTTTGCCTTTTTTTTTTTTTTTTAGCCCTGAGCCCCAAGCTCAGTCCTTACATAGATTGTTTAGGAGACCAGTAATCCCTAGTTCCTTTGACTTGCAGCTCAGCCTCACTCTGTCCTTTACTTAGGACATAAGCTAAATCTACATACCCTTCCTACACCACAGATAGAAGATATGGAGGGAAACCTTTTTCTCCAGGTCTGTTTCATGTTGTTGAAAACCTCAAACCTTTTTCTTAGGAGAGAACCTCTGTTTCTAAGCAGTGGAATAGAATTGCTTATGGAATAGCCAGGTCATAGGATGTGATAATTTCCCTGGAAATCAGAGGGGAAAAGAAGCAAAACATGGAGCCAACTCAGACTAAGAAAGCTCCATGAAAGTTTATGCCAGTGATAACCTCCAGGCCCCAGATCTGCTCAGCTTGGGTTCTGTGAAGTCTTGACCCCAGCCATCACCCACAGCCACATCTCCCAGCCTCCTTCAGCTCTTCCCCAAAGGCTTAGGAGGTGTTAGCACTGGCTGCCTCAGGATGATGGGGTCCCTGCACTTCCATGCTGTGTAGGTTGAGAGAAGGAGGTATGGGCACAGGAGGAAGTGATGGTAGATTTCCACTGTAGTTATTCCCTTTTTTTTTTTTTTTTTTAAGACAGTCTTACTCTGTCCCCCAGGCTAGAGTGCAGTGGCACGATCTCAGCTCACTGCAACCTCTGGGTTCAAGTGATTCTCCTGCCTCAGCCTCCTAAGTAGCTGGGATTACAGGCATGCACCACCACGCCTGGCTAATTTTTTGTTTTAGTAGAGATGGGATTTCACCATGTTGCCCAAGCTGGTCTCAAACTCCTGACCTCAAGTGATCCACCCGCCTCAGCCTCCCAAAGTGCTGGGATTATAGGCATGAGCCACTCTGCCCAGCTGTGGTTATTCCTAAAGGCCAGTGGTGGGGCAGGATAACAAGGACAGCACCAGAGTGGGGAGGGGTGAATGAACCTACAGCGTCCACATCATTGCTTCCCTCACAGAGTATGTTCAGCCACCAGTTGACAGTGGGCGGGGGCTGCCCAGCCTGTCCAGGAGCTGGAGCACACCTGCATAGCTTTCAGATCACACAGAGGTGCCCTGCTGCAGACGCTCAGGCTACATCCGTTCTAGTGGGTGTGTTTGAAGGTAGACATTGGGAAACTGGCTGGAAGGTGTCCGTTTTAGAAACATGGAGAACGAATTCTTTCACTGGGTAGGAAGTTTGATGACATTGTCTTCTAGGTCACTTCAGACTCTGAAGAATGTGAGCTCTAAAACTTTCACCAAAAACTCTCAGCAAACTCAAGCTAATGGAGTTAGTTGGATTTCTAAGGAAAACGCTGTCCTGAAGTTGAAGCTACTGGGTGTAAGACTAAAACTGAGGCTCAAAAAAAAAAACACCTCAGTTAATTCATCTTTCTTTCTCAAGATGCTATTATTAAATGAAACCAAAACCCAGTTGAGATAACAGATAGAAAACTCAACCAAATAATGAATGAAACTGCCTTAATGGAGTGGCCAACTGCCCTGGTTTTCTGCAGGACTGAGGGGTTCCCAGGGTGCAGGACTTTCATAGCTAACATCAGGGAAGTCCCAGGCAATCTGGGACCTGGCCGCACTTGCTGCAGTACTGACCGCCCTAACAGCTCCTTTATCTCCACTTCGCATTTTGCAATGATAACCCTAAACATTTAAATAAGACTGACACGGTCAAAGCAAGCACGCTGGCTGATGCTGCTGCTCTGCGGTCTACATTTTTGTGTCTTTGAAAAATTGTATGTCTCCAAGACCTTTAAAAAGCCCTAACTGCTTAACTTTCTTGGGGGAAATATATATGAGTGTCTCATGGTTTTCAGACACTTTGCTGGATCACAGTTCAGGTGGATCGAGGGCAGCCTGTTCTAAGACCCTGAGAGTCCCTTTCTGTGGACTTAAATGTGAGCCTTAGGGAGCACCTTGATAGAAAAATGGAGGCATAATGAGAAAGAACTTGGACCTCAGGGCTTCACAGTTCAGCGTGGCCACCTATTCATCTTCCATGTCGCAAGCACGGCCGTCGAGTGCAAGGCTGCAATTCCCTGCTGACAAAGATGTGTGCAGTGAGATTCCTAAGTGGACCTGGAAGGATGAGCTGAGTGGCCTCACGGTCAAGCCAAGGACTTCAAGGTGCCCCTGTCTAGGAAAGCTCACCAGTGTTCCGGTCCTGGCTCTCTGGGCTTCCTCAGGAGGTCGTTTGGCAGCTGTGAAACTCCTCCCCTCCGGGCCATACCTGGCAGACGTGCATGAACTGGTCAGACTTTTAAAAAACCTCCTTCTGGCCAGGTGTGGTGGCTCACACCTGTAATCCCAGCACTTTGGGAGGCTGAGGTGGATGGATCACCTGAGGTCAGGAGTTCAAGACTAGCCTGGCCAATATGGTGAAACCCCATCTCTACTAAAAATATAAAAACTAACCAGGTGTGCTGGTGGGTGCCTGTAATCCCAGCTACTTGGGAGGCTGAGGCAGGAGAATTGCTTGAACCCAGGAGACGGAGGTTGCAGTGAGCCGACGTGGTGCCACTGCACTCCAGCCTCGGCAACAGTGAGACTCCCATCTCAAAAAAAAAAAAAAGTCCTTCTTAGATTCCTTTCCATTCTGCATGTGCCCACATTAAAACAGCTGTGGCTCTGTCATTTCTCCCTGACCTGCAATACTGGAATTTTCCTTCTTAAATTTTCCTCCTTTAAAATTGTTAAAGAGCTTTTCTTCTTTTCATTACTAGGCAGGTTAATTTCTATCTGAGTGGCTTGGACTCTCCTGCAACACATAAACCCTTTGATTCTGTGTGTCGTCAAAGTTTGGTTTTGTTCTTTCAAAGCCAGGGCAGCCAAACTTGGACTCTCTAAAATTATCATCAGAATGCAGATTTCAGAAAGTTTCTAGTTTCAAAATCAGACAGAAGACCCACTTCTTTACTGATGTAAAGACAACAAAAAGATCTGTGATGATTCCTAAGTAGGTATTTTCCTCAAAAGAAATCATTCAAGAAAAAAAAAAAAAAGATTGCTATGAGAATAGCAGCTCGTGGCTGTGCTCAGTGCCTGTAACTGCCTTTGTAAATACACGAATTCCTCACATAGGACTGCAACATTTTACTTGAGGATTGAAGATTCACGAAGAATCTGTGATCCATCTCTTCACCCACCTTCACTGTCTGCTAGGATGGACCTCAGACTTCTTGAGGTCGTGAACATTCATTTACACTCAGAGAAACTTTTCACTGGTTTCCCCAGAACATTGAAACAGTCAGAATAACTCCTGTGCAGGCTACTGGACTGACAAATGTGAAGGCCAGATTTTCAGATGTGAAGCTGGGAAGACCAAAAAGACAGACCTCCCTTTCTTACTGAGAAGAGCGTAGTCAGACATGTCAAGTCTGGCACGCTGCTGCAGAAGGCGTGATTCATCTTAAGATCAAAAATTATTTCATCTTGCTTTCTTGGTCATAAGCTAAGGTGCTTGGAGCTGTCCTTTGGCCTTTCATGTGCTGTGTCTGTGGTGCGGGTGTGCTGTGTCCTCATAAGGGTGCGCCATGTCTGTGGCGTAGTGTGCACCGTGTCCATCATAAGGGAGCGCTGTGTCTTTGGCGCGGGTGTGGCGTGGGTGTGCCATGTCCATCATAATGAAGCACCATGTCTGTAGCGCGGGTGTGCCATGTCCATCATAAGGAAGCGCCGTGTCTGTAGCGTGGGTGTAGCGTGTCTGTGGCGCAGGTGTGCCGTGTCTGTGGCATGGGTGTGGCTTGTCTGTGGTGTGGGTGTGCCGTGTCCATCATAGGGGTGTGCTGTGTCTGTGGCGTGGGTGTAGCGTGTCTTTGGTGTGGGTGTGCCGTGTCCATCATAAGGAAGAGCTGTGTCTGTGGTGCGGGTGCACCATGTCCATCATAAGGGTGAGCCATGTTTGTGGCGTGGGTGTGGCATGTCCACGAGGGTGCACCATGTCTGTGGTGCGGGTGTGCCGTGTCCATCATGAGGGTGCGCCGTGTCCGTCATGCAGATGTGCCTTCATGGCCCTCCCTGATTCCCAGGCCCCATCTAGTGTACATCATTGCCTCGGGTGAGAATGTCCCTTTCTGCCCCATCTAGTGTATGTCATTGAGGAGGAGGGCTGTGTTCCCCACAGTCTGCCCAGGGGCTGTCATGTGAGTGGCACATAGGTATTGCTTAGTACACACCGGTCACAGTGACTTGAGTGCCACCACAATGAAGTTTCCAATCGTGTGACTCCTTCAGCATCTTTGCTCCTGAACTTCCTGGACTCCAGCCCTCAACATTGACAATCCTGGCTGTGCTCTACAGATTGTGGTATGATTGAGACTAACAGTACTCACCATGTCTTACAACATGACCTCCCTAAACTGACATAGGGTTGGGTGAACACACACACACACACGTAATCACTGCCTCACGTGGCATTATTACAAATGCTGCAAAATCTAAACACATCACTGGAATCCAAAAAGCAATCCATTTAGAGGCATATGAGGAGATTGTACGGATATTAAAGAACAAAGATCTGGAACTATGGCAACAAACCAACGTTGCTGTTCTAGCCTGAGCTGCCTGTTTTAGGCAAATGGGAATGCTTTTGGAAACAATATGAACCGCAACGGGTATTTCTGCAAGTTTCTAAGACTGGCAGGAGTCAGCTCGGGGGAAGCAGGAAGAATCCCCAGTTGGTTGGCTATTCTTGGGACCGAAGAGATAATCCCCATTGAACAGAGCCTACACTCACATCCTTGAGTCCGTGATGTTCTTCGCTTCCCTGGGAACAGCCAGAGTCCAGCTTTCCGTGTGGATTGCTTTCACAGGGATATCTGGCCCTTCAAGCCAGTGGTGTGAATGTCACCCCAAGAACCTTGACGTGTAGATACTGCCTACTTCAAGTCATACTGCAGCTCTGCCTCTTCCCAAGATAGGATTTGAAGCAGCTTCCAACAGAAAATGGATGTGAAAATGTATTGTGAACACATGCATAGGACCATACATACATCATACACACACACATACACACACACTTAAACATACACATGCACATGTACACACACACACACAGCTATGGGCACAACTTCATTTCAACTTGTAGATTGTGAAGTAAAGGCATTGGAACTTTGTGGCTTGCAAATCTAAATTACCTCCTTCCATCTTAAGATCTCTTCCCTCCTTTATTCTAAAGTGTGATTCGGCTCCTCTCTTAGCTGATCCTTCTGGTGTGCAGGTCAAAGAACACTGAGCTGGGAATCAGTTGTGGTTTCCGATTCTGCCGTTGCCCCACCCGCTTCCATGTTGGTTCCAACGTGGCTTTGTGGAGTCCTGGGACTCAGGCACAGTGTGAGAATCACTGAGCCTCTCAAGGTCAATTATGCAGTGATTGCTTGGTAGCTCTTCTTCCTCCACCCACAGCCTCGGCCTCGGCCTCCGTTTTCTCTTCCTCCTGGGAATTCATCCAGAATGACGCCAGAAGTCACACAGAGGTGATCTTGCAGACCATACTCCCCTGAGTGTGCAGGCCTGCATTTTTGCTCAGTTCAGCTAGCGCAGTGGCCTGCTCATAAAGTTTTCCAAAACCTGTAGGCTGTATGAAGAATAGCGGTTACTCCTAAGCTGCTTTTAACTTTCACCTTGTGATTCTCATCATATTTTTGTTGATTTCCCTCCTTTGAGTTCTTTTATGTATTTCCATGATGGAGAAGATCCCCTCTCCCGCTTGGTTGATGTCCGTGCCCCTGCTCTTGCCCCAGCTTGCCTCCTCAGACTGGCCTCTCACCTGCTTCCTGCTCTATCGCTGTCTTTGTTTTCTTTTAGTTTCTCATACTTGCCATGTTATCTGGCCTCCGGGTCTTCACAAATGCAGTTGCCTCTGTTGAGAATGTTCTTTTCTGCCCCATCTCTTTGCCTCACTAACTCCTCTTTCCAATCCTGGCTTAAATGCTACTTCCTCTTGGGAGTTTCCCCACACTCGGCCTATTTGGGCACCCATGCTGTGTGTGCTCTCACGTTACTCTATTGGGCCATCTCTCTGATTCTCCCACAAGACTGGAAGCTCCTTGAGGCAAGGATGTATATGTCACCAATGTATCTCTAACATCTGGAACACTGGCTTGTTGGATGGATGGATGGATGGATGGATGGATGGATGGATGGATGGATGGATGAATGGAGGCACAATTAGCCCATATGCTTAACCTTTCCTTAAATGTGTCGGACTAGAGTTCCTAAAACCTCGTGGAAGGAATCCACCATGCAACACTTTTAGGAAGCAGAAATATGTCTCAGCCATATTCTGGCTCCATTTGCTGCAACTTAAAGAAGGATCTTGATGGGAGAAAAGCTTCAGGATTTTGTTTGTTGCTTTTTTCATTTTAATTGTAAAATACATACAACATTTGCCACCTTAATCATTTTAAGTATACTGTTCAGTAGTATCATATACGTTCACGTTGTTGGGCAGTCAACCTCCAGAACTTTTTCATCTTACAAAACAAACTCTACGCATAAACACAAATTCCTATCCCCCCTCCACTCAGCCCCTGGCAACCAGCATTCCAGTTTCTGTCTCTATGAATTTGTCTGCTCTAGGAACCTCATATAAATGAAGTCATATGCTGTTTGTCTTTTTATGACTGGCTTGTTGCATTTAACATTATGTCCTCAAGATTCTTCCAGTTGTAGTGTGTGTCAGAATTTCCTTCCTGTTTGAGGCTGAGTAATATTCCGTCATATGTACACACCACATTTTGTTTGTCCATGGATGGACACTTGCTTTCACCTCTTGGCCACTGTGGACAATGCTGCTAGGAATGTGAGCATACAGATAACTCTTCAGAGCTTGGGTTTTAAATGTAAAAACTGTAACATGGGAAAGCTACAGAGTATGGCTGAATATTAAACCTGCCTAACCTTACCAGCACTCTGGTCATGGTACATTTGCTGGGCCCAGTCCTGACCACAGTGAACTGTGCAGGCTTCATAACATGCATGGTGGTCTGGAAGCCATGTGATAAGAAGAAGAAAACCACCCAGCAATGACATGGTCACATGGGCTCTCCTGGAGTTTGCTAAGCACCTGGGTGACCTGGGAAAGAACTTTGTCATTCATGTGACCTGTTTGAAAGAATGTGATCAGTTGTTTCTCCCATGTGTCAACAGTTCCAAAGCCAAGGAATTAGGCCGCCATAAAAGTAGAAATGTTTTCAGGGCATAGTGACAACTTTTGTTGGAAATGGAGCCTACTAAAAACTCACTGGTGTTACACCAACACAGAAAAGGACTCTGTATCAAAGTCTATTTCTGTCTATGTAATTCTTTCTTTGTTTTATATACCCTCAGGGTTTGGAAATGTTTGGGATTTAAAAATAAAAGGGCCGAAAGCTATCCTCACGACATTTCATTATTGATGTTGTTGACACACAGTGAATGGAAGCAGGGTGAGACTGGACAAAATAAAGTCCTCTTATTTCTTTTTTTGTTTGTTTTTTGTTTTATTTGGTTTTATTTGTTTTTTTGGAGACAAAGTCTTGCTCTGTTGCCCAGGCTGGAGTGCTGTGGCGTGATCTCAGCTCGCTGCAACCTCTGTCTCCAGGGTTCAAGCAATTCCACCATGCCCGGCTAATTTTTATATTGTTGGTAGGGACAGGGTTTTGCTATGTTGGCCAGGCTGGTCTCAAATTCCTGACCTCAACTGATCCGCCCACCTCGGCCTCCCAACCTGCTGGGATTACAGGCGTGAACCACCACGCCTGACCAAGTCCTCATGTTTCTAAAAATTATACCACTAAATAGTGTAGATCCTACCTAACCTATTTTCAACATTGAAAAATTCTGCCTTCTTGCATTTCTAGTTAAAATGAAAAAATAGAATATATGTGTGTTTCTATAAATAGCAGATTTAACAGTGTGGCTGGAGGGTTTGAGTCTCTAAGCTTCCAGTGGAATCCAAGGGACATCGTCCTACCAGTATGCCGCGTGATATGTCAGATCGTCTCTGGCCGTCCTTTGTACCCAATTGATAACATTTTGTTTTCCATTTTTGGCCTTTTCGTGTTACTCATTGAGGCCAAAAATTCTTACACAAGGTAAATAAATCAAATCCCTCTGGTTTCCTCAGCAACAGTAAGTCACAGCCGAGGACTCAGTAGGAGAGGATGACTGTGGGGGGTCATGAGGAATGTTCTTTTACTTCTACTAAGAAATTGAATTTCATTATTATATTTTATAAATATTTTCTTCTTTGGCTTATAACCTGATTGCGGGCTTGTTGCTGAGGTCTTGGAAGGTAGGTAGGGAGGGGCAGGGCTGGAGAGGCCTGTTTCTTCTCAGGTGTGCCTGTGGCCCCAGATGGAAACCAATCAAGGTGCGATTTATGTTCATTAAGTGCTTGTCAAAACTGAAAAATTTTCTAATCAACAGCAATCTAGCTGCAGCCCCCTCGATGGCTGGGAGGGCCACCTCTGCCGCATCGGCTATTTGCCTGTTACAACTCTAGGCTAAAAATCCGCTGATGATTACATTAGGCTAAGCTGCGAAGTAAATGAACCATGTCTTATTTAGGTGCCACTAGCTTCAGAGTAGTCCTGCCCCGCAGGGCACTTGATAGCATTTTATGGCTTTAAAATTAGTGTAGCTTCCCATTTGCTGCAGGGTGCTACATGTTCTGCCTTTGAACTCAATAAGCAAAGGGAACGGGGCCTTTTGTTTTTCCCCCTTCTTTTTTTCCCCTTGCATTTTAGCAATTTTGTTTTGCATCTTTTCCAGACGGCATTTTGCAATAAAAATGTCTGACTACCATATACATGCCTCCCCCATTTAAAAAAAAAAAAGGTGGGGGAAGAGAAGGAGGAAAAAGCAGAAAATGTCATGCGTTTGCAGAGGACAGGTTCCCCCCCCCACCCCCACCCCCGCCTGTGCTACAAAGTGAAAAATGGCTTTGCAGGTCAACCCTAATGACTTATCATGTCAGAATTGCTACCTCAAGTGGGAACAACACCTTTAGCCCAAGAAATTGCCACATAAAGTCAAAGGGAAAATAGTTCAGTATTTTTATTGGACAAGAGTGGTGAGAGCTAACATTTATGGAGGGCTTTGGCGCTCTGTTAAGCACTTGAGTATTATCTCAGTGAACCCTCGCAACAGTATCATGAAGCTAGAACTGTTTTTAAAGATGTGGACATGGGGACCCTGAGTGACTGAATGACAGGCCCCCAGTGTGCAACTCGGAGGAGAGTGGAGGCACTCTGATTTCGAGGCTTATTCCCTGACCAAGAGAAAGTCAACTTTTGTCTTCCAAAGACTTCTTTAGGAAATCAGAAAAGTGTGGTTATCAGTGAATTATCTGATTCATTTGAATGGAATCTAATACAAGGTGCTGTGAACTCCCTTGGCAGGCATTATGTTTAGGAAAACAAGAGTAGTTCCTGTAAAAGCAATGCATGGGAAAAATACGTATAGAAGACTTCTAAATAGGCCTAGGTGGAAAGTTTAAAAATTAGAAGTACTGACCCTTTGTCAAGGGGAAAAACTGAAGTGGGAGTTTGTCCGTGTTACCTTAGGTCTCATGGCAGAAGACATGATGTAGCAATCGATATTCACCTCAGAGGACAGATGTATATGCTCTGCTGTCTTAAAACTCTACTGTTTGGCCGGGCGCGGTGGCTCGCACCTGTAATTCCAGCACTTTGGGAGGCTGAGGCAGGCGGATCACTTGAGATCAGGCGTTCAAGGCCAGCCTGGCCAACATGGTGAAATGCCGTTTCTACTAAAAATACAAAAATTAGCCAGGCATGGTTGCAGGCGCCTGTAATCCCAGCTACTTGGGAGGCTGAGGCAGGAGAATTGCTTGAACCCAGGAGGCGGAGGTTGCAGTGAACCAAGATCATGCCACTGCACTCCAGCCTGGGCAACAAGAGCGAAACTGTGTCTTAAAAATATATATATACTGTTTGTTTTAGCGCTGCACATTTTAGCAAATTCGTCCAAAGAAATCTGAAGTTTTAAAGAGACCCAGACAGGCAGTATCACCATGGTGAACATTTCCTTATAAGTCAAAATTTCTAGGATCTAACTATTGATCCAGTTGTTTCAAGCCATATTCAAATATTAAAATACTAGGACAGCAAAGGAATTGTGTTGGCTCCTTGAAGTTCATTGTAATGAGAGGCCTACAGTGACTGTGTAGAGACAAGCAGCTGTTTTCATATCCGAGGCATGCATCGTACAGGCTAGGTTTGAGCAGGCATGGGTTACAACTGCGTAATACTCAATTTAACCTAGAATGAGAAAAATCTTTCAGGCAGTGTAAACCTCAATACAGTAGGTCAGTCAAGACAGATACAGTCAAGAAGCAAAAGGTGTATTCATAATTCGATTTAGAATTTTCTGCTTTTTGATTTGTAGTAGAATAACTTAACCCTTTGGACTGGTGGACTTGAGCCCACGCATGTTGGACACTGGCCTCCGCAGCACATGAAGCAGAGAAGTCTGCTTTTGCCATCATGTAGGGACTCTCCACTGTACATGAAGCTGCCACCACTGGTCCCCAACAAGGCCTCACCAGCCTTCTCGTTTACCACGTGTAGCATAATGACCCAGACCCAATAAAGCATTTACTAAGTCAAGAATATTCCACACATACTCTTCCTTACCTCCATGATGGAGTAGTAGACTGATTTCATCTTGATAGTCTGGGTCAGTCACTCCAGCCAACACTGTAACTTCCTTCTTAGCCTGTTGACTTTGAGGTAGGAGGAGCCCAAAGTGGCCAGGTGACAATCTTACAGTTTAATGGAATTGTTGTTGTGTCTCGGTGGCAGCATTTCTCCCTCTGGAACTAAGACCCCTAGGCCAGCAGAACGTAATGTTGTGGGAACAGGAAGCAAAAATTTTGCTAGTGGGTCACTAGGGGTGATGGTGAGTGGTGCCACTTCCATTTCTGCCCCTTGATTCCTGGACCTGTGAATCCTGGCAATGGGAAAAACAATACCATATATTGGACACTGATTCAGAGCATACACAGCCTTCTGGAGAACTTTGCCTCAGCCCTGCAAAGTATTGTCACCTAGTTGGCATTGTAATTGTGACTTCAAAAGGCCATTCCACCATTCTATTAATCCAGCTGCTTCAGGATGATGGGGAACATGGTAAGACCAGTGAATTCCATAAGCATGAGCTGTTTGCCTCTGTGCATGCTACACATCTGATTGGCCAGGTGCCTTCCTCCTGCCATGGCTGCTGGTCACTGTCATGCACTTACAAGCATGGGTCAGGTAGTCTTCAGGAACGCAGTTCTGAAAGTGAAACACTGGAATGCTTTTGGCTGTCTTGGGAAACAAAGTTATTTCTCATGGGATTTTTCCCTTTGAAGCTGCCTCCTACCTTGCTATTGTGACTATGATCCTTTGGGGAGAAGAGTAATTGTCTTCTTGAGTTCTGTGATCTGAAGGGATGTGGCCAGAAGATTTTTCATAGTTTTACAATATTTTCACAGTATTTTTAGGAGCATGACTTTGGTCTGCACCTGTGACTACGTACAAGGCCATTGTTTATTATTCATAAATGTGGGATGTGAACGTTTGCTTGATCTTTTTGAATGGGTGGTCCTATATATGTCTTTATGATTAGTTTCCTTTGAATATAATATTAAATGGAGTTTGGGAATAGTAGTGAACTTTACAATGGCTTCTCTTACATACTTTTTTTTTTTTGAGCCCAGAAGTGAGGCTTTTTAAAAATAGAACTTCACAAATTACTGCTTCCTTTTGATACTGGATATTCATGAAGTGCAGTGAAAATAGGGAATAATGAGTCATTCTTTTCCTCCAGGAGAAGGAGGAACAAACAAATGTGAAAACATTTACAATATCTTTCCACAGTCCAACCCTTTGCTCCTCCCCGGTTGTGTACATAAAAGCATACACATGGAGCCAATGGCTGCTTTGCAGACATGAAGCTAGACTAGTGGTTCTCAAGACTTTGGGCTCAGGACCCCTTTATCTTTTTAAAAATTATGGGCCAGGTGTGGTGGCTCACACCTGTAATCCCAGCACTTTGGGAGGCCAAGGCGGGTGGGTCACCTGAAGTCAGAAGTTGGAGACTAGTCTGGCCAACATGGTGAAACCCCATCTCTACTAAAACTACAGAAATTAGGTGAGCATAGGAACGTGCCTGTAATCCCAGCTACTCAGGAGGCTGAGGCAGTAGAATCACTTGAACCCAGGAGACAGAAATTGCAGTGAGCCGAGATCACACCACTGTACTCCAGCCTGGGCGACAGAGTGAGACTCCGTCTCGGAAAAAAAAAAAAAAATTATGGAGGGACCCCAAAGAGCTTTTGTTCATATGGATTTTGTCTATTGATATTCATCATGTTAGAAATTCAAACAAAGAAAATATGTAATCCATTTAAAATAACAATAAACCACCCATTACATGTTAGTATAAATAATATTTTTGTGAAAAGTATAATTTTCAAAATAAAAAATCATGAGAAGGGTTGCATTGTTTTATATTTTTTTAGGTCTCTTTGATACCCAGTTTGGTGTAAGACAGCTGGATTCTCGTATCTGCTTCAGTCTGTTGTGATAGGTTGTTTTGGTTAGTCTTTGAGTATCTCACGTTACACAGATGTGTGGTTGGAAGAGGGAGGAATATTTCAACCCTCATTTCAGATAATTGTGGATATTCCTCTTGCACACTTCACCAAAACTCAACATGTGATAGTTTCTTAAAGCTTAGTAATGCAATGTGAAATCACTATTTTTTTTCCTCCTCTACTACCTTAAAATCCATCCAACTGACTTGCCCTTTGAATGATCTTTTACGTGTGTTTTATCCATGCAGGCATATCCACATGCATCCATGCATGTGATGTCATACCCCGGTCATTTCAAGAAAAACTATTTTTGAAATGAAGTATGCAGATTTCTAAATAGTGATAGTTTTCATCATATAACATCAAAAATTTTCATTTGTATCACCGCCAATCTTGTCAGAAAAGTTGCTAAGTCTTTGGAAGGTGTCAAGCTCATAGTTAGAGATACAAGTTTGCCACATACATAGAACTGAAAACCAGAGTCAGTCAATGTCTGGCACAGTCATTCTTTCAGGTAAAAATCTTGTCCCACCAAAAAAGTGGCTGGTTCAGCTTGCAACTCCAACAGCTGCAGAAGTGCGTTTCTGCAAGACAACCATCACCCTCCGGTAGCCAGCAAAAATGCTTTATGCATGCTTTTTCCATGTCATACCTGAGAAAATGAAGACATGGACTCAAAGGTCGAAATGTTTAAAAATCGGTAGCACTTCTTTTTTTAAGTGTATTCAGAGCATCTGTGAGACTTTTTTGTTTGTACTTAAAGAGCATGCCAGTGAATAATGTGATGATGACTAGTACAGTTTGGGGCTACTACTTTGATTCATGTTAATCACCAGCATGTTTGCACCATCAAAACAAATTTCAACACAGCAATAAAAAGGCAAGTACTGTATCTGAATTGTTTTGAAAATCTTATTGATTTGTCTGAAAAGTGATCTATCTTTTCAGTATTATATATTAATATAAAATATTATATTTCTCAACATACATGTACAGTTATAAACTAGAACTTAATGGAGAAAACGAATTGGAACAGATTGCCACTATTTTCCATTATTTTTTTCCATCATTTAACTATGTAAATTTAAAGTCTTAATACTTTTTTGAAGTATACGTAAAAATGGAGTATGCTGATTACATTTTCTATCCTTGAAGAAAGTTGAGCTTAAGCACTGTCAGATTTTCAAAGCCATATGGTTATTTCTGATCTAATGTTGAGATGCCAATCATATAGTGTATGCATTTCAGTTTAGCTTTAAGATCTTGTTAACTGCTTTTAGTACCCCTGTGAACACATCAGCAAACCATCTTTTCACCAGACAGCCAAAGGTAACCTCCGGATGTGAGGCAGTGAGAATCAATATAGTAAGGGTATTTTTAGGGACTGTTGATGGATTGCTGTATTTTGAGCTTAACTTCAAGTGCCAAAGGCCCCAGAGCTGACTAAGATGAACTCACCATTTACTGAGGACGGGAGAGGCCATCAGGCACATAGTGGGATCTGGGATTGCCAAGACAAGATGTACACACCTTTCCCTTTGTAGTTTTGGGGAGAATTCTTGTATATTTTTTAGTAGCCTAATACGGTATTTTGATGAGGACTTTGTACCACCCTCCTTGCTGGAGCCAAGTGTTACTCATTTGGTAACCTCCCGGTCCTGGGAACACATAACTGTGAAATTCTAGGACAACGTGATACAGCAGCGAATCAATTAATTCTCTGTATCAGGAGGGATCTGGTACACCGAGATACTAATGACTCCGCGTCCTTCTCCAAAGGCAGCCCCACAGAAGGCGGGCGCCACGTTAAGCTGTGCTGCTGTCAGCAAGCTGAAAGCTATGGGTCTCTGACACGGCTCTCAATTGCTAGCAGGTTTCTCTCATTGCACCTCATTTGCATCTGGGACATCAATTAGCATGTTTGTTGAGGCTAATTGAATGAAACTCAATCATAGCTCTTAATTGCTTGACTATGTGAAAAGAAATCACATTAATGCAGCTAATTAAGTGTACGGCAATAGATGCAACATAATTAGGAGCGAAATGTAAAAAACAAGGGATGGCAAAGGTGCCGGAGCAGGGTTGCAGGGGGACAGCGAGGCACAGTTACCGAGCAATTGGCGGGTTCGGAAACAGGTCCCTTTGCTCTGGCGCCTGCTTGGAAAAAATAAGCCGCATGATGATCATGGACAACTTGAGAAGGAAAATGCAAATAGGTTTGCAATTACTACTTTTTCAAGCTGTTGAGGGGCAGGAGATGGCACCTCTGGGGGGCCTGGCTCTTGAGTGGGCCCCAGGGACTTGTTAAGTGCTGTTTAAAAGTACTTGGCTTTGAATTACCCTCACGCCTTGTTAAAGGGTTTTTCCTCTTTTATCTTCGATCAGCATTTTCAACAAGGAACATGGAGAAGGGTAGTATCTGTAACATTTGCATATCAAAATCAAGCTTCCTGTCTTAATTTTACCGAGGTCCCTAACTCAGACCCGTGAAGGGTCTGCACAGCCCCTTGACTTCTACGGAGGACATTGTTTAGTGGTTGTAGCTTTAATTCCTCAAGTACCAAGCTGGGGAGAGATGAAAAGGATCAGTTCTTTCAAAACCAGAAAGCTCAGTGTCGTTTCTCTTGGGAGGAACTTGAAGCCACAGATACATGTGTCTTTATCTCCCACCTGTGTGTGAAGCGCTGAGTCGGAGGGCTTTTATTGAGTAGGAAATGCATTTTGTAAAATTTTTAAAAATGTGCAGTGCCTTGAAATATAAGAATTGGCTATTTTAAATACCGATTTTATTTATTTTTTTTTTTTAGAGCTAGTTCTTCTGAGGTTGTAACGCCTAACTCAGGCAAGAAAACAGATCCCTTAGCCCATGCTGAGCTAAAGATAAATGGGTTCCCTTGCCGCTTTCGAATCTGGAGAGCAGACACTTGGTACATTTCTATAATAATTTTAAATAAAATATCGTGGTTATTGTATGTTAAAACATGCCTATTAAAAGAGCCCATGCTGAGGCTTAGTCACTATCTGATTAGCCTCATTTTAGAGCCCATAAGCAATAAATGCTCAATTACACTCCTGTTATTGTATTTTAATTTGTTAAGAATTGGCATTAAGGAAGAAAGTTATAGCAAGTTGATATTTTTAAAGGAGTAACTGTGCAAGAAGGAATTCATTATTTACAAGCATTAACTTTGGTTTGGAAAGTTGGGTTTGCATATTTTCAGTGGATATTAATGGAAGTAAACTAAAGATGCTTGAGAAAAACCTTTTTTAGGAAGTGACCAACACTCACCACTCTACGGTGTGCTTTTCCTTTCTTTTCTCTTTTCTTTTCTTTTTGAGACAGAGTTTCCCTCTTGTCGCTTAGGCTGGAGTGCAATGGCATGATCTCTGCTCCCTGCAATCTCTGTCTCCCAGGTTCAAGCGATTCTCCTGCCTTAGCCTCCCAAGTAGCTGGGATTACAAGCACACGCCACCACACCTGGCTAATTTTGTATTTTTAGTAGAGCAGGCATTTCACCGTGTTGGCTAGGCTGGTCTTGAACTCCTGACCTCAAGTGATCCACTCTCCTCGGCCTCCCAGAGTGCTGGGATTACAGGCGTGAGCCACCGCGCCCCGCCTGATGTGCTTTTCATTTGTCACCCTCAACACAGCGCAGTCCTGAGAATTCCTGTGCCGCTTCCAGCTCTAGCTTTCCTTCCATCTAGTTTAACAGAGTTAATTCAATAGTAACTTTCTTTCTGTCTTTGGTCTACATCCTCTCAAAGTTGATTATGTTTTGTGGAGTCCAGCATCTCAACTTCCAAGTGGAATCCCTTTCGGGGGCTGGTGAAGTCAGATTTGTTGTTCCCAGCCCAGATACCACCCTCCCGTTACCCGAACCCACCATGACAGCTTTCCTCCAAGGGGGCTGTGGCTGACTCCAGCCAGCCTGCCCTGAGAGTCAGGCCATCCTCCCTGAGCCACCCTGTAAAATGAAATGGCCAGTCACCAGCCTCGGGTGGCCGGGCACCTCTGCTCCCGGCCTCTGGGCTGATGTGAGATGCACGCGTGCCAGGGTTTTCTGCCTGGATAGCCTGTCTGTCCTTTGCCGGGGAATGCCCGGCCTTGCCCCTGCCTCTGAATTTGCCCCACTGTAGCACAGTTTCTGATCCTTTCTCCAGTGGTCTTCAGCCCATTGTTCTTCCTCCTGGTTCTGACCCTGGTGTTTTGAGCTTTCTGTCTGCACCAAGACTTCCGTCCTCAGGGGTCACCAGGGACCCTGAAACATCTTGTCCCTCTGGGGCTGATGTAGGGGAGCCTGCTGGGGTTCTGTATTTATCTGCCAGAGTGTCCCCCGCCAGTGTGGCTGTGCCCTCATGTAAAGAGGTTCTCCTCCCGCCCGTCCTGCCGTTGAGAATTCCTGCACCCTTTTCCCTTGAGTCTGGTTTGACTCCATGTGGCAGCCTGTAAGTCATGTTGGTTGCGGGAAGGTCTACATTGTCACACCCCAGGCTCACCCACCTGACCATGGTTGGGCAGGGAGAAAACAGCTCTTCTCATCCTCTGCCCTGAGGACCCACAGTTTCATTCCTTTCCCCTGAACTGGAATTGTGTACTTTGTGGCTTTTGTTGTGCCTTTTCTTCTATCAGCAAACATCTACTTGTTGATAAACCCGTGACTCCTTCACAAGTGTGGGTGTTGCCCTGCAATTAAAAGGTGGACTGCTTGCCTGTCATCCCAGCTACTCGGGAGACTGAGGCAGGAGAATCTCTTGAATCCGGAAGGCAGAGGTTACAGTGAGCTGAGTTCATGCCACTCCACTCCAGCCTGGGCAACAGAGTGAGACTCTTGTCTCAAAAAACAAAACAAAACAAAAAGGTAGACAGCCCGTTTCCTGGAAGCCACTGGGATCTCGCTTTGGCCTCTCTGCTACCCTACCCTGTGTCCCAGCAGCTTCCTCAATACACTTGGCCAAGTTTCCTTGTCCCTGAGACAGAGGCTTCCGACCCTTGCATAGTGATTCTAGAACTTGATCCAACTATCTCTCTGCATCGGGTAACTGCCATTGGGCAGTTAAAAGACAGCAGCCCACTTCTCCACCCTGCCTCGGTCCCTTGCATCCAGCATGTGAGTTTATTTGGCAGTTCTTCTAAAATTACGTTGGCTGAGCACGGTGGCTTGTGCCTGTAACCCCAGTGCTTTGGGAGGCTGAGGTGGGAGGGTGACTTGAGACTAGGAGTTGGATACCAGCCTGGGCAACCTAGCAAGACCTCATCTCTAAAAAAATTAATAAATGAAATGGAATTATGGTCACCTGAACTTAATTACTTTTAACAAAGACAAATTTATTGGTTTTCACATCTAAAGGGAATTCACCAAGATGCTGCCAAAGAAAGAGCATATTTATTCCCACTTCCTGCATAGTCTTAAAACACTTGAAATGTTGTTTTTCCAAGAGTAATTTTCAAATACAGTCATTTCTCTGTATTCATGGGGGATTGGCTCCAGGACCCTCCAGAATACCAAGATCCTCAGATGCTCAAGTTCCTTATATAATACAGCATAGTATTTATATATAACCTGCACACATTCTCCCGTATACCTTAAATCATCCCTAGATTACTTATACCTCATGCAATGTAAATGCAATATTTTCTTATTTGTATTTTTTTTAATTGTTATATTGTTACAGAGGGCTGAGTGTATATTCTTTCTTAACGTGTGATATCAAGTAATATGTGTCCAGAATGCTTAAGATACTGTGTTTGCAGACAGGGAGTCTCATTACCAGAAATAATAATAATAACAATAATAATAATGAGTGATGATGATGCTGCACTAAAGGATCAGTAACTCACTGGCCAGCAGGCCCATCCCCCGGCTCTCAGTTGCTTGTTCACCTTCCCCGTTCCCTGCCCATCAGCCAGTTTCCAGGTAGTGTTTGACTCCACAGTGAGTTAAGTGAGCTGCCAGAGAGCAGTCACTGTCCACCGAGGCTTCCCTGTAGTTCTCTGATTGCTGCTGGTCATTTGCTTCCAAGGCCTAGAAAGCCAGATACCCCTTGGACATCTTCCTGGTTCTTAGCACAACAGTTGACCTTTTTACTTCCAGTTTTCACCTGATTTTTCACCAGAGAGCTTCAGTCTTATCTAGATTTTAATGATATTCCCATCTGAGACAGAAAGGTTATTACAAAATGGTTTCCTACTCCATGGAATTTTACTTGGAATTTATAGGAGGAGCCTAATGTACCCTCTGATAAGCAAGAGTTCAAAAAATCAGATTTTGTGTGTAGACTTACTTCCTAATGACCCTTGAAGGAGGCACCTGCTGTGTCTCTCCTTACATCTCTAGGTCCTGGATTAGTTCAGGACACAGAAGCAAAACTCTGATTTAAATATAATAATGATGTTACCAGTACTCTATAGATAAAAATCTCATGATTTTTAAAGTACTTTCCACAGTGGAAGGGTCATAGGGTTTTAACTCATGACGTCTGATAGACCCTTTTGTTCTAGGTTGTAAAAGGTCTTTTTTTTTTTTTTATCTCTCTTGGATGTTTAACATTTTCAACAGGATTACATGCAGAATGTTCATGGTAAGGAGATTGACCTTCTGAGAACCACTGTGAAAGTCCCAGGGAAGAGGCCACCCCGAGCCACGTCAGCCTGCGCACCCATCTCCAGCCCTAAAACCAATGGCCTATCCAAGGACATGAGCAGTTTACACATCTCACCCAATTCAGGTAAGCTTACAGCAAATGCACTAACAAATCAAGTTCAACAGCAACAGGTGGTCCAGGCTCGAGGATAATGTTGGACTCCTAGGTTAAGTGGAGACAGTAACTATCACATTACAGATTAAGGTTTAGAAACCTGATCACTTCTGTGGCTGATCATTTCCTTTAAACTTTCAGTTCCGCAAATGCCAGCGAGCAAATGGTGCTTTGAGTCACAGCTGCAAAAACCATGCATCTAGGCCTTTCCAGGGCTGCATAGTGGAAAGTGAAGTTAACATGTGAACTGGGTTTTTAAGATCCTTCTGAAAAACGTGAATTAACGTTAAAGTGTCAAAGATTAACTCATTTCTGATAACTGTATGTATGAAAGTGGAAAAACCATTCGGAGCAAGATTCAGAGGAAACCATTTGACCTATATAAAATGTAAATTCTGTGTTGTTATATTTTAATTATCTGCCATTCTTTAATGCAACTTTAGTTCTCTGTATTCTCTTTTAAAGGAGATTTTTTTTCATTCAGGATCAGAGAAAGCTGTATTTTCTCAAATGTTGATGTGTTTAGAAATTCCTGGCCTCTGTGCCCAGTTGCAAGCCATCCAAAATGACATTGTTCATTTTATTTACGTTTTTGCAAATAATTGCCCTGTGTCATGAACCTTCCCATGTCTGCTCATCAGAGATAAGGAGAAGATCCTCTTGAGCCCTCCCATAAACACACACACAGAGTCAGGCTCCTTCAACATGGGGACATCCCTTCAAGAATTTGCATTTTCTCCTGCAGAAAGTCCAGAACTTTCTTCTCTCCCACCTACATCCAGTCTTCTTAAAACAGATTTCTGGCTAGGCGCAGTGGCTCACACCTATAATCCCAGCACTTTGGGAGGCTGAGGCGGGTGGATCGCCTGAGGTCAGGAGTTCGAGACCAGCCTGGCCAACCTGGTGAAACCCCGTCTCTACTAAAAATACAAAAATTAGCCGGGCGTGGTAGCAGGTGCCTGTAATCTCAGCTACTTGGGAGGCTGAGGCAGGAGAATCGCTTGAACCCAGGAGGCAGAGGTTGCAGTGAGCCATGATTGCGCCACTGCACTCCAGCCTGGGTGACAGCGAGACTCTATCTCAAAAAAAAAAACAGATTTCTCTCCTATGAGAGTTTCTGGTCTTTGATGCTGCACTTTCCTCTTCTGAAACATCAAGTGCTTTTAAAGAGGGATGGTGCTGACTGCCTGGTTCTGAGGCATGAACGACACTGGTAGGTGAGAGCAAGATGGTACAGAGGAGTTCAAATTTGGGTCCACCATCCTGGGCTCCGCTGCATAGTGTTAGGCAGTCACTGAGCTGGTTCCTTCCCACCACATTGGGGTGCTCTTGCCTGGCCTGCCTGTGTTGCAGGGGGGCGGTGTCAGAGGAGACAACATGAAAGTGCTGGGAAAGCTGGATACAAACACAAGCTGTTGTTTCTAATCAAAGTTAAAACTGGCTTTATGCTAAAGGAGTCTTTAGTGCCTCCCAAAAAAGTGAGAACAGTATTTTTCCAGGGGCTTCTATGACCTGCTGACCTTTCTTCCAAGACATCCGTGAGATTTTTCTTATTAGAGCGGTGTGCTAACTATGGGGTGGGAAGAGAGAAAAGAAGGGCACAAGAAAGAAAAAACAATCCGTAGTGAGTAAAATGCTGAAGGCTTTATTACATTAGTACGTTACATAAACTCATGCATTTATTCAAAAAATATCTATAGGCCAGGTGCAGTGGCTCACGCCTGTAACCCCAGCACTTTGGGAGGCCAAAATGGGTGAATCACCTGAGGTCAGAAGTTCAAGACCAGCCTGTCCAACATGGTGAAACCCCATCTCTACTAAAAATACAAAATTAGCTGGGTGTGGAGATGTGCGCCTGTAATTCCAGCTACTCAGGAGGCTAAGGCAGGGGAATCGCTTAAACCCAGGAGGTGGAGTGCAGTGAGCCGAGATCGCACCACTGCACTCCAGCCTGCGCGACAGAGTGAGACTCCGTCTCAAAAAAAAAAAAATCTATCAAGCACCTATTTTGTGCCAGAAGTTGTGCGCACTGCAGATACGGAGTCCCTAACCTCTAGAATTCTTCCATTTCCACCTCCCTTCTGACCATCACATCTAGTCATCTAGTTACATAAGTAAAAGCATTTATTGAGTTTCATTTTTATAATTTTAAATTGATAAAAATGTATTAAATAGAATTAATTTAACTTAAATAAAAATTTATTGATCTTTGTAACATGGTGTTTTGAATTATGTATACATTGTGGAATGGCTAAATCATGCCATTTGTGGAGTTTCTAACGTGTGCCTGAGTCACAGTTCCCGCCTTCAGGAATCTCCCCTGTTGTTGGGGAGAAAGACAAGTAGATGGAGGCCACACGGAGCCACAGGCCCCAGGAGGGCTGTGTAAAGGGCAGGGCTTGGAGACCCAGTGATGCTGCGGTCGGCTCCCCAGGAGGTAGGCCAGGCTTCAAGGGATGGGGGCTACCTGCTGAGTTTGAATAAAGGATAGGAATTTGCCAGGCACACAGATATGAAGGAAGGGCACCAATTCTGTGAAGAAGCGTTCACTATGTAAAAGTAGGATTTTGAACTTCCTAATCTTGAGATTTATGTTCCTTGGAGCCAAATGCCACTGTTGTCCTAAGGGAAACACTAATGTGTGATTTTAAGTAGATAATACAAAGGCCCTATAAACCGTACCATATCTGATGGAGTCGGCTGTGGCATGGGCCTTTCTCTTTGAGGGAGTGAGTTGTGTGTCCTTGGAAGGCATTTCCCATTGCCCAGTTTCATTCTCTTTAAGAGCCCCTGTTGGGCAAATGGGAGGGTTGCGACAAGATTGAAATCCCTTTTCCATGGTCACAGCCCTCAGTGTGTAACAGGACATCTCCGCAACCCTCAAACAGGTTAATCCCACACAGGGGCCTGGCTGACTTTCCCTCTTCTCTGGATTCCAACTAGGGATAGAGAAGTGGAGGTATGACCTTAGCACAGAGGCGTTGCCACTTTGGGAAGAAGAAAGTGCCTCACGGCCACAGCAGTGCTAAGGGAAGTGGCACCCTGACCAAGCATGCGGGTGAAGTCATCAGCTGGTGTGCGGCAGGAGGGCGCAGATCTCAGATAGCAGCTCCCTGTTTATTGCTCAGCTTCATTCTTGGGTTCTGAGAATAAGCCATGGGCGGAGGCACTTCTGTAAGAGGAAGCAGCTTCATTAAAATCTTGGGAAATTTTAATTTGCATTCACCTTCTCTAAACATGAACATGAATCTGTAAAGTGATACGTTCTTTCTTGCTTAAGAAATTAAAGCATTTGGGGATTTGAGTTTTTATACTCTTTGAAAATTGAGTTTCTTGTGCTAAAATCATCATTCACAAAATGTCCTCTCACCTGAGGAATTCCAACACAGCAAATTCAATCTGAAATAAATTGAGGCTACATTTAAGAGACGGGACTTCCAGCTAAAAATAGGTATTAGAGAGCTGTTTTTGCCAAAAAATTGAATACTTAACCTTATTCTTCACTCTTGACTCATTTGTTTTGTCTCAGTTCTGGGTGAACTGGAGGGTTTTCTTTCTTTGTATTTTCATTTTTGTATTCATTTTCTTAATGCGATTGAATTAGATCAACATTTTATGCCTTCTCTTCCCGTAACTTGCATTCACATAGACCTGATATATGTATGAGCCTAAATCTTTGTGGTTAACACTTATTATTGCTTTGGAATAACTGTCCATATATGGAATGATTCATTCGGTTGGTATAACCATTTACAGGGTTCTTGATACACATTTCCAAATTAACTTCTAAAAGGTTTTACATGAAAACTCTTCCCATCCATAGCCATCACCAGTTTCACCTCACACACTTGCTAATGCTATTAATATTATTGTTAGAATTTATGCTAATCTGATGAGCGATAAAAATGCCTCATGTTTTGTTTATTTGGATTTCTTTAATCGGTAATGAAGTTGAACAGCTCACATGTATTAGGTGTATGTGTTTCTTACGTTGTAATTAATTGTTTAGGTGTATCCTTTGCCCATTTTTGCACTAGGTTCTTTTTCTTATTGATATCTGAGAACTCCTTGTATATTTAGGATATGAATATATTTTGCAGGTATTTCCCCAGTTTATTATTTGCCTTTTAAATTTTATGGTCTTCTTTACATAAAAAGGTTTTCCCTCTTTTTTATTTATAATCAGATTATCTTTTACTGTTGTGATTTCTACTTTAAGCTATTTAGAAAACCTTTCATAATCTTGAAACCAGATCACAGTTTACATATATATACTTCTAAGTTTTAATTTTATTGTTTTTTTCCCTTAAAAAATATATGTATGTGTTTATGTGTGTGAATATATGTATATGCATATATATCTGTGTGTATGTGTGTGTATACATGTATATGCATGTATTTAGCCCCTAATCCACCTTTAATTTGTTTGTGTCTATTGTGTGTGATAGAAATCTAATTGAATTTTTTATTCAAATAAATAATCAACTGTCGTTTTTCTCTTTGTTGAATTTTTTTTCTTTCCCTATTAATTCCATATGTTGCCTTTGTTGTAGAACTCAATCACTTCATCAAATGGGCTGTGTTTCTGGCCTCTCAGATGTGTTCCGAGACCTGGTGTCCCTGCATTGTCTTACCTTATGTAGATTTACCACAGTGTCTTAGATGTATGACTCCGTTTGTATCTGGTAGTATAACACAGTTGAATATTTCTCTTTTATCTTCCAGTTTTTCTTGGCTACTGCTGCCTGCTTATTTTTCCTCAAATGAACTAAAGAGTAACTTGAAACCTTCTCCTCCTTGATAAAAATAATCCCCTCATTGGTGCACATGACATCAGGACCTCCCGAGGCTGTGATACGGGCACGTAAATAAAATAATAAAAATAATTCTATCATGGCTTTTAACTGGCATTGCTTTTAAGCTATGAATTGTGGAGGAAGTGGCATCTTTACTGTGTGGAGTTCCTTATCGTGGAACACTGTTCTTTCCCAGTTTATTCAAATTTGTATTATAGCCTCCAGCAAAGTTCAGCATTTTTTTTTTTTATTTAGCTGCTGGACATGTCTTGTTAATCTATTCTGTTTATAATTTTTGGTGCATTGTGAAGCTAATCCTTTTTAGAGAGGCGGGGTCTATTATGTCATCTAATTGGTCAGAAATAAAACTCCTAATTTTTGTGTTTTCTATTATTCAGCCATCTTGCTGAACTCTTGTTAGTTGGAATAGCTACTGGATGTTTCTGTTGATTCTCTAGCACACAGTCATAATGCATTCCATATTTCAAATACTATAATGCCTAACTGTGTGCCACCAGTTTACTGATACAGAGACTGGATTGTGTTGCCTCCTGTGCCATTCGTCTCCATTGTTACTGAGTCTGCTGTATGCCCACCCTTGATTAATGCTCTGGATATTGGGGTGGGGGGAGGACAAGACGTCTCTCCAGGAGCCTTACACTCAAGTGGGGGTGGAGGAGTCCAAAGATAAACACACAAGTAAGATCATTGTAAGGAATGATAAGTGCTGAAGGGCCATATGGGGCAATTGAATAGAAAATACCTGGAGGGGCTCGGGGGTGGGGTATTCCTAGCATTTGGGAAGTGATTTGCCTGTATTGAAATAGTGACTACATTTCACACTTTAAAATGCTGGAAATGTGGTCATCTTCATGTCAGTTTTTGCCATGGGCTTGGGAGAGAGGAAGAAACACGCACTGTCAGAGCAGCTGCCTTGTGCACTGCTGATGACTGGGCTCAGGCCACCCTCTGGGGCTCATGCATTGAGGAGAGCAGAGGAGCTGCAATGGTGATGGGGTGGCTCTGGGTTCCTTGTGGCGGTCGTGGAGTTCAGGAGTGGGCTGGGGCACAGCAGCAGGCTGTGCGACGAAAGCAAGGAGAGCTGGCCAGTGTTGTCCCTGCCACCAACACCCCCAGGAGAGCATGCATCGGAACAGGCAGCATGCCTAGGGAGAGCAGAACCTTTTGATGTGGATGCTGGTGCTCAAAAAAGGGAAACAGAGATGATTGTGAAACTCAAACATCCTCAGTCTCAGAAGAAGAGAAAGAAATGGAGAGGCAAGGCAGCCCTGACCGTAGGTGGTATGAAGTGCACCGGCCAGCTCACAGCCCCCCACACGGTAGGTCTAAATGAAACCCGCCAGTCATTATGGGCCATACACCTGCTCAGAGCCCACAACCAGCCTTCTGGTTGGCCAAGGCTGCAGAGAAAACCCCTTCATCTGCCTCATCAACCCACATGCTCTTATTCATAGATAATGGACAACGAAGGTGTTTGTGGGAACCAACAGTAAAATGTGAAGGATAACTGATCTTAGTAAGAGTGACATTTTAGTGAAAGGGAATTTAAAAGGAAATTATAACTCCTATCAACAGAAGGATTTAATACGTTAGTTATTAATGATACTCATAAAATGAGGCAAACAGAGAGCACGTGTTTGGCCCAGCGCAGTGGCTCATGCCTGTAATCCCAGCACTTTGAGAGGCTGAGGCAGGCAGATCCCCTGAGCCCAAGAGTTCAAGACCGATTAATCTAGGCAACATGGTGAAACCCTGTCTTTACAAAAAATGCAAAAATTTAGCTGGGCATAGTGGCGAGTGCCTGTGGTCCCAGGGGAGACTGAGGTGGGAGAATAGCTTGAGCCCAAGAGGTCAAGGCTGCAGTGAGCCATGATCATGCCACTGTACTCCAGCCTGGGCAACAGAGTGAGGCCTGTGTCAAAAAAATAAAGAGTATGTGAAAATACTATAGGAGAAAAAGTTTTATGAATAAAGATTGTGAAAATAAAAAATTCATTAGATAAATACTGTAAAGAACGTGGCTAAAGACATGTTGGTAGTCAAAGATGTAACAGAAGAATATATGCTAGAAGCAAGTAAGGATATCTGAAGAGTCAAGTATCAAGTTGGATGGGAGAGGAGGCTCTGCAAAAATACAAATAAAATCTTAAAACACACCAAAAATAGGAGAACAACAAGGTTACCTACAAAAGAAGAGAAATCTGACTGTAGACTTCTCAAGAGCAACATGCATTCTTAAATATAATGGAAATATTCCCTCCTAAGGACAAATAATTCTGAACCTAGAAGCCTATGCAAAGACGACTACTAATCAAATGAAGATAGAAAAAAAAGACATCTTTAGACAACCTACAGGGTTATACAACATCTCTGTCTTAAAGGGTTTTGAAAAAATTACTGAAGGGTCTACTCCAGAAAAAAAAAGAAGAATCCAAAAGATATTCAGGCCTGGTTAAACCTTCCCTTCCTCATTCAAGGTCACTGGCTTCTCAAGATGTGCATGGCCATTATCCACTTCCATTCTTTTGGCCTGGAACTTACATAGTCTTAAGTTGCCATTCTAATGAGGATCCACCAGAAGCCACATTTTGGAGAATCTTCCCAACTTGAATTTCAGGTATAGGTCCAGAGAAGGAGGTAAAACGTCAAGGTATTTTCTGACATGAATGTTTGGCCAGCCTAGTTTGGTGAAGCTGTATCCACATGTAACAATGCAGAGTTGTATTAGCTTCCACAGTTATTTTCACATTTAAGTAGAGAGCAGGAAAACATAATGTCCAAGAGCAAGGGTTTCGGAGTCCAAATCACTGAATAGAATCCCATTTCTCCTGTCTCAGACCCTTCTGAAGTTGTCTCACTAAACCCCAGCTTCCTTGTTTTTAAAATGGGGAAATGATGTCCACCTCTGTTCTATGGAGAAGAACACACGGCATTCCTTTGAAAAGCTTGGCCGATGCTGACTTCACAGAATTACATCATTAATTCATCATCATGGTTATGCCAAAAGCAAGGAAGAGGGGAAAGAAATTATGTTCTTGAATTAATTTTTCAAATACAATAAAGCATTGACATAGCCTTTGAGTGGACATAATGGACATAGGGCTTAGACTTCACAAACCCATGCTCCCCAACAGACAGCATCCCACTATCATGGCAGCAAGGGGGCAGACAGAAGAAATGCTCTTCTGGACTTTCATGGATGTCCATGGAGCTGTCTGCTCCAGTTCTGTGTCCTGTGGTCACTTTATTCTGTAACTCCTGGTTGTGACATTTTTGTTCTAGGATGACAGATACCTTCTTGTCTCTAAAGTGTGTCTTTGTTGGGTTTTTGCAACTATGGATATGTTTTTATCCTAACCAGATTGATGCTTAGACCTTTGTCAAAGGAATCCTTTCCCCTTCTCCTCTACATCCCCCCCTTCCCTACTTGAGGCCCCCAGCGGTTTCGAAATATTAAAGCCTTCAGGAGGGTTGAAGCTGATTTTCCAGGGGAGGTGGGGGAGGCGGGGACAGCAAATGTGTTTTGAGTATTGAACTGCCGTTGACATCTAAAGTCTCAACCATGCTGTTTTCTCCACACTTCAGCAATCAGGACATCCAGCAAACCCATAAAAAACCAAACTAATAGCATGAATATTCAGTGACCTAGAATACTAATTATTGTCATGAATATTAATGTGATCGGACTTGCTCTTTCCTCTCCTCTTTCTCTCTCGTCCTCTTTCTCCCTCTCTCCCTCTCTTTTTTTCCACTTAGCCGGCTCTAAAGATGGGTCATAATGAGAGCATTTAAGAGGGAGCGCTCTCCGCCGTGACAGGGACCGGGGTAATAAGGAGAGCTTGATTAACGTGGTGCACTTGGGGGAGAGATGAGAGGCTTCACGTGGTCCTGTTCGGGGGAGGCAATGAGGCACCGGCGGCTCTGTTGCTGCTCCCGGAGATTAATGAGGCCTAAGAGTGCATTAGGAACAGTGACAAAGGTTTGATCTAATGGGCTCAGTCATTTTTCCTTTGAGTGACAGACGCACAGAAGTAATTGGCTGTGCAGAATGGCAGCTCATTGGCGGTACTTAAGGATACATTATCCCCGTTGTGTGGCCCGCAGAGGCTGTTTATCAAAACTGCTCACACTGCAGACGCGGAGTCGCGAAGCTGCTGTTTCAGTGGTAATAGCTATTAAAAAAAAATAACGTGACATCAAAACTAGACCCGTTGTTGTCTCATGGAAAGAAAGTTTTTCTTTGTTTAGTTTCAAACGGTCTAGAAAACATTATAATAACTCTGGAGTCCGGAGTCTGTTGTGGGCCCTGGATGAGCAGTGTCAGTCCACACCTGTCCCCTGCCGGCATGCGGTGTGGCCAAGGCTTGGTGGAACACAGATCCTTGCTTCCCACTCATGTCGACCAAGGTCACTCGGGAGTTTTCCACACATTGGATCTTGGTTACAACATATAAATTGGAAGCTTCTGCTAAGTACCCTTCTAGCACCTTGGTAGACCATTTGCAAATGGAAGCCTTACTGGTCGAGAATTATTTTTCTGAAATAAAACCTCAATATCAGTAGCATGTGATATCTGCTTTCATAAACCAGGTTTTGTTGGAATTGGTTTTAATGTCTATTTGACAATTTTTAGGGAAAATGTTAATGTTTTGTGAGGCTTCTCAGACATCAGAAAGTTAGCTAAATCTGACATTAGAGGACACTAAAGTTCATCTTAGTTCTTTTTAAGAATTGCAGCATCTTCAGCTTTTATGAGCAATGCGTTCTCACTATTAGTTGTTTCCGTGTTTATACATTGCTCCCACTGAGGTTTAGGCAAATTCGTGTGGTATTGTTTCCATCATTAAATTGTAAACTCTTTGAGGCATACACTGTTACTTCTCTTTCTTTGTTATCCTCTCTTAGTTTTGTGACCTAGCAATTATTTTCTCATTAGGTATATATTCCTGCATGTTACCCATCATGTTAAATGTAAGTGATGGATGTTGAGGAGATTAGTTGCTTTCCTGCAGATAATGTTCCCCTGTAGTAGCTCTCTGTGGTCCTGAGCATTGGTGTGTAATTCAGAAGTAAGTATTGTACTTCCTAAATTAAGGATAGCTTCAATTATTTGAACTCTAAGTGGAGTGTTCTTTTCTGAAAGAACCAACTAAAGCAACTTGATTCCTGATGATTTCAGCTGAGACATATCAGGGGATGGCCAGGACCTTGAGTTGGATGTGGTAACAGGTGTGCCTACAAGTAAATAAAAGGTGCTTCAAACACTTTTTTTCTCTCAAAAATGTGTGTGGGCAGGGAGGAATAGTGTTTCAGCTGCTGAACTGATGCTTCCGAGACCAGCGAAGTGGTCTGCAGGGTCAGCTGTGGGAAAGAGGAGGTGCCCGGAAGAGCCTCTGTGAATTACCCGCGCCCCCTCCACCAGGGAGCCAGCTGCCAGCCCCGGGGGCCAGTGAGAACCGAGGCCTTGGGAAAGGGCTTCTGGTTCTTCCAGGCTAGAGTTGAGTCCGTGGCTTCCCTGCTTCCTGCAGTCCTTTCCCACACTGGCAGAGGAGAGTTTTTCGAAGTAATCGTGACATTTTTCCATCTCGAAACCTTGTGGCCCATTGTTTTGAGTTACCACTCATATAGTGAACGTTTGCGTTTCTGGAGTATTTCTAGGGAGTGGTCAAACCCCGTAACATCCCAACCAGCAAACCTGTAAAACCCGCCTCATGTTATCAGACTTGTGAGCCCGGGGTACTCCTTGGTGCTTTGTCTTCCCTGTGTCATTGCTGGATTCAGTTGTGAGATCATTTTGTAAGAACTGGAAAGCAGAGAAAGAAGTAGTAGTGAATACTTCTCAGGATAGAGCTGTGGGGCCACCTGCTCCTGGAAGGGGACTGTAAAATTCAGAGATGACCGGGGAACGCTCCCCTCAAAACAGTGTTGTCAAATGAAAATGAATTTCATGTTAAAAACACACACACACACACCTGTTGCATTTATCATATAAAGGAGAAAGAATATTGTAAAGATGGAACCGTTATTCATGGCAAAGGAAGACACCAAACAAAGAAAAATTCTTTTCTTCTCCGTCTTCACAATGCTTACACCCCTCATCCTCGCTGTTGCATCAGCTTGTCCATATAACCCATACCAGGAGATGGATTGTGGCCAAGACAAGCCGTACGATGGCGCTCTCCATAAACACTGTCGGAATCTGGAGCAGCACGTGTTCCTTCAGCAGATAAAAATGGCAAAATGAGAATGGCACACATTGTTTTGCAAAGGTCGGAATAAGACTCCACGTTTTAGGAAGTGACGACGAACCGTCTAATTCTAGGATGTTGAATTCTGCTTGGCCACGTTGATGTATTTAGTAGTCGTTAAATTTGTCATTGCAACTGGGTCTGGATTCTGTATATTCTTTTTTCTGTTATGTAGAACTGTGTGGCTGGAGAAAGCAACTTTGTCTTTAGAATAAATACTTACACTTATTTCTAAATATAATTACTTAAATGAGAACTTAGCGTCTGACATGGTAAATATTTTGTCTTAAATTGTACCAATTGCCACATGATATCCACTCCCAACATGGAGCAGTAACCCAGGGATGGGAGGGAAGGGATGACTCTGGCGCTCCAGCTCACTGTCACCTGCTGTCAGGCCATGTCCTTCATCCGCTGCATGCGCATGGTGCCCCAAGCGCAGGGTTGTTGTTTTTTTTCTCTCCTTCCTTTCTTTTGTAAACTGTACCTCTGACAACATTGGCATCGCTCTGATCATCAGACCTTTGGGATGCTGGAAGATGGGGGGTGCCGTGGAGTTCTCCACAGCACCAAGCACTTCACTAGTTGATGGTGGGTGTTCAGTAAGTACTCACAGAGGGAATGAATGAGCTCAAGCAAAGTGATGCCAACTACAGCACTAAAGCAAACAGGAGGCAGATGGCATGCACAGTTCATACATGAAGAGACACCATTACAAGGGAAACATAAGGAAAATATTCAGACATTTTAGATTTTAAAGACAAACAAGATTAGCAACATCACCATTTTAAGCTTTTGCTAAAAAACTGTAGAGATAGGAAAACCCACTGTTGATGAGATTAATAACTGATATCTGCAGAGGTTTTACAGTTTACAGAGTGCTTTACATAATTTGATCATTATATTAACCACATGGGGCATACTGTTATCATTATCACCATTTCTTCATTATTATTATTATCCACTTAGAAATTATGGACTAAATTGCTTTAAAGATGCCCAGGTTCCATCTTCTTTTAGTTACTGGTCATTAAGAAAATTAATTAGCAACATATATCATGAATCAGAAAGATATATTATGCTGTTTGTTCCAGTAATAACGCTGCTGAGAATTTCTTCTAAGGAAAATTCAAAAGTAGAAGATGTCCTTTGCAGTGTTGTTTATAGCCAGAAATTGGAAACAACCAAAACTATCCAGAAGTAGAAAAATGGTGATATAAATTATCTACATTAAATCAATAATGTTACATATCTAAAATTATGAAGATTACATAACAACATGGGGAAAATGGTTAGGAAATCATATTAAAGAAGTGTATAAAGTTATATCTTTTCTGTGGCCATAACCAAGAACAATGTATGCATATGTTCAATAAAAAATTGATCTGTTAGACGAGATTTTGGTGGATTTAGTTTACATTATTTGTATATCTGTACTTTTGCCAAGTATATTTTAACAGTACAACAAAATAGGCCCCCATTATTTTTTTCCTTGACATCATAATTTAGAACAGGGAGAAAGCAGCATACAATGAGCTGTTTCTACGTTGTAGGAAAGAGCTGTGTAATTCCAGGATGTGGAATCCTAAGCCTGGCCACGTTGCTGTATTTAGTAGTAATTACATCTGTCATTGTGACTAGGTCTGAACTCTGTACTCTGTCTTGATAAACATAACATGGAAAATCTCTTAACTAAACAAAAGGTATCAAGAAACACCAGATTTGTGTCTTCCTAGTAGATATGTTGAATTGTACTCTTTTACAAAACAAGTATCACAGGATGCAGAGTCCCGAATGCCTACATCTTATAAGATACTGAATGTGTCCTTGGAAAAAAAATCCTCTCAGCCTGAAATTCCACTTGCCAAAAGCAAGGCAGATCTCCAATGCAAATACAGGAGCGAATGGGCCCCATTCACAGGCCTTAAATCGTGTGTCTCACTTTTTATGGTAGTGTTGTGAATTCTGTTCTTTTTGGGTTTGTAATTAGAGGACAGAACAGATGGCGAAGGCCTAGTTTGAAGTGATGTGACTGTTAACGTCGCCTCCTTCATCCAGTTGTGATTCCAGGGAACCCGGTTTTCCCACACATGCGCACAACGGGCGTGGTGCAGCTGTAGGGTTTGCAAGGTAGCCGCTCACGCTGAGTTTTTACAGCATTTGAAGCTGCCTGTGAATGAGATTGGACCGAAGAAAGCCGTCCCTGGATGTTTCTAAGGGTGAAGGCTCCATAGGGGAAGGGTGAATTCTTGTCAATCATATTCCTGTAATTAGGATTTGTTAAAATAGAAGGTATACAATTCTGCAGTGGGAATAAACGTCTGTTTTACACTCAAGTGCTCATAGAATCCTTTTTGGCTTTTTCCCCGCCCTCTTTCTATGTACATGAAAGTTCCTATCGCCATCACCAAGAGTTGCTCCTCTTTTCAGGCTTACTTAACCAATAAGTCAAATGCCAGCTATTATTTTCCTAGTTAAATGCTTTGGTGAAGTTAAGTCCTATTTGTAAAGACAGACCAAAATTGGAAGGCGCAGGGAATGAACTTTTGTATTTTGTTATTGTTATTGTAAAGATTTGTTGATGAATCTTTATTTGAATGCTATGAAAAGCCATCATTTCAGAGTATATTTTTAAAAATCAGAACAGGCTATTTTTAATGTAATAAGCTAATAGCTTAAAAGAGGGATTCTGTCTTTGATGTCATTTGGTGGATGAAAACATTCTTGTTCAATAGAAAACCAGCATCTTTTTCATGCTCATTTGAGATCAGTTCAGGCAACATACTGATATTCATTCAGATATAAATGCCATATTCACTTTGAAATGCAAATTGTGTAAAGAAAAATAGCATATGGTGGAGGTAAGTACCTTTTCAAATCAACTCTTCCACTTTAGGGATATAAGTACAGCTAAAATTATTCTTTGGAAAGAATCTGGCGCTTTTGACACATGGAAGCTTGCACTAATCAAGGCAGCTCAGTAAGCACACACACATATCCATATCAAGGAAGTGGCGCAGCGAGGACATGGATTAGCATGGTAATGCAGTCACCCCCTGCTAATCGGGGCGAGTACCAGCTGATCCGTAGATGGGGTATTTGAGGAAACACTCTTTCTGAGTTCAGAATGGGCCATGTCGTCAGTCATGTATTTCATGGTAACGCAAATAATATTTGGGGGACGATGCCGAAAAGGTCCTTTTATGACTGCCTTCCTGTGGAAGCCAGCATCCTATACTGTTTGGGGCTGGGCCACTTTTTAAGGACTTATTGCTGGTACAGCTGTTTCCTTGTACAACCCTGTTCTGTCTCTTACACTTCCTGACCTGACCTCTGCATTCACAAGCCATTCCAATGACATTTTCTAGGTTTTTGGATAAGTGTTACTGGTACAACATACACATAAGACGCACAGAATCATAAGTCATAGCCACGTTTACAGGGGCCGCCACTCACATCCAGAAGCAGCAGGTAGCCAGCCCTCATGGACCCCTTCCTGTCCCGTGCACCCCCACCCCACCCCACCCCACTCACAAGGGTGACCACCATCTGATTTCTCACTCCGTAGATGGGTTTCGCCTGTCCTTGGACGGGATCCTAACAGTTGGCACTCTCGTGCTTGTCTCCGGCTCTGTGTTCTGTGTGTGATGTCACCGCAGTTGTGGCCCGTGTCAGTAGTTCCTTGTTGTCATTGGGTAATGTTCCGTTGTGCCGTGATGTACCTACAGTGATGGACAGTGCCGTCATTCCCAGCGTGGGGCTGTTATGAGCAGTGCTGCTCTGAACATTCTAGCACCTACTTTTTGGTGGCCATGTTTATGTGCATCTGTATGATTTAAATCTGAAAGATGTGAAAGGAGAAGAGAAATCTTAAAGGAGGAAAAAAAAAGAAGTGGACTTGAAATGTTTTATGAAAGCTTTGCATCCAGTAAGTCAATTAGAAGAGTGGTGTAGGTTGTCCTGGGACAGCCCCGAGCTTAGGAAACCCCCGTGTTTAATAAGAGCACGTAAGCAAGCCTGTCCAAAGTTTGCCGTGGAGAGTGACATTTACTGTCCCAGACAGCAAACAGATGTGCCCCCCTCGCTGGGAGTAGACACTACCCCTGTCTCACCAGTCTGTTCATTCTGTCAACATCCCTTGCAAGATACTACCTTAAGTCTAAGGTAGTATCTTAAGGTAGTATCTTAGGTAGACTTAAGGCAGTATCTCCCCTTTCCATCTATTCTTTATCTAGATGGGCCTAATTCCAAAGTCTAAAAGCTGCAGTGTCCCCTGGAGCCTCTCCTGTACCTTCCAGCAGCGGTGGGCTCCCTGACCCTCATACTTTCTGGCTGCTCTTGTGTTACTCTGCCTTGCGTTTGGGCCACATGTGGATCTGCTGTATACCTTCTACTAGACTAGATTGTAGGTTCCCTAAGACAGGGACTCCTTCCTTCATTGTGCCCAATGCAGTAGGGGCTCAGTTCCATGCGGCTGCTCGGCCCGCTAGAAGGTCAATGTTAGAATAGGCGGCAGCTTCTGCATACCGGGTCCCATCTTCCCCTACTCGCGAGTTAGCAGGTTAGCCTGCCCTAGGTTCCTGGGTGATGAGACTCCTGGATCAAAATGAATGACAGTCTCTTGCAGCAATAGCAATAGTGAGAGTATCAGCATTGTCATGCACTGGCTTCCCAAGCCTCAGTTCCCACAGGGTGACACCAGCACACACAGTAACTCATGTTGTAAGAGGAACCCCAAGCTTAGGAAACCCCATGTGTTTAATAAGAGCACGTAAGCAAGCCTGTCCAAAGTTTGCTGTGGAGAGCGACATTTACTGTCCCAGACAGCAAACAGATGTGCTCCCTCTTAAAGTAGACATTACCCCTGTTGTACCAGTCTGTTTACTCTGTCCACATCCCCTGCAAAATAACACAGAGCAGAGAGCACCTGCCCGTGTCCACACCCAGAGGAAGAAGAAACTGAGGCCCGTGGAGAGCTGGCTGCCAGCAACAGTGGGGTGGGATGTGCTGGTAGCAGCAGGGAGAGTGGAAGTCAGGGAAGGATGGAAGGGAAGGGAAGAATGGAGAGTACTCACCCCCCAAAGTAGGCCACATCCTTGTACTTATCCCCGAGTATAAGTGTACCCTCGGCTTCCGGGGTAGAAGCTTCCTTTAAGACCCTTGTATTTGCGCGTGACTTGAGGTTGGTGAATTAGGACCACTTGTTAGACTCACCTCGTCTACTCCAGGAAGGAGGGCATTCTAATCTGGCTTTTACAATCTCCTCCTTCTAGGGAAATACAGACATGCCTGCAAAGAACATTTCCAACGATGGTGCGCAGAGTTTTCCCACATCTAAACGACCCCAGCTTCATATCTTACTCCTTAGACACGGGAATGAAATTCTGTAGCAAAACGGCTGTGTGTTGAGGTGGTCCCTGATGGAGACAATCCAGAGGCTCTCTTTCCTGGGCATTACTGGGGCTGAGGGTTGGGGCGTGGCTTCCTGCAGACCCCACGCACCTTGCAATCCTCATGGCATTTCTGAATGTAGCTCTATTTCTATTAGCCTTCCTGAACTGGCAACTTTAATGCCTGGGTAGCAAGCACTTGGGCGTTTCCTTAAACTCACCGTCTTAGCTATCAGGTCTAGGTGTGAAAATGTGATTTAACTAATCAACACAGTAGCAGCAGAGCTTGGTGTCTTTGTTGACTGTCGGCGGCCACGTGGGTTTAGGTCCCCTGCCCTTCAGCCTGGTTGCTGGGTATGAGGCCTCCACCTCGGCAGGACTGCTTCGAGCTGACCTGGACTGTGTTTAGAACAGTGTTTGGTGCACTTGTATCCTAGCTTGTCTTGATGTCAGGATCCTTACCCCTCAAGCAATCAAAAAAGTTATCCAGCTTGTTTCACAAATGAGAACTTCAGACCTTCAGCCTTAATTAATAACTCATTAACGTGAAATGAATTCCAGTGAGTGAAAACAGTTGCCCTCGAGTACTTTGAGTGAGAATACAGTGATTTTAAACAGAGGCTTTTTTTATGCTTAAAGATATTTCCAAAAGTGTTCAAAACTCCTGTGTGGTAACACATAGGGCAGGTATTGCTTGATGCTTACATAACAAAACTGGATGCCAGGACAGCATTAGTAGGTCAATTAGTTAATGACATTCATTCAAGAACAGAAATGAGATTACATATTAGACTCTGTATGCATATCTGTATCAAAAAATGCATGAGAAAGTATGACACTATAATTGGATATGGAATGTGCATGATTATTAAAAAGATTCACTCCACATTTGGGGGTGGTTCGTTTCTTTGACGGGTGGATTTACTGAAAGTAAGTGGAAATGCCTCAAAACTGTGGCCACTGGCCTGGGACTGCTGACACATGGCACGAGATGCTCCATGGGCGTGTTAACCCAGCATGGCAGCTTCCACAGTGTCGTGGCTCAGGTCGTGGACCACTGGTTTGCCTCAGAGTTTAAGCAGATGTCTTCATGCATTTACGTTGAAAGGCAGGTACTGTGTTTGGATCCCAGAAACAATATTTCTGACCCTGTGTAATTTTTTTTAGTCAAATATGTTTCTGCATTATCACACAAAATACTTTTGTTTTCTTTTGTTGGTTTTTCTGAAAGAAAATTTAAGTGATCTCAAATATAGTGAATGGGTATATTTTGAAACAGAGATTTACTCCCTTAAGAGAAAATCGGAAATGTTTTGCTTATGGAATGAGCCTCCTCCTCCGCATATTTTTGGAAGGTCCTGACCAGAGGTCAAGAGTGAGGTGGGTTGAGTGCAGTGGGGTGTGGGGAGGCAGGTGTGAGCCTGGGCAACCCCGGAACCCACTCAGATCCTTCAGACAGATCCAGAGAGAGAGGCTGTCAGCTCTTTGTTCATAAACACAGGCCCACAGCTCCCAGATGCTTTCATTTTCTAAGTGATGCCAGAAACCACCAATTTTTAAATGAAATCTCCCAATTTAATTCTA
This sequence comes from Homo sapiens, assembly GCF_000001405.40. NCBI lineage: Eukaryota > Metazoa > Chordata > Mammalia > Primates > Hominidae > Homo > Homo sapiens. The sequence continues at coordinate 235,926,976 of NC_000002.12, forward strand.
CTTTGAAAAAAATGATCAACTAAGTAAAAATGTCTCTATGAGCTCAGCCTGGACGTCAGGCGATAGTCTGTGGATCTGATTGAAAGTTTCACCTTTATCACGGTTTGTCCATGTATACACCTTGATGTGGCCCAAATTCAGTCATGCTGTTTCAGTGTAGTCCCGCAGTGGGAAGTGGGTGTGGCTGGGGCTGGGGGGCCTTCACGAGCTATAGGGCTCTAAGAGTCTGCCGTCAGAAGGATTGTGGATAGCTGGTCTGGTGTCTTCCATCTGGACACCAGGAGCATGTGGTCTTGCCAGGAGGTTCGTCACCCCAGAGGTTCCAGGTTGGTTCCTTGGGGACTCTCTCAGGAGGCAGAAGGTGGGCTCTGAGCCACACCCTCAGAGCTGCTGCACCAGCATCTCAGTGGATTGGACTTGTCCTTGTATTTTGATGGACAGACAGAAGTTTGAAAACCAGTACATTCACAGCAGCATTCACAGCAGAGTCCTGTTGTTTCCTAGTGTGTAGGCTTGAAGGAATCTCTCCCTTCCTTTTTGGCAGTGTGATGTTTGGCCATGAGATGAAGAACTCATAAACCTAAGATGAGTTCTTGATCAGCAACCTCCATTGGAACATTTCGTGGTCCCTTGTCTGGGGTTGAGATTGACTTGGCTCTCCTTACTGTGTGTTGATACTTACTTCTGGAGCTTTATTGCAAGTAGTCAGTGATGGATGCACTGAAATACTGTCCTCTGCCTTTTAAAGGAAATTGTTCTGGAAGGTTTCTAGGCCTGGTTGTCATCGGAGAACCACTCTCCAGGGAGAAGGAGCAAGAGAAGCGGTGCTCTATTGAGTGCCATGTTGTCATCGTTGTCCCAAAGATGGAGGGACAGACAGACACAGTGAAATTCCTTTTTGTTTTTCAGGTATTTGGACCTTGTGTGCCTAAAGCTGGTATAAAATGAGGTCTGTGGACAGATGGCATGCTTAATAATGACTTGACAGGGGTCTGATTGGGCATTGCAGTGTGGAAGGAATTACCTCCTTATCATCTTACCTACACAGCAGGTGTCCCTGCAGGTAGAGCAGGCCCAGAAGTGCCTGGCACAGCAGTCAGGGTCCCAGCAAGGGAGGTGCCCCCCCAATCGCACCCCCAGCTGCTTGCAGGCATCTTGTCATTGTCCTTTTCCACCTTTGCGGAGTCCTTTCGCCCACCATAACAGTGTCAGCAGTGTCTGGAAGCCTTTTGTCTGCTCAGAATTCACGTGATGAAAGCGGAACCAGGCCAGGGAAGCCCCGGCAGCCACTCTTGGGAGGCGCCTCCTCCCCAAACGCACCTTCGATGGGTGGATGTGTGGGATTGAGAGAGAGAAGGGGAAGAGAAGCACACAGGACAGTGCAGGCACCAGGGCTGGCAGAAATGCACCAGGACAACCCATGGGCCCCAAGGGCCAAGGAGAGAGGGGGTCACCCAGCAAGACAACTGCTCGGGGAACGAGCCCTGGAGTCAGCACCCACCCTCACCCTCCTCTCTCCTTTAGATTCCTGCCATGCTCACCATTGGTTGAGCCCAGTGAGAAGCTAGAAGGTGCTGGAGCCAACAGGTGCAGCCCATATGGGTGCCTTCCCAGGAGGAGAGCAGGGCGGAGAAGGGATGTGAAGGGATGTAGCAGGAACATGGTGGGCACGGGCTCCAGGAGGGGGTCCCGAGATGGGAGTATCTCCTCTGCTCCTCAGGGATGCTGCCTTCTGTGGGGTCTGAATGCCCTATTGTAATAGGGATCTGGCTAAGGCACACAATACCCAGAGGACAGCCACAGGGTGGCTTCGATGGTGGCACGTGGAAAATACAGGGAGGAGCATGAGTGCTCCCCTTAGTGCCATGTCGCCAGCTCTGGGCTGCTCCTCCACGTCTCTTAAGATGCCACATGCCTGGCCCACCTCCCCCGGCTGCTGTGAGGCCTGGTGCAAGAGCAAGCATGGGAGCACCACATGGCACTGTCATTCAAGATGTGGGCTCCAAATGACGCTGTGTGTTTCTAGGGCGTTAGGGCACGCCCATGCCCTGAGATGGAGCTCTCAGAACATCAGGGCTTGGGGGCATGAGAAACGGCCTCAAGACCCTACATGTAAGCAGGGGAGCCCAGACCCGAGGCTTCCGAGCCACTGCCCTCGCTCCTCCCACCTGAGCCCCTTGGATGCCAGTGGTCTGCCGTGGTGGAGTTTTGATTGTGATTTTTTGTTTTATGGTGGTGACTTTCTGGCTGGAGTGGTTTTTTTAATTAATGTGCACACAGATTGCCTGGGATCTTACTAAGAGGCAGGTGGCAGGTGGGGCCTGGGATTCTGCATTTCTCGAATGCCTCTTGGCGATGCTGCTTCTGTAGGTCCGAAGACCACAACCTCTGTGGCTTTCCGATCCTTCCTTCCCTGGGGCATCACTGTGGGCTTTTTTCTGGAATCAAGCAGACCTGCCTATGAATAATTTCCCTTATGACGTTCAGAATGTACTCAGTTCAGACAACAGCATAAAATAGGTATCTTTTCTTTTTTTTTAAGGCAGAACTCTATTCTTCAAAGCCAAACGCCTCGTCGTTTGTTAATCGCTGATTGGGTGTAGGGCTCGTACACTACGCTTCAGCTCGTGGTTCCGTGGCTTCCCAGTGCTGCACGGGATCGCAGTGAGGCCGCTTGTTTGAGGGGAGACCTGGTTCCTGCCTCTGGCTTCTCATCCATATCACCGGAGTGCTTTTGAAAATGCATCTTTTCCCAAGCCCCATTCCCAGAGCTTCTGAATCAAAATCTGTATTTTTTGAAGCCACTAGTTCTAAAAAGCTCCACAGGAAATTCTGGTAATTGGCCAGATTTAAGAACTGCTAATATGGGCTGCGTATTTATTATAAAATCCTGCACTGTGAAAAACTTATGTTGAGACAGCTTAGAACTTAGCTGGTTCTGAACTAAAACAATTGGAAGAAAATTTTTTTTAAAAAAGCCCCAGTACCTCCGAAGATCTGCAAATAGACCTAACAGACTAATTCGCTGGCAGCAGGGTATGATTGGCTGAGCTTTAGAGAAAGGCACTTAATTATGTTTTTGAGTCTAAAATTGGTATGACCAGATAATAATTCATTTTGATGTTGAGCAACTGATTCAAATCATTAAGTATACAATGGAATCATTTTTCATCACAGCCCCTGTGCTCTATGAAGTCACGCAGGTTGTTTTTCCTCTGCTTAGTCTTTTCAAGGTTAAGAGTAAACTTATCTGGTTGAAGAGCCTGCATTTCCTCCGTGTCGTGTCTAGGGACTTTGATTTGTGTTGATCATAAAGTATGGCTTCCCCATGAAAATAATCCTCTGGCACCAGACAGTTGACTCTCAATGGGTGATCATTTTCTGTTCCATTGGTAGGGTGACATGGCCGGGCTCCTGGAGCCCCCATCTTGCCGGCCTGCCGGATCGCGGTGTCTCTGCTAAGACTCGCTGGGTCTTTTGTCTTCACTTCCACTCGATGTTGCGGTTGCGGTTGGGTTGCGTCTTTGTATAGGGTTGTTCGGTGCGAGCCATCTGTGGCATCGGGTCCCTTCACATTGCTTTGTCAGGCACCATCAAGATTGGCGTCCCCCTTTTATTCCTCCCGAATAGTTTCTGTCTGGCGCTTCCGTTTGCCATGCAGGCAGGACAGGGGCTGCTCTCGGTGGTAAGGTGCACTATGTGCCAGCGTGTGGGTCCCATAGACTAACTCGCGCTGGTTTCTGTGGTCTGCAGTCCGCGGTGGTGTTCACCTGACTTGTTTATTCCTAGGGAATGTCACTAGTGCATCTGGGTCTCAGATGGCAAGCGGCATCAGCCTGGTCTCCTTCAACAGCCGACCCGACGGCATGCACCAGCGCTCCTACTCAGTCTCCAGTGCCGACCAGTGGAGTGAGGCTACGGTCATTGCAAACTCGGCCATCAGCAGTGGTAAGAGGGGGCTCAGCCCCACGGACCCGCAGCCACCTCAAGGTCCTTCGTTGTAAGCCAGGGGCTGGACAGGACGCCCTAAGCTCTCATGCTCCTCTGGGAGCGCAGCACCCTGTGGGGCGGCTGCATCAGAGACTCACATCTTGCCTTTCATCTGTGGAACGTTTTGTCCTTGCTAGGCTGTCTTGCCCCTGTCATCTCATCTGTTCCTCTTTGGCACAGGGAGGAGGTAGTCATCCCATTTGGTCAGTTTGGAAACTGAGGCGGCAGACAGGGCAACTGGCTTACCCAGGGTCACGTGACAGAAGTGGCAGCGCTGAGAAATAAGATCTGATTTTATCTCCCCAATCACACTGCCCTACGTGGCGTGGCCCACACTCTTCCACCACTAGTGCACATTTTATATCATTAGGGTGAATTCAGTCTCCTTGTCTGTTTTCCAGAATTCCTGGTGTACCCTCTAAATTCTGGAGTCCCCTTTGTAATCCTTCAGTTTTCAAATTCCTTTGGCATTATTATTATTATTATTATTTTGACAAGTGTATCCAGCTTTTTGGGGAATAAGCATGCACGTTGGAAACGATCTCGCCGTCTGTGTGGAGCGTGAATGACGCAGCACCGAGGGCACCCTGGTGGCTGCAGCAGGGTTTGCCTGTGGCGTTTTGTCTCTGGCCTGTTCACCGGTATTTAAAGGAATTCCCACTGTTGTATGTAATCTATCAGACGGGGTTTTAGAGTAATCTTAGCATAATTTGTTCTAATTAAAAGATTCAGCATCAGGTCTTCCCTGTAGACCCACCAGCTGCTGCAGCAGGACGTTTGCTTTGGGTAAACATCATCCTTATTTCTAGTGGCTCCGCAGACGCCACCAAGCAGAAGCCTTAAAGGAAGACATCTCCAAACCAAGCCGGGAGACGCGGAGTCAGCGAGGTAGCTCCACACCATAGCGGTGCGGGTCTGGAAGAGCCTTGTGACTTGGAGCAGACACACACAGCGTCACGCGGCTGCCCCGGCTGGCCCATTCCCATCCCAGCGCCAGGGCTTGCTCCTTCCCTCAAAAGAAGGTGCTTTGTTAGATAGCAAAGATCTGCCTGCAGCTTCTTCAAGGGCTCTCTAAGGCTCTCTGCCTCATCTGGAATCACGATGATAACCCTGAAAACCCCAAACAAGGAGGTTTGAAGTTATGATAAATTAACCGTCTACAGTTTACTCTCTTTGTAACCACTGCATGCCCCAGCGGGCCTGGTAGTCAGCCTTTCATCAGCCCTGTGTGTGCTGCAGCTGAAGCCCCGCCACCTGCCAGCCAGGCAGCCTAGGATGAGCCTCCGTACCTCCATGAGCCTCCGTTTTCTTATCTGTTCAATGGACACGTTCTCCCCTCCCTTACGTAGAAGTTAGGCATGTGCCACAACACAGGACAGTAGGCTCTTCGTGACTGAAGAACCACTGTTAATCATGGTTCCTTTAGGAGGAGCAGAGAGTTCACATACTCGTTTCATTATCAAATACTTTAAAATATGTATTATCAATTAGTATTACTATTTGATAAGGTTTCATTCTGTGGCCGCCATCTCGTGAAGGTGTTCTTGCATAGGGCCACGTTTGAGGGCGTGGGGAGATGCACGCTGGGCCTTCTGGAGCCAGGTGCACAGGTGACACGGACAAGGCCTTGCCTTACCAAGCAGCCTCTGCTGAGTGAGAGTAGTCTAGGTGCCAATAATACAGGTGTTTAAGTATTCATCTAAAATTCATCCTATACAGATTTTCCTTTTGCACACTTACCTGTTTGATAAAAACTCACTAGGTAACTTTCCCTCTACTGAATAGCTCTTTCTGTTGAGCTGTACGTATGTGCAGTGGGCGTTTCCACACCGCCACATCGTGAGACACTGCTTTCCAGAGCCTCCGTTTGGTTGGAAGTCTCTTTCCATGGAAGTGGGCTGCATTGTCTGCACGCATGCATTTGTACAGTACCCATGTGAGACTAAAGTCGCCTACGTTTGAATGCCAGTTTTTTATTCACAAAGCAATTTCTATAATATTAACACACGTGGGTGTCCATTAAAGACCAGTATGCTCCCTGACCTCGTAAATCTTGAACCCTGAACATAGAAGATAAGAAACAAGCAAGCGGATGCCCCAGGTGTCAGCCTGCTGAGGGACATGGAAGGAGAGCTGTAGGGAGAGCCCAGGGCTGAAATTGTGCAGGTCGTTTAAGGATTGATAGAGTTGATCAAGGAAAGCTTCCCAAAGAAAATCAAACTTGAGAAATGCTTAAAGAACCAGATGGATTTTTTTGTGCAAAACAGCAGGAGGAAGTTATTATAAGCATTGGGGCACTTCGGACAAAGACCCAGAGAGGAGGAAAAGGGAAGATGGAATAGCCACGAGCCGCAGTGAAGTGAAAGGTGATAGTTGGGGTGCAGAAAAATGAGGAGAGACCAGAAGAGATGAGTGTTGAGAGCCCAGCACTGCCAAATTAGCATCTGATTTTCAGACTTGGGAGCTGACATTTTACAGAGCAAAGATCCAGAAAGACAGCAGAATGGTGCACAGAAGTCTGATTCCTACAGCTTTATGGGGGTCTTGGTTGATTCCTGTATTTTCTAAGGATTTTTTTTTTTTTTTGAGATGGAGTCTTGCTCTATTGGCAGGCTGGAGTGCAGTGGCGCGACCCCGGCTCACTGCAACCTCCGCCTCCCGGACTCAAGCAGTTCTCCTGCCTCAGGCTCCCGAGTAGCTGGGACTGCAGGCACGCGCCACCGTGCCCGGCTAATTTTTGTATTTTTAGTAGAGACGGGGTTTCACCATGTTGGCCGGGATGGTCTCAATCTCTTGACCTCATGATCTGCCCGCCTTGGCCTCCCAAAGTGCTGGGATTACAGGCATGAGCCACCGCGCCCGGCCTTTCTAAGGATTAATAGTATGTCATACCGGAAATATTTTGAAAAGGGAGACAATAATCGTAATAATAAGAGCTACAGTTTATTGAGGGCTTTATGTAGATAATCTCATTTGATCCTCACAGAGTAGATCCTGTTGTTACCTGCCTTCTACAGGGGCTGCCTTTGGTACAGAAGGATTAAATGTCACTTGCTCAAAGTCACATCCTGTGAGGGGCCAGGATTCAAACTCAGGTGGCCCGATTCAGCTCTCCATCACTGCATGTCAAGGTGTGCCTCCAGGAGCAGCAGCAGCAGCAGCCCCTGGGAACTGCTTAGAAATGTTGATCTCAGGCCCTGTCTCAGTCCCACTGAATCCAGTCCTCAGGGGATGGGACCAGGCAACCTGTGTATAGCAAGCCCTCTGGGATCACATGGCATGCTGAAGCTTGGGAACCACTGCTGTAAGTCCTCACTTCCCAAAGCCTGGTCCACGGACCAAGTGGCATTTGACAGCTCCGGGGATTTGGCTGGTGATGCAGAATTCAGGCTCCACCCAGGCCTGCTGGACGCATCCTTGTCTGTCTGCGCCGAGGGTACCATCCCGGCGTCCCTCTGGTTCGCGTCATTCCCCCCTTTAGTGTGCTGCTTCGTCAAGTGGCCAGACCCCAGCAATGTTTAGTGAACACCAGGGCACAGGATCTGATGGACAACTTCCAGAAAACGTGTTTATGAATGGATTTCAAGACTCAGCCTTGGCATAAACATTCCCTGCAGGGCTTAGAAAATAATCACAGAAGAAACAAACATGATTAAGAGCTTTCTGTCATGCTCTTTCTTCTTAAGTTGCCGGTGATATAAGTCCCCCCTGCCCCCACTTCCTTTTCGAATGTATCTGCCCCCATCCCTAGTCTTTGGTTTGGATTTCAGAGTCGCTTACTCTGTGCTGGCAGCAGGAATGAATGGGGAGAGCCTAAGCAGCTTTGGAATACAGACGCCCGTGTTGGCAAGTGTGCCTTCCCATTGTTGTGCACTCTTACTCTAAAACATAATAATCACGGCAACATTGGGATTCACTGTTTCTCCGCCCCCCGTCCACCCTAAATTAAGACTTTGGCTCTGGAGAACTTTTCAAAGTCTCCTCTCTAGACACACCGGTCCCCCCGGGGTTTCTTCCTTTAAAGCAGCTGTGAGAAACTCCTAATTAGATAGATTCCTTTGTAGGGGCAACCTACAAAACAGGAGGTGCTGCTTAAATTAAGGGAAGAAGAAAAGAATCCATTTCGTGAAATGGAATGCCCACTGCTTTATGACTATTACTGTTGTAAGGTTTCACATTTAAGTACCTGAGGTTTAAAATTAAATGTCTAATATAATTTGGCGTTGCTAACATGAGACCTGCATCTGCCCTTAGAGAAAATGCAGACAGCTCGGTTGAGGGTTTCAAATTGCCGTCTGCCGGCTTGCAAGCCGCACGGAGGATTGGATCCCTCCTCTGCTGAGTACCACATGCTGCTGAGCGTAATTTTTTAAATGCAGAAACATATTCATCTTGAGCCTCTGCATTGAAAAAGGCCGTTCCAGGAGTACATGAAAAATTAATTTTTTTACATTTTTTCCCACTCTTCTAAGTGTTTGACAGAAGTAATTTTTGCAGCAAGAGAGAATAAAAACTGGTGGCTGTAAATTCCTGTCCTGCAACCTCTTGTGTAGATTCTTTATGGACCCAGAATTGATCTACATGTCAGATCCTGTTGTGGTTTAAACTGTTTATCACTGTAATGGCAGTAGTGAGCCCGTGACCACCAACTTATAATCCTGGGTGAAAGAAATTGGTGTTTGCAGTCAATGAAGAGGCAGCTTTGCTTTATTGATAGATTCAGAACAATTATCTCTGCAACAACTATTGGCTGAGGGTTCTCTTGAATCTTATTGGAAGCCTGTAATTTTTTTTGATTAATCATTTCCTCCATAGGTAATTTCCTCTAGAAGCGTTAGCCACGAGTCAGCATCACTGTGGGTAGCAGGGGCCCTGGGGGGTCGTATGTGGCATACTTGGCCGTCCTGTCTTACTTCAAGACAAGATGCACGTTGAGATGCGTCACACCTGTCCTCAGGGCCAGAGTGCTCACCTGCCTGCCTGCCTCCTGAGTACCTGGGTGAGCCTGGCCCGGCCCTCCCCGCTGGCTCCTGCCTGGGCCAGCCTCGTCGGGTGGTCTCAGCTAATGCTGTTGCCATGGCAGCCTCGCTCCCCCAGCCCTGGACTGTCAGGTTCTTCTGATAGCTCCACCCCATCCCCGATTGCTTCAGTCCAACAGTTTATCTTCTGCCACGCTGACTGGCCATCACTGTTAATACTGCATTTCTTCACGTGACTCTTCCATGTGGCTCTTGAGCCTCACTTCCCTCGGCCTCCCCCAGGCCACCACGCAGCCTCGTCACCATCGAGCACAAACACCATGTCCATCTTCCACATGGAAGGAGTGTATCACATGTGTGTGTGTACGGGTGTATGCTCTGGTCCCTGTTTCCTTCTGGCCACGTAATCATTATATCTTTCCAGTAGACTCTGTGGTTATAAAGCAGCCGATCCTCAATGGAAAGCATTTGAGTTTTTGCCAGCTTTTAAATGTCTTTTCTCATTATAAAAATGTTTTGCACGTCGATTTTGATGATGGGGGTTCGAAACATGAGTTTCAGCTTCGGAAGCTGTCTGTCCCACACTTACTTTCGGAGCCAATGCATTTGAACCACACTTTCCAGCAAGCATGTCCACACCATTCATCAATTTTAATCATTATAGTTGGAGCATTTTTTTTCTCTTCTTGGATATTATACTGACAATTTTAGTGTATGACCAGCAGGCGGCGGTAATGTGATACTGCCGGTCTCTGACCTGGAAGCTTCTTTGATGGGAGGGTATCAGTGAAGCGTGGTGGGGAGGAAATACATGTGTTGACAGCCTCCGCTGTTGTGACCTTCATGCCTAACACTCGTTTCCCTGGGGATCATCATCTCTGATAACTGAGCTTCCAAAAGGCTGAGAAACCAAGACCATACTTATCATTATTAGCCAAAATTCAAACCCAGATCTTTCTGATTTCAAAGCTTGTAATCATTCCCCTCTGCTTTTTTTTTTTTAAGGAGAAACGCATGCTTAGTACTAAAACATTGTATCATAAAAATTGTTTGTCTTTTGATAGCGCTTGCTTTTCAAGGAAATATGTTCTAAGATGGATAGACATTTTGTCTTCTCTCACTGATGCTGAAGTTTCCTTTATCAATTCTTCCCAAATCTTGGCTGGCATTCAAAAGCGTTCCCTGGGGGTTGTCATCAACCTTCAGCTTAGCTCAGTGTTAAAGGCCCCTGGGCTCTCATCTCTCAAAGCTGGGCACTCCCTGCCTCACCGCCGGGAGGGCTGCTCGGCTCGCCAGGCTGGCCGGCCTAATTAAAAGGCTGACCCCGCTCCCTTCTGTGCTCGGAGCCTGCTTTCCTGTCTCTGCATGTGGCCGAGGAGCAGGCAGAAGCGTCCTGGGGTAACTGGACACAGGGGGTGAAAGGTGGATTTTTTTTCCTCCCAATCAGAATGTTGTAACTTTGTACTTTGTCTCCTTAGTTCCTTCCTATCAGCTATTTTCAGCAGTAGCTGCTGACCAGGGGAAACAGAGGACAGTGAAATGCTGCCCCATGATCAAAACCGAACAGGGGCAGCACATTTCATTCCCGAAGACCAGAAATCTTCATGTTGTTGCAAGGCAAAAAAAATCTAGAAATGCTTGTAAACAGGGAGTAGAGAAGGATATTGTTGCTAGTTGCTGTAGTGCCCGGACCAGACCTCTTGGCCCTCTGGCCCTCGGCGTGTCTTCACCTATTCCAGGGGCTCGCAGCCAGGGGTGATTTTGTCTCCTTGGGACAGTTCGTGATGTCCGGAGGCATTTTTGGTTGTCACATAGGGGAGGGTGATGCTACTGGAAGCTAGTGGGTAGAAGCCACCAGGGTGCTGCTGAGTGTGCCACGGGGCAGAGACCAGCCCCCCACAGCCAAGAGTTATTCAGCCCAAAACACCAGCGGTGCCACGGTCAGGAAGCCCCGATCTGGACAATGAAAGTTTCGCTTCCTTGGCCCCTTCCAGCTGCGGTTGCTGCGTTGCACAGTAATTCAGTAAGAATCCTTCCCAAAGAAAGGAAAGCCGGTTTCTGGTTTGCAAGAGGGTCACTGCAGCCAACCCAGAGCAGTGCCTGATCCTCAGGGTGCTTTCCACACAGCTTCTCAGAGCATCCGCCTGGCGGCACGGCCGGTTCAGCGGCAGTCCTGCTGCCACCAGCGTAGATGTGATGTAACATTCATGGAACTCACTGCTTGCCAGGCACAGGCCCCCAGGAGATGAGTGCCAGAGCCTTCCCTGCTTCAGATGAGGAGATGAGTGCCAGAGCCTTACCCGCTTCAGATGAGGAAGCAGGGGCAGAAGGCAGTTGGGCCTATCGCAGCAGCAGGTCGGTGGTCAAGGCTAGATTCAAACAGCCTGTGTCATAATTGTCACTAAGCTGTTCTCCTGCCCACCCGACCGCCTCCAAGAACGCTGGGTGCGCAGCGTGTCCCCCTGCTGCGCGTATGAAGACAGGGAGGGTGAGGCCATCAGATGTGTGGATGCCACAAGCTGAGACATAATCTACATTGAAATCTCCAGATTTAGAGACTACAAAATGGGTTGAAACTAACAAATTGAAACAGAGATAAAATCTTGAATTCAGGCTCAACAAACCAACAGTACAGATAATGGAACAGGAGTACCGGACCTGGTGGGGAAGGCTTGGGTGTGGTTTGTCTGCAGAAACGCTGTCAAGACTTACATTCTGCACTAAGAGGACGAGAGAGGTTCTGAATGTCTCACTGGGCTCCGAGGATCCTTTCGGGGGCCACATTTTGAGAAAGACATCGGCACACTGGGAAGCACATGAAGCGGAGGGCCGAGATGGGGAGAGGGGCCTGAAACCCACAACACCTAGCGTGGCTGAAAACCTGGGAGGGCCGGAGGACCCTCTCAGGAAGGCGTCGTCCAATGGCTGCCCATTATATTCTTGGGGGCGATTTTTAAAAATACTTGTTCCTGGGGCCAGCCGCTAGAGATCTAGTCCATTTGGCCTGGGATGGAACCCAAGCAGTGGAATGTCCCCCAGGGGTTTCAGATGCGCAGCCAGGGTTGAGAAGCTCTTTCAGAGGGACCTGAATGATGTGTGTGAATGGTGGTTATAGGACAAAATCTGATCCTGATTCTGTATAAACCCAGAGAATTGAACTGGGAGCAATGGGTAGGATTTGCAGGAAAGACAACTTTGACACCAAGTAGTATGATGCAGTGAGACAGGTCCCAGCGACTGTTTCCAGCCTTCTCCTCTGGCATCTCTGCCTTCCTCTCCCTTGCCTGAAGGCCCTCTGCATCCTTTCCCGATGAAACTGGGGAACGTCCCCACTTCTCTCCCATGCCAAAACCCATGCCTCTCCAGCCTCTGGAGCTTCCATGTATGATCTGTTCCTGCTTGGACATGGGGTAGGGCATCCCTTCCACCTCTGAACTCATCACCTCTCATCTTCCAAGGGACTCTGCTTCCGCGGACACCCTCTCTCCTGTCCCAGCGGTTTCTCCCAGGTATTGGATCACTCCCTTCAGCTTACATACCTGCTCGGCCATCGCTCAGCCCAACACCATGGCCCTCTGCAGTTTCCACCTCTCCTTCTATTCTCCTTCTCACCACACGTTCCAGGACACTCGTCTGTCCTCAGCTACCACCCACATTCTCTTCAACCCTCTCCCATGTGTCATCAGCCCAGCACCCTCCAACACTGCTCTCATCCACTTCAGTCCCAGGAGCACCCCTTGGTTCCCGTGGTAATCTTCATAGTGGGAGACCTGCTGACTCCACATCTTGCTTGAAACCCTCTCTCCTCTGGGCTTCTCTGAAGACACACACAGGTTTTTCCTGCTGCTCTCTGGCTGCCCCCTGTGTCATCCTCCTTTACCAGCAGACCTCAGACGATAGATGTGGCCCAGAACTCAGCTCTCTCCTGTCCTCCCTGCACTCCTCTTGAAATAGGCCTGACCATTCCTCTAGACTCAGAAGATACCCAAATTCACATCCCCAGCCATGACTCCTCTCTCCTCATTGAACGCAGGTAAGCAGCTACCTGCTCGGAGGGGAGTTGGGCGGCTCATGCTCAGCATATTTGAAGAACTCCAGCTTTCATCCAGAGCGTCTGTTTCTCACCCACCTTTTCACCATCTATCCTCCCAGTAGTTCAAAACACACCCAAAGCATCACTTGCACACCCTCCCTCGGCCTCACCTCACAGTCTGTTCATTTGCTTGGTTCCCTCCACTTGACCTCCAAGAATACCAGCTGGGTTTGTCCTGTACCTCCACCTCCTCTGTGTTCCCCTGGTCCTTCTGCTGCGTCGGTCCTAACTCATCTCTGGCCTGTCATTCTTACTTCCCAAAAGTCCTCTCTCTCTGCAGCCAAATTCACCTTTTAAAAAAACAAAACATGAGCCAGATTGCCACTCCCCACACCCACTCCAGTGGCTTCCCACTGCCAGTGGAATAGATTCCCAATTCTTGATTTCTGGCTGACAAGGCCCCAGCTGGTCTGACCCCTGTTTTTTGACCGCCTCTCCATGGCTCCAGCCGGCGGCTTTGCTGAGATCTGGGATGAGTCATCCACCAGATAGTTCAGGCTTCCGCCCAGACGTCAGCTCCAGCGTGTGTACATCACTGCAGACAGCCACTCTCCATCCCATTCTTTGCGGTTACCCAGACTTCTTGTTTTTCTCAGCATGTATTGTGGCCTGACTTACTCTGGACACATTCTTGTTCGACTCCTACCCAGTCACAAGTGGTCATCCTGCCCCTGGCATCTTGAATTGTTTTCCTAGCATCTGTCACTATCTGAAATGATCCTGTTTGCTTATGTGTCTTCTGCAGTAATTCTAACTCCACCACAGAGAGGGGCTTCAGGGTCTTGTCTGTCTCCACTTTCTTGACTACCTGGAGCTGTGTCCATCCCATCATCACAATGTCATTGCACGGTAATATGCTGAGTTAGTGAATGAGCACACTTGGATAGCATCCCCAAATAGGAATAGTCCAAGTGGTGGCAGGGGTGGGGTGGCTTGGTGTATTTCGTTCGATTTGCAAAATGAGCTCCAAGGATTCTGCCAGTTTTATATGATATAATCTTCTGAATTTTTAAGTATCTTAATGCTTTGCATATTGCTTTAGAAACTGGTTCTTAACAGAGAACCAGTGCTGGTGCCCCTTAAGACAGAGCATGTTGGTCACAGTGTATACAGTTTATGGCAGAAAACACTGGCAGCAGTCTCAGCAACAGGTTCTTAAATTAGTATAAGTAGTTAGAGTTGAAACTGGTTTTCCTCCCTCGGATCATCTTAGCCTGTTCCTGAATCATAAGTAAAGTCAGTGGTGTAAATTAATAGGGATTATGTAGATTAGATACATTTCACAACAATTTAATTTCTTATGTAACTTCATTTAGTCCACAAGTATTTATTGACCACTTACTGTGGCCACCCACTGCCCTGGCCCTGGGAGTGGAGCAGGAATCCAAACGGAGTTCCCAGGTCTCTCTAGGTACAAAAGAAGAATCGACGGATAATCACTAAGGAAACAAATTGAAATGTGCTTTGTCAGGTGGTGAAAAGTAAAATGAGGGTGAGCAGGTGCAAGGCATACGTTCGCATTCTGAAGTCAAGTCGTGCATGCATGAGTGTGCGAATTCCTAAGCATGTTTTCAACTGAGACCATCACAGCAATGTATCTGTTCATCATTCATTCCATTCACTTGACAAATATATAACTAGCGCTTTATCGTATGCAGTGGTGTCCCAGGGTACATTGGGAAGTGACCCCAGAGAAGATGGACACATCAGTTGATCCAATCCAATCAAATGCTGCCAAGAACTCAGTAGGCTAAAGGGAGTGTGGGATCCATGCGAAGGGAAGGGTGTGTGCGGCTATGGAGCTTTGTTGTTGGGGGGGTAAGAAGGGCGGACACTGAAGGCGAAGCACAGAGGAAGGAAGGAGCGTTCCAGCCCGGTATGGAAGAGTGAGGAAAAGCATTCTAAAAAGGTTTGCCCGTGATCCTGAGCCAGCAGAATGCCCTGATGGATGTGGCCCAGAACTCAGCTCTCTCCCATCCTCCCTGCACTCCTCTTGAAATAGGCCTGAGCATTCCTCTAGACTCAAGATACCCAAGCTCATATCCCCAGCCATGACTGCTCTCATCATTTCCTAGGGAAGAGAGGAATGTGATTTGAAAAGATCCCTCTTGAGTCAGCCTGGGTTATCATCTGCTGTGTAGACAGCTCATGCCAGGCTGCGTTAATCGAGAGCAGAGTGGGCTCACTGCAGACAACCCGCGATTCCCCTGGTTCCAGGAGTCCAGTAGCCACGGGTAGAGCCGTCACTGAAATTTGCATCTCGTTCTTTGGTTCCTTTCTCATTTGCTTGGCCCAGTTTTTAATCAGGTCACTTCTCATGGGCCTCAAGGCAACAATGTGTCATTAACTTACATTTTAGGCTGGGCGTGGTGGCTCACACCTGTAATCCCAGCACTTTGGGAGGCCGAGACGGGCGGATCACCTGAGGTTGGGAGTTTGAGATCAGCCTGACCAACATGGAGATACCCCGTCTCTGCTAAAAATACAAAAGTAGCCAGGCATGGTGGAACATGCCTGTAATCCCAGCTACTCAGGAGGCTGAGGCAGGAGAATCGCTTGAACCCACAGAGGTTGCAGTGAGCCGAGATCATGCCATTGCACTCCAGCCTGGGTAACAAGAGCGAAACTCTGTCTAAAAAAAAAAAAAATTACATTTTAAAAATTTCCTAGCATACAGAAGTCTAAAATTTTGTAAAATTATTTAGCATTTTATTAATTTTTTAGTCCCCATGTTTGCAGCTGCAAATTTTCAATTTCAGGGGGACTTTTTTAAAGATAGAAAGCATCTTGACTATCCTAGCTTCAAATTAGGAATAGGTAGTACAGTATAAAAAGATTTGTCAATTTGAGACCAACCTGGGCAACATGGAGAGACCCTATCTCTACTAAAAAAAAAATTCATTTAATTAGCTGGGCCTAGTGGTGTGCGTCTATAGTCCCAGCTACCCAAGAGGCACATATATTTGAAGATTTGTCAAATATATGTGCTGCTTCTCCAACTGGAAATAAAACTTTGTGATGTTTTGTGTTCTCAACATTAGAACGTCTGATTTTATAATGTACATTTTGAAGCAATACAGGACTTTTTTTCCACATGACTTTATACAACTCTTGGGACAGGAAAATATTCACTTTGTATTTCTGTGGTTTGCTCAGTTCCACAACCTAGGAACCCAACAGGTTAAGAACCGTCAATCATACTGCCTCCCTGGTGACTTTGTCAACTGTTAGAATAACATTGGTCAAATCTTTTTCATTTCCTCCCTCACTTCCTTTTGTAGATTTTATAAACACATGCAAAAAGGCAAAGACCTAAAGGACTTAATTTTTTTTTTTTTTTTTTTGACACAGAGTTTCACTCGTCACCCAGGCTGGAGTGCAGTGGCACGATCTTGGCTCACTCTGAGGTTCAAGTAATTCTCCTGCCTCAGCCTCCCTAGTAGCTGGGATTACAGCCGCATGCCACTATGCCTGGCTAATTTTTGTATTTTTAGTAGAGACGGGGTTTCGCCATGTTGGCCAGGCTGGTCCCGAACTCCTGACCTAAGGTGATCCACCTGCCTCGGCCTCCCAAAGTGCTGGGATTACAGGCATGAGTCACCATGCCTGGCCACTTAAAATTTTGGGGGGTATCGAGAAGAAAGAAAGGCATGGAAGAAATGAGTGTTGGAGAAGAGTGGTGTTTAAAATGAACAAGTTGTTACAAGATGGTTATAACATGGCTAGGTCGAGAGACAGCCAGAGATGGGTGACAGAGGGTGGGGTGTGGCTGAGCAAGCCCACTGTCCAGCTTCTCCGTTAGGATTTGTATGTTACTTTGGTTTTGCATTCTTAAACTTCTTTCAATGAATATATCATGTTACATCTTGGCTTTATTATGTGACAGATAAGGTTATTAACAGAAAGTGATATTAATATTAATTATACAATGATACTAAAAATTTTATATCACACAGAAGCAGATGGTTATTTTTAATGACTTAAAATTTTACTCTTTTATATGAGAAGAAACATTTTAAACATATTTAGTTATAAATGCTATTTTAATTGCTACATTATTTCTGCAGCGGGATTTTTAAAATCTTACTATAGTTGCAGGGAAATATTTCTATGTATATTTCAGATCCTCTTAAATTATATACTTATTTACAGGAAACAATTATAATTACATTGAGAAAACAGAATGGGGGGCTTCAAATTATCGATAAATACATCACACTATTCTCACACATGATCATTCCATCTGGTCATAGTTCAAGAATTCAGCTCTAGTAGGAGGCTTACTCTCTGAGCATTCATCAAGTTAACAACCTTACCAGTTATCTTTTTAGGTACTCTATTTTTGTAATGTTTGTAGATAAATAGTCCTTTGCTGGATTTTTAAATCATAACTGGGTAAGCATACGACTTAAGAATTATTTCCTATGCAAAATAGAATCAGAAAATTCCATCTACTTACAAATTCTTTATGTACTTCCACATTTTAAGCTTTCCAAGTTGGGAAACTCAACTTCAAACCAGCTGTTGACCCATCCTTTGTTCTATATCAAGCTTTGCATTAATGCAGAAACTGAAATAAGTATCTCCACTCCCCAAAGTGATACATCTGAAGTCATCTGGCTGACTGTGTGTCCAGAGGCACCACGTCAGTGTCTCTTTGCCAGAGCCTTTATGGGGGTGGTACGAGGGGAACTGGAGTCTGGGGGCACGTCAGGCCTTCATCAATCAGAAGGCAGTGGCAGCGACAGCAAGACAGGCGGGTCAGGCCCCCAGATGAGATTTGTGAGGCTGCGGCATCGATTCTGACCACACATTCTGGAAAAATTATCATCCTACACCACCTTCTGAAGCAGTCAAGGTTTGGGTTATTACCTGGACCAGCACCCGGCTTTTACATAGGACCTTCTCCTGGGGGACGGTGGTATCGTT
The DNA here is from genome assembly GCF_000001405.40 of Homo sapiens. Taxonomy (NCBI): domain Eukaryota; kingdom Metazoa; phylum Chordata; class Mammalia; order Primates; family Hominidae; genus Homo; species Homo sapiens. The sequence goes on from NC_000002.12 coordinate 235,944,967, forward strand.
GTAAACCAAAAGGTTATTGATCAAATCTTGCTAATCCAAGTTCCTGACAATTAATTTTTTAAAAAAGAAATTATTTGTCCTTTTAAAGAACTTTTCTCTTTTCCTAAAATTATGTGAAGCTTTTCATTTTTAAAATTCTTTTTTGTTTTTTTGAGACGGAGTCTCGCTCTTTTGCCCAGGCTGGAGTGCAGTGGCGCGATCTCGGCTCAATGCAAGCTCCGTCTCCCAGGTTCCCGCCATTCTCCTGCCTCAGCCTCCTGAGTATCTGGGGCTACAGGTGCCCGCCACCGCGCCCGGCTAATTTTTTGTATTTTTAGTAGAGTTGGGGGGGGGTTCACCGTGTTAGCCAGGATGGTCTCGATCTCCTGACCTCGTGATCCACCCACCTTGGCCTCCCAATAAAATTATTTCATTACAGAAGCATGGTTAACGCGTGCGCTAGCAGAAAAGTCCCACCATTAAATGGAGGCCACAGTGCATGGCTGGAGAACAGCAGGATGTTGGTATCTGTTGCACATGTTTCAGCCTGTTTCTACAAATCTGCCTTTTTCTTCTAACATATGGGTTAACTACCATTTCTCTTTGCTAATTTTACAATAATATCTTTGCATTTTCCCCTAATAAAAAAATTAAATTTTAGAAACATTTAAAATGCAGTTAAGCTTTTTGGTTTCTAAAAAACTCAGTCCTACACAAAGCTCTTAGATTCGGGAGTGGGTACCTGTATGAATCCGTTCTCACACTGCTATAAATAAACACCTGAGACTGGGTAATTTATAAAGAAAAGAGGTTTTGTTGTCTCACTGTTCCACAAGCTGTACAGGAAATGTGATGCTGGCGTCTGCTTGGCTTCCGGGGGGGTGCCTCGGGAAACTTACCATCATGGCAGAAGGCAGAGGGGGAGCCGGCACTTCACATGGCTGGCGGTGGTGGTGGGGGCGATATGGGGGGACTTGCCGCACACTTTTAAGTGACCAGATCTCATGAGACCAACACCAAGAGGGAGCTCTGCCCCCATGATCCAGTCACCTCCCACCAAGCCCCACCGCCAGCATTGGGGATGACAATTCAACATGAGACCTGGGTGGAGACACAGATCCAGGCGGAGACACAGATCCAAATTATGCATTTTTCCCCTAATTAAAAAAAAAAATACATTGTAGAAACATTTAAAATGCAGATAAGCTCTTTGGTTTCTAAAAAACTCAGTCCTACACAAAGCTGTTAATTTTGGGGGTGTATACCCTTCCAGTTTGTGTGTGTGTGGTTATGTGTTTATTCCCCCAAAGTGGATTGGATCATAATAGGCTTTTTTTCCTTTTTTTTTTTTTTTTTTTGAGACAGAGTCTTGTTCTGTCAGCCACGCTGGGGTGCAGTGGTGTGATCTCAGCTCACTGCAGCCTCTTCCTCCCAGGTTCAAGCAATACTCCTGACCTCAGGTGATCCACCTGCCTCGGCCTCCCAAAGAGCTGGGGATTCCAGGCTTGAGCCACTGTGCCCGGCCAGGCCTTTTCCACTTAAACATGTAATATGTCCACTAAAATTTTCCATGTCTTAGAATATTTTCATGTACTTAACAGCATTTAAAAGAAAATAAGTATAAATAGATAAAATTTCGACACTCTCAGTGTGGAAACTAGAAACAATCTCAGTTCAGAAACTAGAAACAATCTCTGTGTCCAGAAGTAGGGGACTGGGGGCCCCTCCAAGGAGAGGCTGGGCAGCCATTCAAGTGCTGCTTTCTATGTAGTAGCTTGGAAAGCTGGCCATTGAAATCGCCAGGCGTCATTGTTCTAAGAACCAGCAGGGAGGCAGCACTGTGTGGTCCCGCCCCTCTGCCCAGCCAGGCATATCCCTGCCACCCCAGTGCCTTTTCACCTGCTGTGCCTGGGAACCCCTCCCCACCCTTGTGTCCACCAAATACCACCTTCACCGTGAGGCCTTTCTGACCCCAGTTTAAACGTGCCCATGTCCTTCTTCCCCACCTTACTTCTGCGTGCCACCAGTCACCTTCTGACAGCCTTTGTCATCTACTCCTTCCTTTCCTTTTTTAAAAATTATATATAGATATTTTACTTAACTGGTTGAAATGTGATTCCTTTTTTCTGGTTTTTATTTTGATTTCAGTAGTTTTTTGGGGAACAAGTGGTTTTTGGTTACATGGATCAGTTCTTTAGCGCTGATTTCTGAGGTTTTGGTGCACCCATCACCCGAGCAGTGTACACTGTACCCAACGTGTAGTCTTTTATCCCTCGCCACCGCCCACCCTTTCACCTGAGTCCCAAAGTCCATTGTATCACTCTTACGCCTTTGCATCCTCATAGCTTAGCTCCCACTTATGAGTCAGAGCATACCATGTTTGGTTTTCCATTCCTGAGTTACTTCACTTAGAATAATGGTCTCCAAATCTGCCCAGGTTGCTGTAAATGCCATTATTTTGTTCCTTTTTATGGCTGACTAGTATTCCATAATTATATATACATATATAACATTTTCTTCGTCCACTCGTTGATTGATGGGCATTTGGGCTGGTTCCGTATTTTTGCAATTGCAAATTATGCTGCTATAAACATGCATGTGCAAGTGTCTTTTTGTATAATGACTTATTTTCCTCTGGGTAGATACCCAGTAGTGGGACTGCTGGATCAATGTTCTGATCTGTCATCTCCCCCCGACCAGAATTTAAGCTTCCTAAAGGGAGGGACTGTCTTGTTTGCCTCTATTCTCAAAGCCTAGAACAGTGTCTCCATCAGTAGGGGCACAGTCAGCCTCTGTTGAGTGAATTTTCCAGGTATCAGGTGGTAGAATGAGCAGTTGAACGTTACTGTTTGCCAGTGTCTAAGCCCTGGATTAAATGCTTTATAGGTACTATTTGTTAAGTCTACGCTGAAGTTCTCTGAGGTGGTACTATTATCCTCATTTTTAAATGATTAAACTGAGTCCTAAATAATTTGAATAACTTGTGCAAGAGTGTGCAGGTGATGAGGATCCAGCGTGCAATGTACGGATCAAAGCCTGAGCGTTGGGCTAGGCCGGCTAGGCCAGGCTCCCTGTGTGCCCACCTGAATGCAGGTGTCCGCATGAAGGCCGTGTGAATGAAGAGGGCAGGGGACTCATGGGAAGGTTTACCTGTTTTACCTGTTCCATTTCAGCTTTTAGTAATGAGGACATACTCATCTAAAAGTGTGCCAGGTTTTCTGGGGTTTTTTTTGTTTGTTTGTTTGTTTTGTCTTAGAGACAGGGTCTCACTGTGTCATCCAGGCTGGAGTGCAGTGGCACGATCTCAGCTCACTGCAGACTCTGCCTCCTGGGCTCAAGGGATCCTCCCACCTCAGCCTCCGGAGAACCTGGGACCACAGGCATGCGCCACCATGCCCAGCTAATTTTTTGTATGTTTGGTAGAAATGGGGGTTTCACCATCGTGCCCTGGCTGGTCTTGAACTCCTGAGCTTCTGTGTTCCCCCCACCTCCATCTCCCAAAGTCTCCTGGCATTATAGACGTGAGCCACTGCGCCTGGCCTAAAAATGTTTTAAATAAAGTTATTTTAAAATACGAATTTCATAACGAGAACACAAATTGAGAGGTGAACATTTGAGAATTTCCATGGCCGCTTTGGCAGTAGGGATGTTTAGTTTGAAACTTTAATTTAAAAAGTGAGTGCAGTGAGTCTGTCTTTGTAGCGCTAGAGATGGGTCCTCAGCTGGCCATGATAGAGAAGGATGGGCAGAGGCGGGTGTTTGAGACTTGGAGGGGACAGTGGGGGCACAGCAGCCAGGCAGAGGCATGTGTCAGGGCAGAGTGAGAATGCTAGGATCCTGGCCCCCATCCTCCCACTTGCCACACAGTCAAGAAAATGACAGGTGTACGGGAAGACCCAATTCAATACAGAGCAGCCAGGTATCAAATCACAGTGCTGCTCTGCAGAGCCTATCCCGTGTCCAGTAAAGCAGACAGCATTCCAGTGTTATCTGGAATTATTTACAAACGCAGTGTCCACAATACGATGAATCACAACTTACAGTTTAGTTAGATTAAGCGAATTATAATTTTTAATAGTCAGTGAATATTTTCACCTGCCTAGATGGGGAGCAAGGCTCTGAATCCTCTCTTGCCCCAGCCCCTTCTCCCTGGGTGAGGCAAGCATGGCATGAGCAGATTGGTTTTTGTAAAGTGCCTGATGTGCAGTCAAATACAGGAAGGCCCCTTCTTTCATACATGCACGTTGAGTTCCCTAAACCCAAAATCCAAAATCCGAAGGGCTCCATTGAGCATTGCCTTTTAGCGTCATGTCGGCACTCAAAAATTTTCAGATTTCAGAACATTTCGGATTTTTGGATTAGGGATACTCAACCTGTAATTTCCATGATAATTTTTTTTCTGGAAACACCTATGAAGTTGAATTGGTAAGAAGTGCTGCCATACCACTTCAAAAGAGGGCGGTGGCCAGGGGGTGCTCTTCCCAAGGAGCTGAAAAATACCATGAAATTCCTGATTATGCCACCTCTCCGCCTGTTCTTCTGCACCGTGTCTCCGGATCATCATCTTAGTCTCTTTCTTCACAACTGAACAGATCTGCTTAAATCCCTCGAACACCCAAGGCTGTGTAGATTTGCCGCTTTGGGCATGCCTAGCGAATTCCATTTTTGTGCTCTTTTGTGCCTCTTTTGCATAGTAAGCTTATGAGCGCCATGCTCTTTTTGCTAATATCAGTTAAAATCTTTCCATTTTCCACTTATCCTCGTAAAACAAAAGCAAAACATGAGTTGGTCCAGCTGCATAAACAGCCTTGGGGCTGAGCTACCCCAGCCACGCCGCACCCCCGAGCACGTGGACCCTGTGCTCGTCTCTGATCACCACAGTACCAAAGGCCAGAGTCACAGCTCATGCAGAATGGAAAGTTCTGCCAGGAAAAATAGACTCCCTCGCCTAGGCAAAAGTATCATGGATCTAGAACTAGAAAACTAACTGGAATTTCGTGGAAGAAACTGCACCTGTTTCTTCCTTTTCTGTAGCCAGCGCTGGGAAGTCTGGGAAGACACCAAAAATAGCAATGAAGCAGCTCCCTGGAGGGTTGCTGGGAGATGCTTGGGCACAGAGAGTGAGGTGTTTGCTGGGAAAAGCCATTTGGGATGGGTGAAGGTCCATGCTGGAGTTGGAGAGCGCAGAAAATGGGGTGAGTGTAAAAGTCTAGCCTGGGTTACGGCCCCAGTGATCCTGGACAAATTTGGAGTAAGAAACTCCCGCCAGTCTCATGGCCAGAGTGCCCAGGGAAAGTCTTCTCTCCCAGTGGTGACTCCGGGTTTCCCTAGCCCAGCACAAGGACTTGGGCTGGTGAGCTACAGAATTGCAAAGAAGAGCAGGAGCCAGCCAGCCAGACCTGGCCATGGCTGTGCCATAGGATATCACAGGGTGTGTGGGCAGGAGCAAATGCCGGGAGTATATGCAAGAGAAAATTATGGCTGGTGGGAACCTGCAGGAGTTGCAGGAGGAGCAAAGGGATGTACTCCTGAGGTTTGGGGGCTGGCAGCGCTGGGAAGGGAGGGAGGGACCCTGATTCTGGATGAGAGGTGGGTGGATAGTCACTGACGATTTTAACCTCACCCCAGGGGATGAAGGCTGCTGTAGGGAAGAATGACCAGAGCTTTCTCTGCTGAATAGCCAGCCAGCCAGGATTCTGCTTCCTGCCGCATCCACCCCTGACCCTTCCAGCAGCCACAGGAGGTCAGGGTTTTGCTTAAAGAAAGAGAGGAAAATGTCAATTATTACATTTTGGAGCACAATCTTACCTTTCAGTTTATTTTAAAGCAATTTTCCCTAAAGATCAACCACAGTATGTGACTGAACTGTATTAACGAAATTTTAGCTTGATAAAGGAAATGCTTTAAACTCACAGCAAATGTAACTCGGGATCTCCAAGCACTTTTTTTTTTTTTTTTTTTTTTTTTTTTTTTTGGCTGGACAGCCCAAATTCCAAGACACTAGTAAAAATAATATGATAAAACTTTGGTGGTGCAAACAAAGTCAGTTCTTTTTTACAAAAAGAATATTCTAATAGTATCTAATAGTAATGGTGAATTACTCATAGTTTTCTGCTGGAAGTAAATTTAATTCTAGTTTTTAAATATCATTAATTCTGGAGGTTGCACTCTGAATGATTTCTTATTTTGTGGAAAATACGAAATAAAGAAGACACATTTGGCCACTGTGATGGAGCTGCTTTGAAAGGCTGTGCTTTAGAAGACACTTCCGACTTTGATCTGCAGTTGCGGATGAAGATGCTCACGAGTGGAGGTGTTGGTGGAGATAGTTATCCCAAGTAGAATACTCGATCGATGTCCACAGCACATTCAAATTATCTTTCATGTTACAAACTTTTCCAGCAGTTACCAGCCCCAGGTACGATTATGGACAATGCTGTCAGTCATCGTGAGACAGAGTAGCATGGAACTGAAAAATGTGTAGCAGGTTTTCAAACCTCTTACTTGCCCAAAGCTTAGTCAAAATTATGAGATTTCCTCTGAACTTTGTTCTTCTCGTTATTTTTGGAATGATTGCAGGGTTGGTTTAAGATTGCCATGACCACATATTAATAGTTGCACTGAGAAACAGGCGTAAACAGAGGTTGTCCCGGGAAAGGCAGAATGAATGTCACCCACCCTGGGGAAGGTGGCTCGTGTCACTACCCTTTGCTACAGCTGTTGTTTCTCACTGATTCATTCTCGGGAATCGCTTGTTGTCTGTTGGTACAAAATAAACATTTCCTCCTATCCTGGATGACTGGAGCCTTGGGCTGCAGATGAGTTACACCACACCAGTCTCCCAGTCCCATCACACACAGGCAGTTTTTACACCAGCCAAACTTAGAGCTTCATAAATGCAGGAAACTGTCAGGTTCCTTTCAAGAGGAAGTCTTAGCTACAGATTTTTGGTGGAAACAAATGGTCCACCCTGATCTACTCATTTACCATCTGGTTTGGGGAACCTTCTGTCATCCTACCTGCTATGTATTTGTGACCTGATATATTATTTTTAAATACAGTTGTTTAATAGTGTAGTCAAAAATGAAAGGTCATAAGCCTCATCTTCTCATTAACACCACACCAGATTGATTCCAGTATTCAGTGCACAGATAACCTCATGTTTCAGCTTCCTTATTGACGTGAATGTGCTGAGCAGAGCTCACCTGCCTCTTGTCAGAGACATGAATGGGCTGATAATATCTAGTTTTCAAGCAGAGGAAGTTAGAGGTGAACCGCAGCCTCAGAATCTACATAAAATATGCAGCACAGTCATTAGTCATTTGCAGTGGCCCAGCAAAATCCTAAAACAGCAGGAGAGAAAAATATTTTCTTTTCAGTGTCTGTCAAAGAAGTTATAACATAGGTTTTAAAAAAAAAAATTTCATCAGCCAAATCCTTAAAATTTAAATATGCAGACTTTTTTCCTGTATTTTTATCAAAAATGTTTATACTGTTAAAAGGTTATCCAGGTACCAGATAGGTGCCCCAGGCAGCTCATGATGCAAATGTAGACAAATATATGTTGAGTGCCCCTGTGTCTGTAAGTCAGTCTGTATCAGTATAGAATTAGGATTGGATTAGTGTGAAGTGTTTGCACTGTAAATTTTATCTGTGTTTTTTTTTAAAAAAAACTGGAAATATTCTGTTTTGTTCCACTACTATTTCCCCAGGGCCTTAAACAGTGCCTCCCCCTGAGTGGCCCTGGGTAGTTGTTGATCATATCTGTAAATATCTGGAGTTTCCGCACACACAGACTTCGAGTGTGCCATCAAGATGGTGTCCCTCGGTGCTGAGCCTCACCATCCTGGTGGTCCTGAGCAGTTGCATCCCCTCCTTCAGCTCAGCCCCAGGGCCTTCTGTTCAGGGTCACTGTGGATAAATTACCAGTGGAACCCAAGCCCTCAAAGCTGCCCTATGGGCTGGGCGGCTCCAAGAGCCAGAGTATTGCTCTGTGACCTCCAGCCGGTTGACTGGGGCAATTGTTAGAGCCAGGTGTGGCGGAAGGACCCATACAGCCTCTTTCAAGTGGCTGGGCCTTCTGTACGAGGCACCTGACACCACGATGCTATCACCATCCTCGCTGACTGGGACATGCCACCCACCTCCAATAAAGGCTTGGGAGTCGCAAGGATCCCTTTTCATAATGAAACTTCCTGTCCACAGTTTAGGAGAGAGTCTTGAAATCACCTGGAACAAGAAGTTTTTCAAATATTTTAGGTGTTTACAAAATATTTCTATGAGGACAGATAAGGGGGAATGAATTTTGCAAATTAGCATTTGATTTAACCCCCAAAAAAGTACCCCGATGGTTCCCACAGTTGCCTTCTAACATAACAAAAGGTTACATGTGATGGCCAAGGGAAAAGAAAACGTAATTTATCGTTATAAGATGTTAATTTTTTATTCTCCAAAATGTTCAGACTGCAAGGATATTTCATACAGATTTGTTAGCTGGTATTTAAATAATATTCAACACTCCTAAGCCTTAAATAGGCAATTAGAAGTATACTGCATTTTTTTCCCTCCAGCATTTCAAAGACATTACTCAAATTTTGTTTGTTCTTTGTGCTGCAGTGGTCTTACTTGGCAACTCCCTGTCTTGACAGACTTGATTACGGAGCACCTATTTTGTGCATGGTGCTTGCTGGCCACTGAGCATCTGTAAAGAAAATTTTTTCCACGCCTGTAATCTCAGTGCTTTGGGAGGCCAAAGCAGAAGGATCACTCAAGCTAGGAGTTTGAGACCAGCCTGGGAGGTATAGTGAGACCCCATCTCTACAAAGAAATTATCAGGGCATGGTGGGTCATACCTGTGGTCCACGCTCCTTGGGAGGCTGAGGCAGGAGGATCGCTGGAGCCCCAGGAGTTCAAGGCTGCAGTGAGCTTTGATCATGCCACTGCACTCCAGCCTGGTGAGGGTGAGACATTGTCTGAAAAAGAAAATGTACTTTTAAAAATCAGGCCAGGCACAGTGGCTTATGCCTGTAATGCCAACATTTTGGGAGGCTGAGGCAGGCAGATCACCTGAGGTCAGGAGTTTGAGACCAGCCTGACCAACATGGAGAAACCTTGTTTCTTCTATTCTCTACTAAAAATACAAAATTAGCCAGGCGTGGTGGCACATGCCTGTAATCCCAGCTACTCGGGAGGCTGAGGCAGGAGAATCGCTTGAACCCGGGAGGCAGAAGTTGCGGTGAGCCGAGGTCACGCCATTGCACCCAGTGTGTGTGATAAGAGTGAAACTCTGCCTCCAAAAAAAAAAAAAAAAATCAGAGGGACACAGCCACATAAAGGAGACATCCACAGAAGCAATCATAGCACACTAAGGGCCATGAAAGGGGTGCAGTGTCCAAGGGAGCTGGGAAGAGAGGCTGCCTCCTGTGCCACTGAAGGGCAGGCTTCAGCCCTCCAAGCGCTGCTCATAGGCACGGTGGTTTGTGCAGCTTTCATTGTGGCAGGTCTAACTGTATTTCCCAACATCCTCTCTCATCGTTCTCTAACTTTCTCCTTACAATGCCTCATCTTTTGGCGGAAGTGACTTGCATCTCGTATGTTACGGTTCTGTGTTGAGGTCCTGCGTTTTAACTGTGTGAATGATAATTGTCTGGAAAAGCTGGGGGCCCTCGACAGCCATGTTTGCACGTTCTTTAGGAACAAGGGGAGCTTCAGCACACCAGCAGCCTCCACACCCCGCCTCTACCTGCCAACCCCTTGTGAGTCCTTCAGGTTTGTCCACAGCCCTTGTCATCCCTCCTCGTGGTCAATATGCACACATATATATGCTTATTAACTCTCTCCGTTTGCTGGAACCTAAGCTCTTTAGGGCAGGAGCTTTGTTTATTTACTGCTATTATCGCAGCTCCTAGGAGACAGCCTGACCAGGGCATGGGTCTCTCTGTCCCTCCATGTGTCTGGATGTTGTCTAGCCCCACACCAAGCACATGGTAGATGGGCCACATGGCACTGCCTCCCCTTGGTTTGGCGTGGAGGGTAGAGTTGCCTTAGTCAGTCTTTAACTGGCTCTTGGCCATCTTAGTTGACCAAGATGGAGAAGAGAGCAAGAGTAGGGTGAGGCCGGTTGAGGGTAGAGGTTCAGGGGTGCTATTTTGTTCATTTCCTGTGTGAAGAAATTGAGGCTAAAAGAAATGACATGCCCAGGGTCACGTGGCCAGGTGGCTAGGCTGGGGCTGGAGCTGCCTTCGAGTCTGTGCGGTTCCAGTTCATGGAGCACTGTGCAGTTTTCTCCCTGACCTCCATCTGCTTCCTTCTTGTACCCTGGGTGCGGGCCATCCTGAGGAGCGGGGACCTCTCCATCAGCACGTGGGCAGGGTGGGAGCTGAAGTGTAACAGGCATGTCGGCTCCAGCGACACACAGCTTGGACATCCTTACACACCGTTGGTGGGAGCAGCACAGAACTTCGGCTCAGCAGCATGTATCCAGAGCCCCACGAATGCTCATGTTCATGAGCCTGTGTCTCAAAAGCTGCCCCAAAGTCATAATCCTAATTACTGAAAACACACAGAAGTACTGATTTATGGTCATAAATTTGGAATCCTTCTAAGCAGCTGGGAACTGACTAAGCAAACCAAAGCATATTCTGCTCTTTATGATGTTAAAGAAGAAAAGAATCCTATTACTTATCTTCTATGACATATAACACTCAACCCATGGGATGATATCTCACAACCAAATTGCCTCTTTTTTAAGGCTGGGCTTCTGCATATCAGGTTTTCCCATAGCTGAGGACACCAACACACTTTTTCTAACCACATAATGTCAGTAGATAAGAGCAGGGATGTACTTCGAAGCAGCGGCCTGAGTTTGGTGTATTGCTGTACCTTGAGCGGAGTGAAGTGGCCAGGTGCATTCAGGACCCTGGACAAAGCCCCTCGCTGTACTGGCCTAAGGAGCCCACCTTCCCCACTCAGATAGGACACTTTCCTGTGCAGCAGTGGGTCATTTGACTGCATGTGACTTTTCATAGAAACAGCTAAGTTTCTAAAGATGAGAAATGTATGTGATCAAAGAGGGCTCCTACATCTAATTACCTTCCTGATTTAATTGAGTTTTCTGCAAGACGCATTCAGTCTCTCCCCAGCCTGCTCACCCTCACACGTGAAACAGAATCTCTTTTCAATTTAGCAGATCTGAGCACCCAACTTGAGAAATGGTAGTGGCTGATTATGTAAAAAGGGAAGAGGCTGGGGAGAAGCGGGAATCTCTCAAAATGATTTCATTTCCACCTAACAGCGCTGCGCATCGTGCCTTCCCATTTATCGGAGTTCACCGTATTAATTTAAACTTTGTGCTGCTTGCATTCAGCTAAAAATCAGCTAGAGAACAATTTGATTTTTGAGCCTTAACTATAAATTCCTGATATGCATTGCATTCCCAAGCATGCTCCCTTCTGTCACACTCCCCACGGCTTCCCCAGGCTTTCTGCCTCACTTGGCCACTCTGTGTTCCTTCTGTCATCCCTTCAAACTGGATGATGCCATTCGGCACCAGCTGGCCCTCTGGCATGAAAAAAAAAAACTGTTGTAGTGGACAAGAAAGGAGAGATACCAGGAAACGGATGGGGTGCAAAGAAAGTGACAGGAACCAAGAGGAGAGAGCAGAGGAGTATGACCTGGGAGGCGAGAACACAGAGAAGCTTGAGAAGCCCAGGGCTGTCCCACCTGTGGTCAGGAGGAGGCTGGGGGACACCCCTTCAGGGTAGGGCCCCATGAGCAGCTCAAGACTGGGACCTCCTGTGGGTCAGCTGTGTAGAGCCAGATCCTGGTAGGTGGCTGGAGGCCAGACAGCCACGTCCATTTGTTCATCCAGACTCAGCTCATGGCCCAAGTCTCATGATGGCCTTTAGCTTCAGTTTCTGGGGGAACCCAGCCACCCTCCTGTCCCCTCTGACCCTCTCCCCCGTCTCACTAGACCGTATAGTGGACGTTTTAAAATCTTCCTTATTTAATTGCTTTGTAGCATTTAATACAACGACCTCTCCCATTTTTTTTAAACAGCTTTATTCAGATAAAAATCACATAACACACTTCTCCCATTTAACAGGTGCAATGCAGTAGTTTTTAGTATCTCACAGATACCTGCAACCATCACCACAGTCAATCTCAGAACATTTTCATCGTCTCAAAAAGGAAACTCTGTTCTTGAATTGGTGGTCAGAATATGTACTTTTTTCTTTGTAAGGCTTTATAAACATATTTCAGTAATCAAGGTCCTCATCTCAATGGAAGATCAAATTTCCTAAATTCCTACTGACTAGGCTTAATTTAGAGAGATCTCTGGGCGTAATTGAAAATGGCCCAAGTAGGCAATTCTTCTCTCCTGTGTGTTCTCTTGGTTCTGGCTCCTCCTATTGTATTCCTTTCCTCCCCGTTTTTATAACTCAGTCTAACACTGTGTTGTCTTTTCCTTTCGCCAACACCTGTCATCTTCCTGGGCCCCCTGCCGTGTCCCCGCTGCCCCTCTGACATTGTGTACCTCTGTGTGAGCGGCAAAGGGAAAGGGACAATAATGCCAGTCTCTGAAACATCTTCAGAGATGGGGAATTCAAGTCAACCTCCTCCCGCTGAAAGCTCCCGTCAAAAGGACTATGCGAAGGGGTGAGGTTTTGAACCTCACTTCACACTCACCTTTTAACAGAGACCCAGGATGTTGTGATTTCCTTGGATGGCAAAGGTGGCCTGTTCTTTATTTACCGGCCTACACATCTCTGTAAGCTTCAGAAAGAACAGAGCCCTTATTAAAGATCCAAATTAGCTTTATATCGTTGGCCGTGTATCAAAGGAAGTGCGTTTTAATTTACGAGTTCCTACAACGACTTCATCTTGAGTTCACAGGGGGCTTCAGCCCTCAACTGATTTCCTCTCCTGGCACCTACAAATGGGCCTGTCTTTGATAATTTTAAATTATTTTAATACCAAGCAAAAAAGGATTTTTAGTCATGTACCTGACACTGCCAAATAGGTAAATTAAGGTGTGGGTGGAAGTCAGCAGGGGCAGGGGGCCGATACATACGTGCTTAGCATTTTCCTCTCTCTTTTCTTTTGTCTTTCTTTTCCTTTTTTTCCATATAGATGCATGCTTCTTATGAACATGTTTTAAAGCATTTTGTATCTTTAATCAACATGTAGAAAATGAACAGCCAACCCTTCGGGAACCATTGCAGCTCTCCCAGAGTGAGTGTTGCCTGCTCCTAGCAAATTCGTGGCGTGCCCCTCATCAAACTACGTCCCCTGAGGGAGAGTGGTTGGAGGTGTTTCTGGAGGGCCCTGTACTCCCTGAAATCCAGGCTCCAGGGTCAGGGAAGATCTGACCCGGGAGAGGATTAGGGCCCTGCTAACGGCAGCAGTAACAGCGGGAGTCCTTGCAGCAGGGAGGCTTGCAGAGATCAAGTGCACCTACGCCCAGCACCTCCCCCAGCGGACACATTTAGAGACCCTCGGGAGCGCGAGGGATATGAGAATCACAAGCACAGAGACTCATCTCTTGAATATCACCCGGGATATCAAAAACCTATCAGCACACCTGGCGAGGACCCTCACCAAGGCGAGCTCCCTGCAATGGTTCATCAAAAATTGCCCAGCTAATGATCGGCTGGGCAGATAATCGGAGGAGAGTTAATTGTAAGGTTCGATATGGCATCTTGTCAGCAGAGATAAGTTGTCACGTTTTCCACTTGAGCTGAAACTAAATGATTGTAAAATAAGTTATGAGTGTCCTTGGGCCTGTCTGCCGGAATGATAGCTAAGAATACATTCCTGGCCCATCAGTCTCAAGCAGGCTGCTTGATATTTATGCGGACGGAATGTTATTTTATTCCCCCTCTAGTCATGCTTGTCAGCTCTCCGAGTGAAAAGTGAAACTGCTTCTTTGACTCATACTTCACGTTCCGAAGCTCGGAGAGACTGCAGATTGTGATCATTATTGCTCGTATTATATATTTTTTGGGGTGTGCGTTGAACATTGATGCCCGATTGGGAAGAACTAATGGCTGACATTGAATGTGCGGGATGGTGCCGGCCCATCCCGGCTCAGCGCCGCGCAGCTCGGGACCCCAGTCCCTCCGTCAGAGCCGGTTTAGATGTGGAGTAATGAGGCGCTCGCTTTTTTAATTTGGCATGGCTTTTTTCTCTTAGCCTCTCCCCTCCCATACTTAACGCCGTCGACAGTAGTCGTCTGTCCCGGTGCCCGGTAATTGATACAAAATAAAATGCATTCTTTGTATGCAGCCAGGAGGAGCGGATGGCGCTCCGTGGGCCGGCTGGAGCTCATTTACAGTGTCTCAGGCGGGGCTTTCGGGGCCTCTTCAATTTGAGGAATACCTTGTCAGGCGAGGGGAGTAGTTGGAATGGAAAAGCACAGCGTGGAAGCCTAGTGCGTTGTGATTGCTCATATTTTAAACCAGGGGAATGTTAAACAACTCCTTGAAAGCGAGCTCTCGACACCTAGAAGCCAGGGGCATTCATATTCCCGTGGCCGAGCTCAGCGCCCAGTGGACGGGAACCCGGTCCTTCTTGCCATGAGAACACCCAGCCCAGGAGAGGTCAGGGCCTGGCCTCCAGGTGGGTCCTCTCTGGTCGCTCCTCACTGGTCTTGAGTCCCAGGTGACACTTCCTGCCCGACTTCTGTCTCCTGCCACGGCCCCCCTCAATTCACATCCTAATTCACCCCGCCATCACCTTCTCAGCACCATGATGGCCACTCCCTCGTGTAGCCGGTTCCCCTGCTGCTGCAGCCGGGCCCTCCCACAGGCAAGCATCTGGAACTAGCACCAGAGCTTCCTCCTGTCAAAGCTGTGCCACTTTCCCCACTGGCTGCCTGTCCGCTCCTGCCAAACCTGCTCCCACCCGCCCCAGCCCAGAGCATGTGGCTTCTCTAAGGGCTTGAGTGCCTCCCTTTTGGGCCACCGTAGACACCCCACCTCTGAGTGGTCAGGCGCCACTGGTTGTCTCCTTCCAGCAAGAAAGTTGGAGTAAAATGTCCAGGGCCTGGGCTATGGAGTGTTGGAGCATTGCCGTGGCAGGAGAACGCAGTGGGCAGAGACGCACCCTGCCCTGCCTGCAGCATGGCCTGGAAAGTCACTGCCTCAACTCCATGCCTCCAAATGGGGGCGGGGAGGGTGCTTGCGGACCCACCCTGGAGGACCTCGGCCCTGTAAGCAGCAGATCAGAGCGTGGGCTGGTGCTGCTTCCAGGATCACAGGTGCTTTGCACACGTCAGTTACTCGAGTCATAGCCTCCTGAGGACGACTGCAAGGAGCTCATGAATGCTGGCCTGGCTTTCTGTTTCCATTCTTGAGATTGCAGTTGTTTTTATCCCATGACAACCCTGTGTCCTCTGAAAAGCTTGCCTCCTTCTCCCCGCAGTGGCCAGGACAAGGCTCACATTTTTCTGTTCTCTGTCTCCCCAGCCCTCTCCTGGGCTTTCTCCCGGTGCAATGACACCTTCATCTCCCTGTTGGTCCCATTCTCTGGGGTGGCTGGAGGTGGCCTGGGTATGCTCGGTCCAGTGCAGGTGGGCGTGCGGACTCTTCCGTACCTCACTTCTCCCTGCACCTGTGGCCCCTGCTATCGGCGTGCTTACTGGAGATGCGATTCCCCTCTTCCTTCTTTGTTCAGGTAGCAGGGCCCAAGAAAAATCGTCTTTTATGGAAGGCATCAAGCAAGAAATTTGATAGGCATTCTCTTCACTCTAGAAATCAGCCCCGTGGGACAGGGGTCTTGCCCTTTATTCTCTGACAGCGGCCAGCTCCTAGGGCACGCTTGGTGCGTGGGGACACTCAACAGGGAGATGCTTTCTCTGTGTCAATAGACTTCACTCATGGACTCAGTCGTTCGCCTAAAAATAGATTCCAAATGGTTGGAAACTCATAGGACAGTGGTTTGGCACAAAAGCGTGCTTGTGGCTGGTTTTAAAACTAAGTCGCGAAATTGATACACTGCTGTGTGATACACCAGAAAGTGGTCCGTTCCATCCACCCGCGCAAGTGTCTGTCACACAGAGGTTAGTTCTTTCATAAAACTTTATTACGTATCGAACCCCATTACTCATCCTGAATCTGTTTCAGGAAGGATGTGTGCTGGTGAAGAGGATGAGCGAAGGCCTGCCTTCCTGAAGCTCGAGCGCTCATAGGGAAGATGTTCCGTAAACAAAGAAACACGCATGGAGCATGTCATGTCCCCATGTGGAGAGAGCCACGGAGCACAGGGGGCCGGGAGGGGCTGGATGCGCCAGTGGCCAGCTTGGGGAAGGCCTCTCTTGGGGCTTCCTCCTTTGGCTCCTGGAGTCTAAAACTTCCTGGTGTCCCTTCTGCCTGCCTAGCAGAACCCCTCCACACGGCTCCCCGTCTAAGGCGGCAGGGATGAGCTGTGTGGATGCTGCTGAGACTGGTGTGACTGCTTTGAGCCTTGTCCACTGATGCAGCACCTGCAGGGTGCCGCCGGCCCCAGCAAGGACACACCAGTGGTTGGTGGGATGTGAGCGGGACTGGAGTGAGGCCAGCCGTGGACAGCAGTGCAGAGGGACAGGCCCTAGGGAGTTGTGCTTTAAAGAAGGGCAGGAGTCAAATGTCCAGGGTGGAGGTGTGCGGCCAAGGGAGAGTTGTGTTAAAAATGTGAGATGACAGGGCCGGGCGTGGTGGCTCATGCCTATAATCCCAGCACTTTGGGAGGCCAAGGCGGATGGATCATGAGGTCAAGAGATCGAGACCATCCTGGCCAACATGTTGAAACCCGTCTCTACTAAAAATACGAAAATTAGCTGGGCGTGGTGCAGGAGAATCTCTTGAACCCAGGAGGCAGAGGTGGCAGTGAGCCGAGATCACGCCACTGCACTACAGCCTGGTGACAGAGCAAGACTTCGTCACACACACGCACAAAAAAGTGAGATGACAGCTCATGTTTAGTGCCGGGTGCTGGGTGAGCGAGGGTGGGTGAGCATCCATTTCCCAGGGGAGGGGCCCCGCGCCCATGGAGACTGCTGGGGACAGGCTGGGGCAGGGCGGGGTGGAGGGTGTCCTCTTCTGATGGATGCTTTTGGTTTTTGGTTTTGTTTTGTTTTGTTTTGTTTTGTTTTGTTTTGTTTCAGTGAAGTGAAAAGTGAGGTCATCGTGAGGATGGTGTGGGGCGTGGGGTGTTTGAAGCGGGAGGAGAAGCTTTGAAATAGCCCCTTGGAGAGTGGGAAGTGGGTTACTACAGAAGTGAGGTAGGATTGAAGGGCAGGCCAGAGGCCACTGAGGGGTACACTGACCACACAGAGGAGGCCGGTGTGCATGGCACCACCCTCTCCCAGCCCTGGCCCATGACGGTGCTGAGCAGGTGGAGGGCTGGAAGTCAGTGAAGTTGGGGCTTCCTACTCAGGAGAGATGGTGGGAGAAGGGAAACTTACAAGGGTGAGTTTCAAGTCGTGTGCGATGCTGCCCGGCTGTATAAGAAAAACCGTGGGATGTGAGCGGGTTGGACGTCAGATGGCATGGAACTCAGGGCATAGAGGAGCCACGGGAGTGAAGGCCTAGTGAGCTGGGGAGGCAGGGGTGGGGGTGGCAGTTAGACCCTAGAAACTGTGGTTCTTGCTGGTAGCAAGCCTGGGTGAGACCATGAGAGAGGGTGTCTGAGGTCCAGGGCAGAAGAGATTCATGAGGGTGGAGTGGCACAGAGGCCAGGGTGCTGGAGAGGACACCCAGGAGGCTGAGATGCAGACAGACCAAAATTCCAAAGGAGGTGTGTGCGAGAGGTTGAAAACTAGAAGCTCTGGTTGAAATTCCATGGGGTTTCTCGCTATTGATATTTTAGGTATTTGAGACTGTTCTTTGTGGCAGGGGCTGTCCTGTGCATTGTAGGGCATTTTTCAGCACCTCTGGCTTCTACCATCTGATGCCTGTAGCACCTCCACTCCACCCAGTTTGATACCCAGAAACGTCTCCAGCCATTGCCAGAGGTCCTGGGTGGGGGTTCCTGGAGAACCGGTGGATCTGTGGGAATCCAGAGTCCCATGGGGCTAGAAGTGCTCGTGTGGAAGGACACAAAAGGAAAACGTGGATGTGGAGGAAATGCTGATGGGTTGGCTGTGGTGGTCTCTTAGAGGAAGGTGGGTGGTGGTATTTCCAAGTGCTGTCTCCTTCCCAAGACTGCCACTTAGCTGCTTCCTCCAGGTGAGTCCGGGATTTCTCGGACTCACCAAGAGAATTATAAATATTGCAAGATATGGAGAAAGCTTAGAAATGAGAGGGCCCTGTCCCTGTCAACTGTTTTGCAAAAAGTTTTCTACAGCTAAAAGTGGGAAGGGGCCTAGAAACAGACGTGCCATTTTGATTTCCAGAAACGTGAATTCTGAGCTAGATGCCAGTGAGTCAGGTCACAACCAGGTGGGATTCTGAATTCAGTTGTTAAAGGGCTGCTTTGTGTGCACATAGAAAAGGAAACAGATGTATTTGAACAGAGGTAGTTTATTAAAGAGAATGAATAGACATCAAATAGATGGCCCTTTATCGTTTTCAGTTGTCAAAAATACGTGTGAGTTGGGTACCATATAGCCCTCAGCAGAGTATTTGACAAGATTTTTCCTTGGTTTCCTCATAGGCAAGTTGAAAGATATGTGAGCTGAACACAAAGACAGTGTAATTTATCTAGGCTCAGTGGTCACTCTTAGAATCTTCCAGGAGCGGATGGTGCATGTTAAGGTGGGAAGCTCTATCTTGACTCCACCCTGTTCACCATCTTTTTCATTGATGTGGATGGATATATGGGAGTATATGCTCAGAACGGTCAAGCATAACTAAGGCGATAGTGAAGAGTAACAACACATAGGCTTAGAACACAGAGACATAGAGTGGTGGCCTGGAATAGAGAGCCTAGCGGTAGACCTACCACGCCCCTGTGGAAGCCTGTCGTGTGGACGGCATAGCTAATGTGTGTGTTCTGAGTGTCTTCGAAATAGCGGTGTACACTCATAAAAACAACCGCTGGATAACGGAAGAGAGTTTATGATATAATGCACCTACTGTAGGCTCAGCATTGCACAAGTCACCACAGGGGAGGCGAGCACTGGTGGTTGCCCTGGGCACAGGCATGCTAGTTAGATTGAGATAAGCGACTGGCAGCCTCGTGCAGAAGGTCCTAACTGTGGGCTCCGTGGGAGTGTAGAGATGAGAAATGTTAGTTTGGGAGAGAGTGTTACAAACACAGAGTGACAGAGGGAAGGACGCACAGTTGGGGATGAACATGGCCTGTCGAAATGAGAGGACACCCAAGGGACAGAGTAAAATAATATGATTTTAATATAATAATATTACTTAATAGCGGCCCCTGGCAGCCGAGGAGAGTTGCGTTTGCCTGTTCTGCTTATCTCCCTGCAGGACTAGGGTTGAGCTCTCTGAGGGCAAAGACAGTCACAGTGACCATTGTTTCCCATGGCCTGGCACCATACCTGGCAAAGTGGGCTCCTAACACTGAATAGAGAGGATGGGATGGTAAAGACTTGGGAACCCTGGGCAGAAAATATTTAAAATGAGCAAAAAGATTGCCTGCCTGGTTTGAGCATTGAATAACACAGAGAAGGGTTGCTTTAGAATCAGGTAATGATCTTGGGGTCTCTGGATGCCCCACCCCCTGAACGTTATGAGGCTTCTGAACACTGTTAAATCATAAATAAAAATTAATTAGGCTCGCCCTTTTTTTTCCAAGATATCTATAGCTTTTATCTGATATTCAGTGGAATCTAGTATTTCAGAAATACATATAAGAACCACTACTTTAGAAATATCAGTATTGTAAAATCATGGGACAGCTTAAAAGGTGAAAGTCTGGGAGGAGAAGGACCTCGTGGAGCTGGCCGCACAGTCTAGGCTTGGGGGTAAGGTAAGAACTGGACCAGGGGTACGTGGTGCTTAAATGGAGAGCAGGCAGTCATGGAGCGGCTTTGTGAAAACAGGCTGAGCTCGAGGTCCCAGGCTGCTCAAGGCAAGGGAAGTGTCTTATTTAAACCTGCCCGCTCCCACCTCTGCAGTTCCACCACAACCAAACTGTCATAGTGCAGGCTCAGGGGGTCTCAGGACTGCTGGCTACACCTCGGGTACAGTTAACCAAGGAGGTTTACCAGATGTCCACCGTGGAAAGCAAGTGTTGGGCAGAAGTGGCAGGGAAGTGGCAGTTTCAAGGGTGAAGCCCAAGGTGATAGCAGAGAAAGCTGCCCGGAATGCAAAGGTCAGAGTGAGTGCTGTTTCTTGGGAGCCGGCTGCCGGGAAGAGAGGGTCAGGTAGAGCCAAGCCTGGAACTGGTGTTGGTGTCATGCACATGGAGAATGCCCCTGTGGACGTAGGGAGGAGAGGCAGGAAAACATGGCATCTTGGGCCAGCACAGTTAGCATGATAAGGGAAAGGAAGTCTTACGGGGGCGAAGGAAGGCACAGTGAAACAGTGTGCCGTTTTGAAGAAGCAATGGTGAAGGAAGCCAGACTTCAAGGAGTCAGGAAGAAACACAGTGGATTTAAACCCTCTATCTGGATAGGAACCTTGTCTGGAGAGGTCTGCAGCGGTTTTGAGCAGACCTGACCGAGCTCTGTGACTTCAGCAAGTTACTTAACCTTCCCCTGTGCCTTGGTTTTCTAATCTGTAAAGTGGAGGTGGTAGGGATACCACGTGCCTCAGCGGATTGCTTAAGAGTCCTGAACGCATTGCTGAAGGTAGAGCCTGGAATAGCCCCTGTTGGGTAGTAACTTTGGATGAGTGTTTGCTGTTGAGACTGTGGCTTCAAGGGTTAAGGAAATAACCCTTTAAGGAATAATGGGGTTTAGGAAAGTGGGCATGAAAGATCTTGGGACCTCTGAGGACAGAAGTGACGCAGTGGAGAGGGAGGAATGAGTGGAAGTGACCTGGCCAAGACACCTGAGGATGAAAGATGGGACCAGGACAAGCTAGGAATGTTCATTTAGCAAGAGAGGGGAGCCCATTCCTCTAGGGATGGAGAGAGGGGAGTCCGTTCCTCTGGGGATGGAGAGAGGGAGCCCTTTCCTCTGGGGATGGAGGAGAGGGGAGCCTTTTCCTCTGGGGATGGAGGAGAGGGGAGCCCGTTCCTCTGGGGATGGAGGAGAGGGGAGCCCGTTCCTCTGGGGATGGAGGAGAGGGGAGCCCTTTCCTCTGGGGATGGAGGAGAGGGGAGCTCGTTCCTCTGGGGATGGAGGAGAGGGGAGTCTGTTCCTCTAAGGATGGAGGAGAGGGGAGCCCATTTCTCTAGGGATGGAGAGAGGGGAGTCCGTTCCTCTGGGGATGGAGGAGAGGGGGGCCTGTTCCTCTGGGGATGGAGAAGAGGGGGGCCTGTTCCTCTGGGGATGGAGAGAGGGGAGCCTGTTCCTCTAAGGATGGAGGAGAGGGCGAGAAGGCCAGTAGAGGAGCCGTGATGGTGGAGTCACAACAGAGGCACCCCAGGAAGCTGACAGCCAGATTTCTGCCATTGATGTTACCTCTCACCTACCACCAGGGGACAGTGACCTGTCCGTGTGCCTCTGCATCTAAGGATGTGCGTCCATAGGAAGCACCTCCTGCCTGGTAGAGGGAAAGTTGCTGAGACACCGAATTGCCACATTTCTCGCAACTCCTTAAAGTGGTGAAGGGAACTTCCGCCTTTTGTGAGTGAGTGACCACCCACAAGGAGTGCACATGGTTGACACAGTCTCAGGTGTCTCATGGTGTCCAGTGCTGCCTGGGCTGCCCTGCAGGAGCCCTGGGGTGGCCCTTCACCCTCTTCGCAGGAGGAGCTCCCCACAGCCCTCTTCTTCCATGTGTAAAGGGTGCATGCAATGAAGGGTGACGCTTCCGACTGTGCAGAGAGGGGCGAGGGGTCTCTGCCTTAGGGCGGCCAGGAACGTACATCAGGGTGTTCTTGGGACCGTATGTATTTCTCAGATACCTTAAATTGTGTGTTTGTACATTTCTCAACATATGATAAAATTTCCTAGAACTTCACAAAATAAAAATATTTTCAATTCATTTTGATTTCCATTATCTTTGTATTTGAAATCATGTCACTGTTCTGCTCAGAACCCTGCATGGCTCCCCATTCCCCCCAAAGCACAGGCGAGGGTCCTCACGGTGGCCCGCAAGCCCCCTCCTCTCCAGTGCCACCTTCCGCAGGCCTCTCCCACCCACACCGGCCACCGCCACTCGGGCCCCCTCTCCGTTTCTGGAACACACCAGGCTCCCTCCTTGGAGCCAGGCTCTGACTGTTTCTCTGCTCTCATTACCTTCTCACTCCTCTGCCATTTTCAAGTCTTGATTCAGTGTCCCGTGCTCAGCGAGACCTACCCCAGCTACCCTATTTTAAATGACACCCCCCATCACTGCCGCCTCTCCCCAGCCTCCCAGCCTTGATGCCCCGCGTTCCTATTCGGTCTTTCCCATAACTCTTACCAGCTTCTGATGGACTCCAGGTTCTGGCCCGGCTGCCATGTCACTGCCACTCCACTTTACAGAGTCCCCATTGGGGCAGGAATGTTTATCTGTTTCTCCTCGATCAATGATGGCTGCCAAGCATCTTGAAAAGCCGCTGGCTCACAGTCAGTGCTCAAAAAATACCAGCTGAATGAGTGCGGTGTGCTGTACAGAACTCTGACTTTGGACTTAAAGATGCTGAATCGTGAAATAAAAACTTTTCAAGACGCCGTAGGCATGCACCACCTGTTTTTCCTGCACGTTTTCAGTGGGCTTTTTTCCACCCGGCTTGAATTATATGCGCGTTCTGGTCATGTAGTACCGCTTTGGCCTTCTCTTTGATAAAGATACAAATGGACATAATACATTGAGAGTTTCACTTATAGTGAATAATCACGTGTGCACTGGTTTTGAAACTGTTCTAAGTAGCTTCAATGAATCAAAAATTGGCAGGCCTACTATATCGACTTCCAAACACTGTCACTGGACATTGGTGAGAGAGAGAAAAAAATGGCATAGAATTTTTCACTGATAATAAAACAAGATGAAGTTATAGTCATCTGTAATATTGAGGCCGGAAGAAAGGATCAGGAATCCCTTATCCTGTGCACCCACAGGAGTCAAACCCACTTAAGATGATATTTCCAAATGTATTCTTAAATGCATCGTTTTCATTTCTAATATATCAAGGTAATTTTAAGAAGAGAAAGATAACTAAAAAGCATAAACTCACCCCTTTCCTTTTGCAGAGCTCCAGTCATGCAGAGGAGAGAAGGAGAATGCATCCATAGCATGCTGCTGATAGAAAAAGAAATGCTTGTGTTTTAATAGCGGGAGGCACAGTAGAGCAAGGGGGACTGAGCCCATCTCATACCAGAGGCTCTAGGCCTCCAACTCAGCAATACAGTAATGGGATGTTATTTGCAGGGCCTGTGTGGTATGAGAGGAGCGTGGCTGTGCTGTTTCTGCGCATTCTGCTTTGTAAGTGCTCACTCTGCATTTTTTTTTTTTTTTTTGCCTTTTCCGGTCCAATGGCAGACACAGGGCTGGGTGACTCCGTATGCTCCAGCCCCAGTATCTCCAGCACCACCAGCCCCAAGCTCGACCCGCCCCCCTCCCCTCACGCCAACAGAAAGAAGCACCGAAGGAAGAAAAGCACTAGCAACTTCAAAGCCGACGGCCTGTCCGGCACTGCTGAAGGTAAGGGTTCCGCGGTGCCCCGGGAGAGAGTCTCCACTGCGGAAAATTCTCTGTTATTTTTCAAATGCGTGAAATTAGACACCCTTAGCACAACAAATGCACAGTAATGCTGGTCACCGTATGTGCTTTCTGTTTGCAAGGTGGCACGAGAGGGCCCTTGGGACCTTTTCATCACTGTCTGATTCTCATATTACGCAACCAAATCTGCTGTCATCACTCTTGGCCGCCGTCGCTGGTAGCGGGTAGGAGTGCTGGTCTCCCAGCCACCAGCCTGATCCAGTTCTGAGGTCTCGCCCCACCCTGGCAGCCTGGGCGAGTGTCCTCTCCAGCCAAGGTGGGCCATGCTGCGTGACTCTGCTGGGGACAGTGCCCACTTCTAGTTTAGGAATCATCTCTGATATTGGTTACTCTTAACTAACCAGACACCTGCCTTGATTTCAGCTTTTAGCAACGTGTTATGATAAACACTTCTTCTGTTAATGTCCATCAGCTCTTTCTGGTATGTGGGCTCTATTAATATTCCAGTTGTCACAGCTCATTGTGAGTCTCCTTTCACCTGAGTGCTTCCTTAGTTTTTATTGCCACTGATGGCTGGATGTCAGCTTCCTGAAGTGGCTCCTTCAAATGAATTCCCTTTTTTTTTTTAATTCATAGATGCAAGTAGAGATAGGTAAGCGCATGCGTACACACACACATACACACACACCCCCCACATTATGAGAGGTAAAATTAATGCAGTTGTAACAAAGGAATACTTAAAAGGAAAAATTAAAGTTTGAGAACCTTGTTGTTAGAACATGAATTATTACCTGTGAGACCGACAATGGTGAGAGAGTGTGGTTACCTGTGAGACCGACATGGTAAAAGCGTGTCTTCAGTGAGGGTCTCATGCCCAGGGGCAACATTTATGGCTTCCATCCTTTCTCTTTCTCTATGGCTGCCATGCTTTTTCCAGATACTCTACTTGATCGAGGGTTCAAACCTGCGAGCTGTCAGACAGTGGCTACATTAGAGGGAGTGGCCCATCCCGTCCACATATCCAGAGCGGAGCACGCAAACCCACGGTGCGTGTGTTAGCAGGGAAGGGGCAGAGTGTGGGGTGTGCTGTGTGTTTCCATAACACCGGAGGCAGGGAGCATCATTTCTTTCATCATCAGGAAGCTGAAGTTCGGAGCTCTGAGTAGCCCGCCAGCCTCCGCAGAAGGGTTAGAAGCCTTTCTCCTTCACCACGTTTCTTCCTGTTTTGCCTCCTGTAAGCTTCCTGCTAACATATTTAGCCAATAAAAACTGATTTTTCGTCGGGCACGGTGGCTCACGCCTGTAATCCCAGCACTTTGGGAGGCCAAGGCAGGAAGATCACCTGACGTCAGGAGTTTGAGACCAGCCTGGCCAACATGATGAAACTCTGTCTCTACTAAAAATACAAAAATTAGCTGGATGTGGTGGCACATGCCTGTAATCCCAGCTACCTGAGAGGCTGAGGCAGGAGCATTGATTGAACCCAGGAGGTGGAGGTTGCAGTGAACCGAGACCATGCCACTGCACTCCAGCCTGGGCGGGCGACAGAGTGAGACTCTGTCTTTAAAAAAAAAAAAAAAAAAAAAAGACGATTTTTCTCATGTTGTGGGGAGTGAGGATAATCCCATTAAGTCAGCGATGGTGGAAAATAATGGTTATGGGTCAGAGCAGCCACAGATGCCACTGACCTTCCCACTGAAAACAGTATCAGCCGCAGGCGCTCTGTGTTGGTAAGACTCCTTCAGACAACCGTTGGGCAAAAATCACCCTGCCAAGCACGTGCAGCCACCCCTCCCTGATTGGGAAGAAGGTTAGCCTCCCCCAGGGTGGGCAGCCTGTACCCTCCACGCCCCTAAGGTGCACACACAGGGGCGGGCGCCAGATTCCCTTTAAGGACAGGCCTTGTTCTCACTTTCACAGGCACGCGTCTTCTTGCATTTGTTGTGTGTTTCCAACCGAGGTCTGTGGTTTTTTCTTATGCACAACCTGGTGGGAACTGACCGTTGCCACTTAGATACACGTTCATTATCCCACCCACGTGTTGACCGCTGTGTAAATGAGTGAATAAATCAGTAGCGTTTCTGCACATTTGATGGAGCAGCTGGCACCACCCAGTGTTCCATTCAGCACCGGTGAGTTTGAAGGAAGTTTGACAAGTGACCGTGACCACGTTGGACGCCTGATGTTTCAGGTCCACTTGCTGAGTGAGTGGGATGGTATGTGTGTGCGAGGCAATAGTGGATACCCAGGCTGAGACACGGGCTCTGTCCAAGCAGCAAATGGGGGCCCCTTTCCTTAAAGGGTCTTACTGCTGAGGTGGTAACACCAGCAGAAAGATTTCAGGCACCATGGAAACTCCAATATTAGGAAATCACAGGTGTCTCAAACATGGATGTGTAAGCGGGTGACGTGTGTTTGGAAGTCCAAGGCAGAGGTTCCAAGGGAGCCACCTCACTCTCTAATTAGGAGAGTCTGGTCTCTACGTCAGCGGCTATGACATCTTTCCAATAGCAAATAAGTCATAAGTTATTTATAAAAAGAAAATGTATCATTTTTCCCTAGGAAAAGTTACTTATCAGACTACAAATGAGTCACTTTTGTGAAAAAGTCTATATTTCATTTTTTCAAAGCCACATTTTCCCCCCAAATTGTAACATATCTGAAGTCAGAACATATCATTGTAGATTCAGTGATATATGATATTTTTGATAGTTTTATTTACTGTTAATTCCTTGAAAGTACATTGTGTAAAACACCCAAATTAAACATTCTGTTCTGGCCGGGCACAGTGGCTCACGCCTGTTATCCCAGCACTTTGGGAGGCTGAGGCGGGCGGATCACGAGGTCAGGAGATCGAGACCATCCTGGCTAACACAATGAAACCCCGTCTCTACTAAAAATACAAAAATTAGCTGGGCATGGTGGCAGGTCCCAGCTACTTGGGAGGCTGAGGCAGGAGAATGGCGTGAACCCAGGAGGTGGAGCTTGCAGTGAGCCGGGATGGCGCCACTGCGCTCCAGCCTGGGCGACAGAGTGAGACTCCGTCTCAAAAAAAAAAAAAATCTGTTCTTGAAACTAAAGCTAGTTATATATGTTTTATTTTATTTATTTATTTATTTATTTATTTATTTATTTATTTATTTATTGTATTTTTTGAGACAGGTCCTCGCTCTGTCACCCAGGCTGGGGTGTAGTGGTGCAGTCACGGCTCACTGCAGCCTCGAACTCCCAGGTTCAAGTGATCTTCCCACCTCAGCCTCCCAAGTAGCTGGGACCACAGGCAGGCACCACGACACCTGGCTAATTTTTTGTATTTTTGTAGAAATGGAGTTTCACTCTTTTGCCCAGGCTGGTCTTGAACTCCTGGGCTCAAGCAATCCTCCCACCTCAGCCTCCCAGTGCTGGGACTACAGGCGTGAGCCACCACACCCGGCCTATATTTTATGTTTTGAGAATACTATTCTATTATAAAAAACCATTTCTGCCTCTCTTTCCTGCAAGGCTCTGTGACTGGTTACTACTAGTGTATTCTCTATCGCCTGACCAAGTGCTGAAAAGATGGAATTACAGATATAAAACTTCTATAGAAGATTTGTGTAAAGTAGTTGAATTTTATGGTTTTTAATATACCCTATTGGAACAAATAACTAGGTTCAAATCTCTTTAGAGTATAAGAAAAATAGAATTCCATTGAAGTAAGCAAATTTATCAGGGTCCTTTGAATCCATTGGTCAGTAGAATCCATTAAACTCAGCTGATGAATCTGGAATGGGATGGGGCTCCCCGGCTGGTTCGCCGAGGAGTCTTCCTGGGCCTGTCTGCAGAGATGCGGGGAGAAAGTGGGTTTGGTGTAGAACCCGGGGTGTAACGGGGTGAGGAGAGGGCAACTATTTGGGAAAGCTTCCAGCTAGGAGCTGTGGCCTTCAAGAAAGAGACCTGTCCGGCTGTGGTGACCGGGAAGGTGAGGGTGTCCTCACTCTTCTCCCTCCCACTGGTCTCCAGTGGCCCCTCCTTGGCCAAATCCAACCAGAGGCCAAAAGCCCTGAGAGCCCACGATGCCAGTCACACAGTTGGCTCCCAGGACCAAGACAAAACCAACAGAAGCCGTAGAGTGTTCGTGCCTTTCACAGCACCTCCTACAAGCCCCTGAAGCCCGTGCCATGCCACTCTGTTGGTGGTCCACAAACACAGGAAACGAAGCTCTAGAGGGCAGGGGTATGTGCTCCCCTCCATCATCCCCCAGGGTCTGGCTTTAGCCTGGCCCAGGGAGCCCTCGCGGCTTCCTGAACAGACCTCAGTGCCCTTCCCCAGCTGTGTGCGACAAGGACCCTGCGAGAAGGTCTTCCTAGACTCCCAGCTAAGCACAGAGGTTCTCACTCTGGCCGTTTCTTACCTCTGTGGCGCACTTATTCAGAAAGTAAAGGCTAATAGTAGGAATCATCAGTACCTGCTGCTGCAAACCCAGAAACACTGTGTCTACACGGGGCTGTCAGGGTGACCGATGGAAATTGGGCCGTTCCTGCCCTGGAGTTTCTCCCTGCGCAGGTGCTCGCTGTGCTCTTTTTGCTGAAGAACAGCCACTTTGTTCTGCACCAGATGGCAGAGGGTGTCAGACCCCAGCCCAGGGAGAGCATTTATTTTCTTAGGTTTACCATTTAAAATGAATCGGAGGAATCTGGAAAGTTACAGAAGCAGGGACGGTGACTGGAGAATCCCTTATCTTTTTGTGTATATTTTGGGTTCTGAGGATTACCAGGAGATGTGTGGATGACAGAGCCCGTCGCTAGGCTCTTATGTCACAGATGGGCTGCTGTGCTGCGTGGTCATTGAGACCAATGGAAGGAAATTGAGATGTGACTGGGCAGGATGGTGACAGGGCCTGAAGCCTATGCATGGAGGGAACGTGCAGTGACCAGAGAGAAGGGTGGTGATGAGGATGAGGGCCATGAGGCATGGTGACTGTGACCAGCTGATGGAAGGTTTGCAAAGAAGGGCGTCCCAACTTGTCCTGGATGGCCCAGGTGGTAACCATGGGACCTGATGGGTGGAAGCCTCAAGGAGGTGGATTTTGATTCTGATATTAAAAGCTCTAGAAAAAGCTCTACGAACCAGGGCCACCTGAGAGGGAGTGACCCCGACCCTGCATGGGGTCGGCATGGGTTGGACCAGGGCAGAGGAACCTGGGCTCTAGAAGGTGATTGCACCACGGCCCTGGATTCCCAACCAGGTCCAAGTTCAAGGGTATGTGCCAGGGAAAAGCGCCTGGGCAGTGGGATTTTGCAGATCTTTAATGGCTTGTCAGCTCTTGGCATTGTCTTTGAATTACAGTACTTTCTGGGCATCTTCATATCTCGGGTCCAGTAGTGAGGTTGTCATTGCTAAAATGAACGGTCTCTGCAGTCCCATTCTGTGGCCCCGAACCTGGTGGTTCTCGTTAGTTTTATAACATTCATGCAAGTTTGCATTAAGTGCTAATTTCCCTGTTTCCCCAGTGAAAAGGCTGAAGTAGAGAGAGGTTAAGTGGCTTTCTTGTCCAGGGTCAGGTTGCTGGTAGGTGACAGAACTGTCTCTTGATTCTCTGCCTCAAACTCTTTCCACCAGGCAAAAAGCAAGTCTTTGAGGTATGTGGAGCTGCTTTTGAATCTGGGAGTGGGGCACACTGAATAGCTTCCTTGATATTTCTCAGATTCCATGTAAAGACACTGACTTTTATATGGCTCATAACATCTAGAAGTTGTGTAGCAAAGATCTTTCTTTAAAAATGCAGGACCAGACTGGATTTACCCAATCTTATTATACAAGAGGGTATGCAGAAATCCTGGTGT